>NW_003571055.2:399095-729520 GCF_000001405.40 Homo sapiens
GAATTCCAATCATGATTTTTCTATTTCTCTATAATTACTTCTTTGATCCTTTATCTTATCCATTAGGCAATGAGCCTAAAACCTCTTCCCTATTTGGCTTTCTGTGAGCATGAGATCATATAGAAAATGTGAAAGCCCGCTGAATCCTCCAGCACAGATCCTGGAATAGAGAAAGTGCTCTGGTCATCACAAAAAAAACTTGCCCACTCACCCAAATCCCCCACCTCACCCCTACTTCCAATCACCTGTGGAGATTCAGATAGACCATGGGGAGGTAAACATTAACACTCCTTGGAGTGAGTCCAGATCTTGGAATCAGAGATCAGCGACAGCACTAGCTCCTGCTCCCCTTTCCTACTAATTCACAGGAGGACAGGTGGTTTTGAAGCAATAGATGGCCGAGGGGGTGGTCCTTCCCCCAGCCTCTCGGGTAGAACAGCAGCCTAATATGTGTCTCCCGAGATCACAAAGAGCAGCAGGTTTCACACGGGCTTCAACACTATTTCCTGGCCGTTTGACATAAGAGAATTCTATTTCGCTTTTTTTATCTTGATTTCACTTTTGTTTTCTTTCCTTGGAGAATGCAAGTTGTTTGATTCAAGAATGCTGTGGATGTAGAAACCCTAAAGCACATTCGCTGTGAATCAATCCCAGTCCAGTCTTCCCAGAGAAGACTCTAAACACCTCCTGGACTGCACCTGGGCCTATGCCAATTCCTATCACTCACCGTCACTCCAGGGAGACAGAACACACAGAGAATACGTTACATAGGCAGGTTCATTACTAACAGATAAGCAGCGAGTGACAACAGAAACCTATATTTCAATGTGACCCAGTCCCTCAAGGCTCAGAAAAGCTGCTCGGGACATATGGAGTCACCCCATTTGCAGTGTAGCTGGGGGAAGCCAGAAAGCAGCCCAGCCTGGGTTTTGTACCCTGGAGCCACAGGAAGCACTCAGCTAAAGCACTGCATGACGTCCTCCAGGAAGAACAGGAAGACAGCCCAGGGTGTTCTGAGACGTTCCTCCTGATCTCAGGAAGTTGCTGTCTTAGGCCATTTTTGTTGCTCTAAAGGAACACTTGAGCCTCGGTAACTTCTAAAGAAAAGAGATTGGTTTGCCTCACCGTTCTGCAGGCTGTACTGGAAGCATGGCACCAGCATCTATTTCTCGTGACGGCCTCAGGCTGCTCCCACTCTGGCAGAAGGGAAGGAGGGTCTGTCTGTGCAGAGACCACAGAGATCACACGGCAAGAGAGGGAGCAAGGGGGAGGGGGAGTGATGGAGCTTCCAAGCTCTTTTTAACAACCAGCTCTCCGGGAACTAATAGAGGGGGAACTTGCTAACCCCGTCTCCTTGGGACAGCATTGATGTGTTCATGATGGATCCACCTCCATGACCCAAACACCTCTCAAGAGGCCCAACCTCCCACAGTGGGGGTGAAATTTCAATGTGAGGTTTGAAGGGGTCAAACATCTCAACTAAAGTAGTCGTATCCTCAGCACGTTCTATGGTTACTATGAGAGCTATAACTGAAAAAGCAGGAGAAAGCTGGGTCTCCTGCCATCTGGGTGCTTGTCCTAAAGAGGTGTTTTATGTGGTTACCTGTCAATCAAGAAATGCGAGACAATTCATAAAGAGGAACTGCTAAGATTAGCTTCTTATTGGTGTCTCATCTTCTTCCAGGTAACCCCCGACACCTGCACATTCTGATTGGGACCTCAGTGGTCATCATCCTCTTCATCCTCCTCTTCTTTCTCCTTCATCGCTGGTGCTCCAACAAAAAAAGTAAGTCTCACGAAGCAGAGGCCAGAGAGCTCAGGGCCATGTGGGGAAGCAGGATGGGAGCACTCAGGTGTGTGTTCCTCACAAACAGGATGGTCCCTGGCCCAAGGCAGCAGCCACAGAGGCAGGACTTTCTAGAGAGGGCACCAGACTCCCTGTCCCTGCCTTCAACTCACAGACCGTTGCCTGATTCTGAACTGTATCCTCATGTCCCCTGCAGCCACTCACATCCAGGAGAAGGTTCCATGACAGGCAGAAAGTGGGAGACAGAATCAATGGGATGGGAACTCAGAGCTATTCATGGGATGGGTCCTTGAGCTCAGAGAGATAGAATGTCTGAGTCTGCTGTTGGCAACTGAGGGACCTCAGCCACCTATGGTCTCCCCCTGTATGTTGGTATCTGCTTATGAAATGAGGACCCAGAAGTGCCCTCCGAGCTGTTTTGTTGACTTCCGTCTTCTACAGATGCTGCGGTAATGGACCAAGAGTCTGCAGGAAACAGAACAGCGAATAGCGAGGTAGGTACTCCTCGGCCCGGGCTCGTGGCTACTGTTATTCCCAAAGAGTCCTGGAAAATGTGAGCACCCTCCCTCACTCAGCATTTCCCTCTCTCCAGGACTCTGATGAACAAGACCCTCAGGAGGTGACATACACACAGTTGAATCACTGCGTTTTCACACAGAGAAAAATCACTCGCCCTTCTCAGAGGCCCAAGACACCCCCAACAGATATCATCGTGTACACGGAACTTCCAAATGCTGAGTCCAGATCCAAAGTTGTCTCCTGCCCATGAGCACCACAGTCAGGCCTTGAGGGCGTCTTCTAGGGAGACAACAGCCCTGTCTCAAAACCGGGTTGCCAGCTCCCATGTACCAGCAGCTGGAATCTGAAGGCATGAGTCTGCATCTTAGGGCATCGATCTTCCTCACACCACAAATCTGAATGTGCCTCTCACTTGCTTACAAATGTCTAAGGTCCCCACTGCCTGCTGGAGAAAAAACACACTCCTTTGCTTAGCCCACAGTTCTCCATTTCACTTGACCCCTGCCCACCTCTCCAACCTAACTGGCTTACTTCCTAGTCTACTTGAGGCTGCAATCACACTGAGGAACTCACAATTCCAAACATACAAGAGGCTCCCTCTTAACGCAGCACTTAGACACGTGTTGTTCCACCTTCCCTCATGCTGTTCCACCTCCCCTCAGACTAGCTTTCAGTCTTCTGTCAGCAGTAAAACTTATATATTTTTTAAAATAACTTCAATGTAGTTTTCCATCCTTCAAATAAACATGTCTGCCCCCATGGTTTCGGTAATGGGACTCTTTTCTTGCCTAAGGCTTCCGGTGTTATCAGTACCATGTCCATATAATCCCATCTGTTCCCCACTGAGTTCTCATCCCCGGACTCTGAGTTTCTGGAAGCAGGGTGGAGCCTCATTTGTCTCTGGGACTCCAATTTCCATCCAAAGATGTAGCACATAGGAGGTTCCAAGGATCACGAATCATATGAACAAGTGATACTCTTACTCTCTGCAGACCTGGAAAGCTGGCAGAGTCATTCCACAATGAAACATTTGTAGAATCATAGGCCTTGTTAGTCTCATCTCCATGGGGACACATATCAACACATCATCTTTCATAATATAAATATACGGTCACTCCTCCATATCTGCGGGGTTTACAGGTGTTTATTGAACCAAGTATAAATCAAAAATATTGAGAGAAAGTATCCACAGAGTTTCAAAAAGCATAACTATGTTGAATGGACACAAATGAAGCTGTGTGTAGGCTGTATCAGGAATTATAAGTAATCTAGAGATGATTTCATGTATACAGGAGGATGTGCATAGGTTATTTGCAAACGCTGTGCCATTTCATATAAGAGGCTTGAGCATCTACAGATTTTGGTATCTGAGTGGAGATCTCAAAACCAATCACCCACGAATAGTGAAGGATGACCGTATATGACTTTTATTTCTCAAATTTAAATATAAATCATAAAAAATGTACAACTAGATAAAAACTAAGAAGTGTTTTTATAGTGTGAGTTAGATTTATTTTTTCCTAGGTGTAACCAATTGGTTTAATATTATTTATTGAGAAGACATTCTATGCCACCTTAAACCACACGGCAGCCTTTGTCAACTCTAAAGGGACTGTGTGTACATGGATGTATTTTAGACACTGTTTCTGCTAAGGGGCTCTCTGTGTCCACACTCTTGATGATGCTGCACTTTATGTAGCCTTATAGAACCCTTTAAATTTAGTAGCCAGAGCCCTCTAATTTGTTATTATAGGCTGTTTGCTTTTTTTTTCTTGAGGCGGAGTCTTGCTCTGTCGCCCAGGCTGGACTGCAGTGGCACAATCTCAGCTCACTGCAACCTCCGCCTCCCAGGTTCAAGCGATTCTCGTGCCTCAGCCTCTTGAGTAGCTGGCGTTACAGGTGCCTGCCACCAGGCACGGCTAATTTTTGGATTTTTAACAGAGACACGGTTTCACTATATTGGCCAGGCTGCTCTCAAACTCCTTATCTCAGTTGATCCGCCCACCTCGGCTTCCCAACGTGCTGGGGAAAACTTGATTTTCTATAGCATTATGTTACTGGATATTTCTGTAAAATTTAAAACGAGGGAGGGAGAGAGACAGACAGAGAGCAAACTCCAGAGTTGGGACTCTGGAATCTTGGGTCATGAGACAAATTTTAGATTAAACTACAAAACTCCAGAATTTACAGGTGTGGTTTTTGCTGATAAAGTACAATTCTAAGATTGTAAATAATTGCATAATCCTTCCCTGGGAATTTAAATCATTTTAGCTGGTTCTGCTGTAATACTAGAAATACAAGCATGAAAAATTCTAATGGTTTATTAGTCACAATGACTCCGAAAACATTAATAATACCTATTAGATACTTTGCATATTACACAGGAAGAAGAGTTTGAATCTCAGATAAAAACAAAAAAAATACATGAAAAGTCTTTCATGTTAGCACAGATTTTAGGCATCTCGTGTTCGGATAAAAATACATGAAAAGTCTTTCACGTTAGCACAGATTTTAGGCATCTTGTGTTCGGGAGGTTGGATCTGAGACGTGTTGTGAGTTGGTCATAGTGAAGGACGTGAGGTGCCAATTCTAGTGAGAACAATTTCCAGGAAGCCGTGTTCCGCTCTTGAGCAAGCATCCACTGGGCCTCATGCAAGGTAGAAAGAGCCTGCGTACGTCACCCTCCCATGATGTAGTCAACATGTAAGCTGCATGGGCAGGGCGCCAAATAACATCCTGTGCGCTGCTGAGCTGAGCTGGGGCGCGGCCGCCTGTCTGCACCGGCAGCACCATGTCGCTCATGGTCGTCAGCATGGCGTGTGTTGGTGAGTCCTGGAAAGGAATAGAGGGAGGGAGTGCCACATCCTCCTCTCTAAGGTGGCGCCTCCTTCTCCCCCAGGTGGTCAGGACAAGCCCTTCCTCTCTGCCTGGCCCAGCCCTGTGGTGTCTGAAGGAGAACATGTGGCTCTTCAGTGTCGCTCTCGTCTTGGGTTTAACGAATTCAGTCTGTCCAAAGAAGACGGGATGCCTGTCCCTGAGCTCTACAACAGAGTATTCCGAAACACCGTTTTCATAGGCCCTGTGACCCCAGCACATGCAGGGACCTACAGATGTCGGGGTTCACACCCACACTTCCTCACTGGGTGGTCAGCACCCAGCAACCCCCTGGTGATCATGGTCACAGGTCAGAGGGCTCCTGTCTGGGATTCTCCTTGTCCCACCTCCTGAGTCCCAGAGCTTCTGGTGGGAGTGTCCACCAGCGTCCCATCATCCAGACCCTAACTGTATTTGGGGTAAAAGGGGATTGAATACAGGGAAATGGGTGCTGTGGTGGAAAGAATAATTGTCCCCAATGATGACTGCATTCTAATCCCTGCAGTCTGTGACTATTTATGTTATAGGGGAAGGCACTGAAGGGGAAGATGGAGCTCAGGTTGTTGAGTTGACCTTGAGATGGGGAGACAGCCTGGACTGTCCTGCTGGGCTCAGTGTAATCACAAGGGTGCACATGAGAGGAGAAGGAAGAGGGGAGTGGCGATTAGAGCAGTGCAATGGAAGTCTCCATCAGCTTTGAAGGTGGAGGAAGGCCATGAGCCATGAATGCAGGTGGCCTATAGAGGCTGGAAAAGTCAAGGAACTGATTCTCCTGGGTCTCCAGAGGGAACGCAGCCCTGCAGATGCCTTGATTTTAGCCCTCAAAAAACAGGGTCCGATTTCTGTCTCCAGAAACGGAAGGGGTCAGTGTGCTCTCTCCTGCTGCCATGCTTCTGATAATTTTCCACAGCACCAACAGGAAACCAACACTGGAACCCAGGTCAAGGACAAGATAAGAAAGGACACAAGGATAGCCGGGCGTGGTGGCAGGTGCATGTAATCCTAGCAACTCAGGAGGCTGAGGGCAGGAGAATCACTTGAACCCAGGAGACAGAGGTTGCAGTGAGCCTAGACCACACCACTTCACTCCAGCCTGGGTGAAGGAGTGAGACTCTGACTCCAAAATTAATTAATTAATTAAAGAAACCAAACAAAGAGAAGGTTGGCTACACCGAGATCAGCAAGGGTGGGATGATGATGCCACCACCAGGCTCCATCCACATAGGGAGGGGTTGATACTCCTCAAACCAGCACCAGAAGCCAGCCTATGGAAGCTGGCACCATGGAGAAGGCACAGGCATGGCAAGAGTGGCTCCCAGTCCCCACCAGGAACAGGGTGTGTGGACACTGGTGCCTGCCTTACTGATCAGTTCATACCTTCTGCCAAGGATTCCAAATCGTCCAAAAGAGATTGAACCAGTCTGCTAAGAGCCTGGACGTGCAGCCTATCCTGGTTCCTCTTCCACCCCCACATAGAAGCAGGAAAGACATTAGTTCGAAATAGATACAACAGCCCAAGAGATGAGGCTGAGCCCAGCGGCAAGGGAATCAGGAGCTACTAGAGACAGAGGGACAGAGAAGAGGGAGGGAGACAGATGGAAGGACCTGTACCAGGAGTTATGGGCACAGAAAAGAACATGAAGACACAGAGAGGAAGGAGAGAGATAAGACACCAGCGAGGGGAAGCCTCACTCATTCTAGGTGCCATGGATGGGATGATAAAGAGAGATGCCTTCTAAAGTCACAACCTCTCTTCCTAGGAGTCCACAGAAAACCTTCCCTCCTGGCCCACCCAGGTCCCCTGGTGAAATCAGAAGAGACAGTCATCCTGCAATGTTGGTCAGATGTCATGTTTGAGCACTTCCTTCTGCACAGAGAGGGGACGTTTAATGACACTTTGCGCCTCACTGGAGAGCTCCATGATGGGGTCTCCAAGGCCAACTTCTCCATCGGTCGCATGACGCAAGACCTTGCAGGGACCTACAGATGCTACGGTTCTGTTCCTCATTCCCCCTATCAGTTGTCAGCTCCCAGTGACCCTCTGGACATCGTGATTACAGGTGAGAGTGTCTGGACATTATTCTCATTGTCACTGGGACACAGAGTGAATGATCCACGACTTGGAGGCCCAGGTGGTTATAAGGAAGATGAGCTTGGTATTCTTATGGAGAGAGACTAACTTGGTGAGGTCTGTACCAACAGAGACAGAGAAACAGGAGACACAAGTACAGACCAGGTGTCATAACAGAGGACAGACACAGGGGCCATACAGGGAGTTAGAAAAGACAGAAAGAGTTAAAGGAGACACAGACAGACATGTGCCAGAGAGAGGTGTCCTTCCATGCTGACTTTGCTCAGAGACCTGGCACAGGTTAGAAGTTTCATTTCTGTTTTACTTCCACAAAGTGTTCTCTACCAGAAGAACCCAAGGACACCCATATTTCTGGCCTGAGTTGGGCCCTGTGGCCTCAGGCCTTCTGGCACCTACAGATGCCGTGTTTATTCTGACACCTCTGCCTTCCATGCAATGGAGAGTAATCGTCCCAGGATATCATGGCCCCAGAACATCAACCCCTGTATACTGTGTGAACTTGCGGTCCCCAGACTGGATTCTGAGGCTCACATTCCAAATAACCCCACATATGAGAGGATCACTGAGAGACACAGAGAGAAATCAGGGACACCAAAAAGCAAAGACATAAACACACAGAGAATGAGCCAGAGGAAGGAGATTGAGAGACTCACAGACACATAAAGAGGGAGAAAAGAGGGCAGAGAAGTGGAGAGAACAATGGAAGGGAACAGAGAAAAGCACTAAAATTAGAGTCCTGAGGGAGAGACACAAGGACATAGAAAGATGGAGATGTGGGGATGAATTGCAGAGATTCCAAAGAGAACTAGAGAGACCGAGAGGCAGAGCAAGACAGATGATAGATGGATAGATATAGATAGATGATAAATAGGTAGATGATAGATAATAGGTTAAAGATACATAGATGATGATTGATTCATTCATTGATTAATCGATGATACATAGAGATGATGAAGATGAAGATAGATAGATAATACATAGAGATAGAGAGGCAGACAAAGAGAAATCATAGAGAGAGAGAGACGATACATAGATATAGATAATAGATGATTTTTGGATAGACAATTGATAGATAAATAGATTATATATAGATATAGATGACAGGTAGAGAATTTGTAGATAGGCACCAAATAGATAAATAGATATATCGATAGATAATAGATAGAAATATGCAGAAAGTTATGAACAGGACACAAAGTGAGAAACTCAGAATTTAAAAAAAGTAACATCAAGTCAACTAGTCCAAGGAGAGTCAGAGAGAATAAAACAATCCAAAAAGGGAAAACATATCTAGAGGTGAGAAAGTGAGGTCAGAGACCTAGAGAGACAGAGAAGGTGGAAAGAGGAAATAGACATAAAGAGAGATGGTGTGGAGGGTGAGACAGAGAGAGAGAGCATTAGGCCATAGAGCAGGGGAGTGAGTTCTCAGCTCAGGTGGGAGGGGAGTTGTGACAAGGAAGAACCTCCCTGAGGAAACTGCCTCTTCTCCTTCCAGGTCTATGTGGGAAACCTTCTCTCTCAGCCCAGCCGCGCCCCATGGTTAAGGCAGGAGAGAGCGTGACCTTGTCCTGCAGCTCCCGGAGCTCCTATGACATCTACCATCTATCAAGGGACGGGGAGGCTCATGAACTTAGGCTCCCTGCAGTGCCCAAGGTCAATGGAACCTTCCAGGCCAACTTTCCTCTGGGCCCTGCCACCCACGGAGGGACCTACAGATGCTTCGGCTCTTTCCGTGACTCTCCCTACGAGTGGTCAGACCTTAGTGACCCACTGCTTGTTTCTGTCACAGGTGAGGAAACCAGTCTGTTCCCCAAATAGTGGGACTCAGACGGACTACAATGGCCACATTCAGGGGAGCCTCAGATGGAGGGGGTGGCCATGGGGGTGTCAGCCAGAGATGCTGGACAGAAGAGACACAAAGCAAACATACAGAAAGAGGCATAGACAGACAGACAGAGCGAGGCAGACAGATCACATTAGGGTTTGGGGTGGTAACTGCAACCCTACCTGAAGCTTGCAGATAGAGCACAGGCCACATAAACCACTTCCCAGTCTTTGTACAGAAGCCCACCTGGGACACATGTAAACAGCATCAATGCTGACTCAGGAGCATGAAAGGCCGGGCTCAGATTGGAAAGACTAGAGGTAGCATTGGCCGCCCGCCATTGCCCATTTCCAGAAGCCCCCACCTCTCACCAAAGAGTGATTTCCACATGGGGGGCACAGATGCAACCATCGTTGGGGGAGCCCCAATGTCTCTTGATGGGAGGCATTTTCCACCCTAGATGTTTTTTGCTCTCTCCACACCTTGGAGACTCAGTGGGGGAGTCTTCTCTGGGGACTCGGGGAGGGCCTCCCTGGGACTCGCAGGATTTCCAAGCTAGATGACAACATGACAGGTGGAAACAGGCCCATTCCTTCGCCAGGGGCCCCAAGCTCCATCCCAGGAGATGAGAAGAGGCTCTTCTCATTGGTCAGTGGATCCCTGAGGGGACAGAGGCTCAGCACTGAAGGCTGAGAAGGATCTGCCACTTCGCTCAGTGGCCTCAAGCCAGACATCTTCCCTACAGACTTGCAGTGATTCTCCATCAGCATTTAGGGCTGTGGCCACCAACCTGGGTGTTGGTCTGTAGGAACTTTTCATTTCTGACCTTCCATAACTGAGTTCTCTTCCTAAATGTGGAATGCCTTGTACTCCATGTTACTCTCTCCCCAGAAAGAATGTGTGGCTTGTCTGCTCTCCAGCCCTGTCATGGAGATTGATAATCCTTAGGGAGCAAGAGGAGAGGGAAAGAACAAAGTATGAGACCACCTAGGTGCTACTGGTTGAGGTTCCATTTGCCAGTGAAGGGACTTCACTCAGCCGAGGGGGCAACTCAGGGAAGTCAGCCGAGGGAGGGCATTAGAGTAGAGAGAACTGAGCTCACCCAGTAAATGACCCCTTCACTAACTCATTCATCTAATATTTATTTCACACCTACCATCAGTTCTCTCTGTTTCATGGCCAGGAGTAGACAGCACGGCCAAGCTCCTGGGTTCATGATGCTCACATTGCTGTGGGGTGGGAGAGAGAGGCAGAACATGAATGAATGAATGAGAGAATGAATGAATGAGTGAATGATGGAATGAGTGAATGAATGAATGAATGAATGTATGAATTAGTGAGTGAATCCTTAGCACTTGGTGAAAGTGCCATGCACAGAATGAAATGAATGAACGTGGAACGTTGTCATTTGGAGTGTACAGGAGGGAACGTCTCACTGAGACCTCATCAGAGAGATCACATTTAAACTCCGATCTTAGAGACAAGAGGGAGTGAGCCCTGGGGAGTGTGTTGAAAGGAACTTTCATGGACTTAGGACATTGGGGATGACCCTAATGTGAGAATGAGCTTGGTGTGTTCCAAGAAGTCCATGGACCTGCCATATGGTGAGGGCTGGTCAGAATCCAGAGAGATTTCTAAATGCCCTTGTGCTTGTAAGGAAAGTGAGTCCTGTGGTTGGGAGTGGACTTATACCTTGGGTCAGGTCCAGCAATTATCTTTCTAAATCCTCTCTAATTGCCTGAACCACTTCTATCAACAACTGAGAAAAGAGGAGTGTTAAACACCCCACTGTGGCCGTGGATTTGCCTACCTGTCCATTTATTTCCGCGACTCTTCCTCCATGTATATTTGCAGGAATATTACTGGGAGTGGTTAAGTGTAAACTGATTATATATTCCTGGTAAATTTAAAATGCTATAAATTTACCTGCTTTTTTCCTACATTTTATGCTTAATGTTTTCCGCTGATTTTTCCCAAAGACTAATTTTGTCTAATTTTAATATAGTTATACCACATTTCTAACAGTGATTGCTTGGTATATTTCTACATTGTTTAATTTCAAACTCCATGAATTGTTAACATTGAGATGTGTCCTTTGTAAATTTCAAACAATTCGCCTTAGAAAGTAAGACTTTCTGACAATCTTTTGTTCATGTTTGAGCAGTTCTTCCAATCATATTTTTGTTATTATTACGTTGTGTTTTCCTGATTCCCTTTTTTTCCCACTGACTTCTGTGGTTTTCTATTTCAAACATTCTATTTTTGATCTATGTCGTTTAGGAATACATATATGGTGTACTCATCCTGAAGTTGTTACATATTTTTAAAATTGAAATTAATCATTTCAGAGATTAAACTGCAAATATAAAAACATATTTCCACTCTTCCTGTGTAAGAACAGGATTTTAGAGCATATTTAGTACATATGTTTGTATTTACTTATATGATGTTTTGTTTTGTGGTATACATAATTCTATCTTTTTCAGAAATTACACAGGGGCATGTTTTCATACACTATCGTATGGTCCATATTCATTTTTGGCATAGCCATATTTTTAGTTCTTCCTCTGCTCTTAGTTATTGTCAGAATCTTCGACACCCCATCTGGTTTCACTTTCTTTATCTTTGAGGCACGGTCATCAGAATTTCCTTTAGGGTCAGTGAGAAAAGCTTTCTTTGCCCTTTTGTCTTTCAGTTCTGTTTCTTTCCTGCGTTGATCTTGGACAGTAACTGTACTATGTAAGGAATTGTCGGTGGCTGGCGACGGTATCTTAGCTGGGTAAAGATGCTATTCTACTGGCTTATGTTTTCCTTTTTTCTGTGGGGAAGACAATGCTTGGCTCCCTATAAATCCTTACCAGCTGATCCTTTTCCTCTGGCTAATTTTAAGGGTTGGTTGTGCTTTTATGCTGCTTTTCTGTAATGTTGAACGTGAGGTGTGTTTACTTCATTCTGCCTGGCATTCACTGGATTTCTTGAACCTGTGGATTGATGGATGTGTCTACTTCCTCCAAATAATCAACAATTGCCTCTTTAAAGATTGCTTCTGACCTGTTTTCTCGTTCTTTCTTTTTGGAACTCAAGTTAGGAGCATTCTAAAACTGTTGTCAATTTTTACCCTGTCACAAAACTGCTCTTTCTTGTTTCAGTTATTTGCTTTTTCTGTGCATTAATATTGATGGTTTCCTCTGTCATAGAGGATAAATACTCTCTTCACTGTTGTGTACACAACATTTTAACTAGTTATTCTGGTTTAAATTTAATATTGACTTTATCTACATATCACAATTGATTACTGTGTACAGACTTTCTTTTCTATTAGTATAAATTTATGAGGTACACTTGTAATTTTGTGACATGAGTATGTTGCAGAGTAGTGAAGTCAGGACTTTTACTATATCCATCACCCAAATACCGTACATTGTACTCATTAAGCAAATTCTCATCACTCACCCACGTCCCGCCACCCTCCAGCCTTCTAGCCTCCGCTGTCCGTCATTCCACACTCTACGTCCATATGTACACATTACTCCCCTCCCATGTAGAGTGAGAAGATGTGGTATTTGTCTTTCTGAGTGGTTTTATGTAAAATAATGGCGTCCAGCTCCATCTATGTTGCTGCAAAAGACATGGTTTTATTTTTATGACCAAATAGTATTTCGTTGTGTATACACGCATCCTTTTTTTAATCCAATCATTCATTCACAGACACTTAGATTGATTTCATATCTTTGCTATTGCAAACAGTGCTGCAATAAACATACAGGTGCAGATATTTTTTGAGTAGATACCCAGCAGCGGGACCCCTAGATCGAATGGTGCTTCTATTTTTGGTTCTCTGCCAAATTTCCATACTGTCTTCCATAGAGGCTATACTAATTTACATACCGGCCAACAGTGTATAAGAGTTTCCTTTTCTCTGCATCCTTGCCAACACCTGTTATATGTTTCACTTTTTCTTTTTTTCTTTTTGAGATGGAGTCTTCCACTGTCACCCAGGCTGGAGTGCAGTGCCGCCATCTCCACGCGCTGCAACCTCCACCAACCAGGTTCAAATGATTCTCCTGCCTCAACCTCCTGAGTAGCTGGGATTACAGAACCACACCACCATGCCCAGCTAATCTTTTGTATATTTAGTAGAGATGGGGTTTCACTATGTTGGTCAGGCTGGTCTCAAACTCCTGACCTCATGATCCACCCGCCTCAGCTTCCCAAAGTGCTGGGATTACAAGCGTGAGCCACCACTCCCCACCAGCATTTTTAGTAATAGCCATTCTGACTACTGTAAGATGATATCTCATTGTGGTTTCAATTTGCATTTCTCTGATGATTAGTGATGTTCATACGCTGTTTGGCCATTCGTATGTCTTCTTTTGAAAAATGTCTATGTATATCCCTTTGCCCACTTTTTAATGCTATTATTTGAGGGGTTATGTTTAGTTGTTTGAGTTGCCTAGAAATTCTGGATGTTAGTCCCCTGTTGGGTGCATAGTTTGCAAACATTTCCATTCATTCTGTGGGTTGTCTGTTCACCCTGCTACTATTTCCTTTGCTTGGCAGAAGCTCTTTCGTTTATTAAGTCCCATTGGTCTAG
This sequence comes from Homo sapiens, assembly GCF_000001405.40. Lineage (NCBI taxonomy): Eukaryota > Metazoa > Chordata > Mammalia > Primates > Hominidae > Homo > Homo sapiens. Next base: position 412,807 of record NW_003571055.2, read on the forward strand.
TTTTATTTTTATTGCCTGTGCTTTTGAGGTCTTAGTGATGAATTCTTTGCCCAGACCAATGCCCAGAAGAGTTTCTCTTTGGGTTTCCACCGGTGATTTTATAGTTCTGGATTTACATTTAAGCTGCTAATTACCTTAAGTTAATTTATGTGTATGATTACAGATACAGGTCCAGTTTTATTCTTCTGCATATGGCTATTTAGTTTTCCCAGCACCTTTTATTGAAAAGGAAATCTTTCTCCAGGGTATGTTTTGTTAACGTCGTCAATGATTATTCACTGTAGATATGAGGCTGTATTTCTGGGCTCTCTATTCTGGTCTATTGATCTCTGTTTCTGTGTCTATACCAGCACTGTGCTATTTAAGTTACTATAGCCTTAGAGCATAGTTTGAAGTCAGATAGCGTGATGCCTCCAGGTTTCTACATTCACCTAGAATTGCTTTCTCTATTAGGATCTTTTTTGGTTCTGTATGAATTTTAGGATTGCTTTTTCTAATTCTGTGAAAACTGGTGTTACTATTTTCATATAAGAATTGCACTGAATCTGTAGATTGCTTTAGGCAGTATGGTCATTTTAACAATATTAATTCTTATGATCCATGAGCGTGGGATTTTTTTTCTTTTTTTTTTTGTATTATCTATAATTGCTTTCATTGGTGTCTTACACCTTTCCTGGTACAGATCTTTCACCACCTTGGTTAAATGTATTCCTGAGTGTTTTAATTTTGCGTATCTATTGTAAACGGCATTGCCTTCTTGATTTGGTTCTCAGCTAGATCATTATAGGTGTAGAGAAATGCTACCGGCTTTTACATATTGATTTTGTATTCTGAAACTTTACTTAGTTCATTTATCAATCATAAGAATTTTTGGCAGGGTCTTTAGGATTTTCTAGATTTAAGATCATAGCATCAGAAATAAAAATAATTTTACTTCCTCTTTTCTAATTTGGATTTTTACTTCTTCCTGTTGCCCAATAGCTCTGACAAGGCTTCCAGTACTATGTTGATAGGAAGTGGTGGATGTCCGTGTCCTTGTCTTGTGCCAGTTCTCAGAGGAGTGCTTTTAACTTTTCCTGTTCAGTATGATGTTGACTCTAGATATGTCATCTATGGCTTTTATTATTTTGAGGTATGTTCTTTCTATGCCTAAGTTTTTGAGGGTTTTCATCAGGTAAGGATGTTGAATTTCTTTTCAGATGCTTTTCTTTATGTCTATTGAGATGATCATATGGTTTTTGTTCTGGATTCTGCTCGTTCTTCTAAGTGGATGAGACATGCCAGAAAAGCATTTAGTCAGCCATCTTGGAAACAAGCATCTCAGATGTTTTCTTTCTCTATAGCTCATTCTTTCTTACCAGTGTTTTCAATTTTGTACTTAATTTTGTAAAGAGAGTAAATGATATAATTTCCACATATGTTTCCTCTGCCAAATCAGACTCACTATGCTTCCTTTCCTTGTATGCATAACCTACCCAGCAATACACACAAACATTTATTGCTTTGGAGAATTAGTTTGGGAACATTTTTGAAATGTACAAAAAAATGTATATCTTCAAAAGAAATTTCTTTTTGTGGCAAAAGACTTCTGAAGGTGCTCATGATGATATAGGGAGAAGAGGGGTTCTGGACAGGAAGAATTTTATGAAGGTGAGATGGGGAAATAGCTCCATTTCAGAGCTTCTGGGGAGAGAGGGGCCTGGCCCACATGGAAAGGTCTCTGATCTTACCCCCACCCTCCAGCCCCTGTTCTCCAGAACTATACTGTGGAGAGTTCCATCAGGATTGTTGTGGCTGGTCTGGTCTTCCTGGCTCTTTTGGCAATGCTGGCTAAGACCTGGTGGAGACATGAGGGGCCACAGGTGGAAATGGAAGAAACATGACTGAAGCTGGCTGGAGTGAATGGCGCGACATTCTGTCTGTGGGAGATTGGCCAGATGGGTTTCAAGTGTGTTGTATCAGCTGTGACTTTTAGTAATGTTCTTGCTACCACAATATCCACTCGTCCATCCCGAATAATTGTGATGAAATATTGTCCTTGGGATAATATTCATTTGCTAAAGACAGGGATGATACCTCAAGGTGCCACTATATACATCGAGGGGATCCACAAAAGTCCATTCAGTAAAATGTAGTTGGCATCTTAGGGTAGGTTGATTCCACCTCTAAAAAAGTAGGTACAACATCAGGTTGATTTTTCCGAAGAAAAGTGGTGATTGGCCATCTTTAGTCTCAATGTAAACGGTAATACTGATGAGTGTGGAAAAGGCAGGGAAGAGGATTGACAATAAGTGACACTCATTGTTTTCATCTGAGCTTTGAGACTGAAAGAGGAACACAGGAGTGAGATGTATGGGAACAAACCCCTTCTTTTTCCAGCTAAACAGAGTGGAAGTTGGACACTGAGTTTTGGCGTACAGCAAAATCCTAAGTCCATTGTTGGGTTGAACACGGCCATGTTGTACATCCTGGTTTCACAGCAGACACTGGAGGAAAACAGCCTGTATTCATAAGAGGCTGTCCCTCGGGTCACTGCCCAGAATATCCGGAGTTGGTGCTCACAGGGTTGGGAACTCTCCTGGACCAGACAGGCTCTGGATATGGGGGGGTACCAAGCTCCCCGGGGCCATGCCTCCACAGCTCTCTTCTCACCTCATTCTTGACCATTTCCCAAACCTCTGACCTCACCTTCATTCATCCATGGTGAACACGCTAAAGCTGGCCTTCAAAGCTTGAGACAGAGGAAAATTGGGCTTCATCTCTGGGAACTAAATTGGGGAGTGGAGACTCAGTTCTGGCCTGACAGGAGGGAGAAGACCCTGGATCCCAGTGTGGATGGGAAGAAGTATGTGTTTCTCTTTTGTGCTTGGACCCTGTGTCCAAGCATGTCTGAGATGTGATGAAGATGAATCTTCCTTTCCTTGTCTATTTTCTCATGCCAGAGAATTGGAATCTTATATTCCATTAACTCTTTCTGTTCTGTTCATCCAGATTCTATGAAGGAGAAAGGAAAAGATGTGATACTGTAATTTTGCTCCATTTGTCTAAAATGAGTAGGCTGCAACTCCTCTTGAAGTGATACCTTTTCTAGCTCTTGTTGGAGGTGTCTCAGGACTCATTACTTCGGGGAACCTGCAACTGTGTCAGTCTGGGGAAACTGCAAATATTCTTGTCTTACATTTGTCTCCAGCCAATTGTGATGGACTCCAGTGACCTGCAATTGCTGTTATTGCAGGTAAAATGTACCTGAGTCAGGCCACAGTTCTCCTGGACTATGAGCCCCTGGCCATGTTCCTGAGGCAATTCTGTTCATCTAAATATAATAATAATAACACACTAAAAATGGCAAGCCATTGTTAATTCCTGAAGTCTCATTTGAAAATTACTAAATGTCTGTTATTTTTTGGTGTTTACATTATATGTAGACAGATAAACTACACACACACACACACACACACATGCACACAGAAGAATGGATTGGTTCATGTAGAAAAGTAAATAATTCAAGATGAAAGGATGAAATGTCATGGCACCTACTATTCTATTTTAGATAAAGGGTCTATGAAAAGATTGATTTCTTTTTATGTTTTATTTGTTGACATTTGAACACAAACTATGTAAGTGAGGGAGTCGATTTGAAAGGGAGAAGAGCAAGTTCAAACACATTCAGGTGAGGTCATGCTTTACATGTTTTAATTGAAATGATCCATCTTGGGAGTAGATCAATAACTGAGATGGTGCCAGGAATGTTAAAAAGCTTTTGTCAGTCCTAAATATTGACAAATAAAATTTAATTAAAGTCTTAGAAGAAAACACAAAGGAAAACTTCACAACATCGGATTTGGCAGTGATTCTTTAGATGTGACAACAACGGCACAGGCTACTACAGAAAAAATAAACAAGTTAGACTTTATGAAAATTTTGAAATATTGTGACTCAAAAGACAACATCAGTTACTTCACATGGCAAGGAAAAAGAACTTTTAAGACGATATTATCAAAGTAAAAAGACAACCCACAGAATGGGAGAAAATGTTTTCAAACCACACCACCTGTAAGGGATTAACATCCAGAATATACAGACAACTCCTAAAACTCAATCACAATAAACTCAATTCAAAAATGGGCAAAGTACTGAAACAGACATTTCTCCAAAGAACATACGCATGAAAAGATATTCAGCATCACGAATCATTAGGGAAATACTAACTAAAACTACACCAGATGCCATTTCATACCCCTTAGGATGGGTATCATCAAAACAACAACAACAACAACAACAAAGTTTCTATACATTAACAACAAACTATCCAAAAAAGTTTACAAGAAAATAAGCCCATTTGCAATAACTACAGAAAACAAAACATGCAGGAATAAATTCACCCAAGGAGTAGAAAGATCTGTATGCAAAAGCTATAAAACATTGATGAAAAAACTCAAGAAATAAACAAATAAATCGAAAGATATTCCATGTTCACGGATCAGAAGGATTAATGTTGTTAAAATGTCCATTCTATCCAAAGTGATTCAATGCAACCATTATCAAAAATCCAATGACATTTTTTTTACAGAAATAGAAAAAACAGTCCTAAAATTCATGTGGAACCACAAAAGATCTCAAATAACCAAAGCCATCTAGAGGGAAAGGAACAAAGTTGGAAGCATCACATTACCTAAACACAAACTACATTACAAAATTACAGTAATTAAAACAACACAGTACTTGCATAAAAACAGACACATAGACCAATGGAAGTGATTCATAGCCCAGGAAAAAAATGCATGCATTTAGGGTCAAACAATTTTTGGGATGTGTCAAGAACACACAATGGAGAAGGAACAGTCTCTTTAATAAATGGGATTGGGAGACTGCATGTCCACATGCAGAAGAATGGAAGTGGACATTTGCCTCACAAAACATACAAAGTCAACTCAAGATAGATTAATGACTTAAATGTAAGATGAAAGACTATAATCCCAGCAATTTGGGAGGCCAAGGTGGGCAGATCACCTAAGGTCAGGATTCCAAGACCAGCATGGCCAACATGGTGAAATCCCGCCTCTACTAAAAATACAAAAACAGCTGGGTGTGGTTGTGGGTGCCTGTAATCTCAGCTACTCGGGAGGTTGAGACAGGAGAATCACTTGAACCCAGGAGGTAGAGGTTGCAGTGAGCCGAGATCGCACCACTGCACTCCAGCCGGGGCAACACAGTGAGACTCCATCTTAAAAAAAAAAAAAAAACTACTAAAAGAAATCAAGGGAAAACTCCACTGGCTTGGGCAAAACCATTTTGGATATTAACCCAAAGGCCCAGGCAACAAAAGCAAAAGTAGACAAATAACATTATATCAAATTGAAAGTTTCTGCAAAGAAAAAAAAAACTCAACAAGTGGAAAGACAACCTATGGAATGGGAGAATATATTTGCACCCATACATCTAATAAGGAATTAATATCCAAAATATATAAGAAACTCAAACAACTCAATGGTAAGAAATCAAATAACCCAACTTAAAAAAATGGGCAAAGTATCTGAATAAACATTTCTAAGAATAAGACAAATCACCAAAAGGTATATGAAAAAATGATTAGCATTACTAAACATCAGCTAAATAAAAATTAAAACTAGAATGAGATATCACCTCACACCTCTTAGAATGACCATTAACAGTCTGGGCATGGTGGCTCATGCCTGTAATTCAGGCACTTTGGGAGGCCGAGGCAGGGAGATTACCTGAGGTCAGCAGTTCGAAACCAGCCTGGCCAATATGGTGAAACCCCATCCCTACTAAAAATACAAAAATTAGCAGAGTTTGGTGGCGCACACTTGTAGTCCCAGCTACTCTGGAGACTGAGGCAGGGGAATCGCTTGAACCCAGGAGGCAGAGGTTGCAGTACACCGAGATTGTGCCACTGCACTCCAGCCTGGGTGACAGAGCAAGACTGAGTCTCAAAAAAAAAAAAAAAAAAAGACCATTATCAAAAACATAAAAAATAACAAGGGTTAACGAGGATGTGGAGAAAAGGGAACATTTGTATGCAGTTGATGGGAATGTAAATTAGCACAACCATTATGGAAAACAGTCTGGAAGTTCCTGAAAAAATTAAACATAGAATTCCCATATGTGTCTGCAATCCAACTACTGCGCATGTATCCAAAGGAAGTGGAATCAGTATGTTGAAGAGATATCTGCATTCCCATGTTTACAGCCGCATTATTCATAACAGCCAAGATGTGGAATCACCCTTACTGCCCATCTATGGGTGCATGGACAAAGAAAACGTGGTATACGATAGGAACGTAATGAAGTACTATACAACCTTTACAACAAAGAAGGAAGTCCTCTCATTTGTGACAATGTGAAAAAACTTAGAGGACATTATGTTAAGGGAAACAATCCAGGCACAGAAAGACAAATGCCACATGATCTCATGTGTGGAGTGTAAGAAGTGGAACCTAGAGGAACAGTAAAATGGTCGTCGAAAGAACCTGGGATGGAGAGAGATTGAAGAGATGTTGGTCAAAGGATGCAAAATTTCAGTTAGAAGAAATCGGTTCAAGAGATCTATTGTATGTCTTGGTGACTCCAGTTAATAGCAACATATGGTGTATTGAACATTACTAAGAGATTAGATTTTACATGTTCTCACCACACACACAAAACATACAAGTATGTGAAAAAATAAATATGATAAAGAGGTTGTTTCATCCATTCCACAATGTGTACCTATATGAAAACATCATGATGGACACCACAAATACCCTTTTCCTCATTAATTAAATTTGTTTTGGTTTTTTTTTTGAGATGCAGTTTCACTGTTGTTGCCCAAGCTGAGGTGCAATGGCGTGATCTCCGCTCACTGCAACCTCTGCCTCCCAGGTTCAAGCGGTTCTCCTGACTCAGCCTCCCAAGCAGCTGGGACTACAGTTGCGTACCACCCCGTCCGGCTATATTTGTGTTTCTAGTAGAGACAGGGTTTCGCCATGTTGGCCAGGCTGGTCTCGAACTCCAGACCTCAGGTGATCCACCCGCTTCGCCCTCCCAAAGTGCTAGATTTCAGGCTGAGACACCACACCCAGCCTGTACATTGACTTTCTGCCCTTAAACTGTGCTGAAGTTTGTTTCTCAGATGTAGGAGCCTTTGGGCAGAGACTATGGGGTTTCTAGGTATAGAAATTATCTCATCTTCAAACAGAGGTAATTTGACTACCTCTCTCTGCTACTCTCTTCTTACTTGGATGCCTTATAATTCTTTCTCTTTCCTGATGGCTCTGTCTAGGACTTCAAGTACTATGTTGAATAGGATGGTGAGAGTGGGCATTCTTGTCTTGTTTCACTTATGAAGGGAACTTCTTCCAGCTTTTACTCATTCAGTATGATGTTGGTTGTGGGTTTGTCACAGGCGGCTCTTATTATATTGAGTTATGTTTCTTCAATGCTTAGCTTGTTGAGGGCTTTTAACATGAAGAAATGCTTAGTAAAAAGTATGTTCTACATGTGTGTTGAGAAGATCATGTGGTTTTTGTTTTTAGTTTTGTTTAGGTGATGAATCACATGTATTGATTGTGTATGTTCAACCAACCTTGCACCCTAAGAATAAAGTTGACTTGATCATGGTGGATTCACTTTTTGATATGCTGCGGGATTCAGTTCTTAGTATTTTTTGTGGATTTTTGCCTCTATGTTCATCAGGAATATTGGCATGTAGTTTTCTTTTGTTTAATGTTCTTTTCTGTCTTTAGTATCAGGGTGATGCCAGCCTTATAGAATGAGTAAAGGCCACCCTGGGCAAACAGTGAGACCCATCCCTTTTTAAAAATTATGAGTTTTACAAATTTAAAATGCATAGTGAAAAAGTTCTTACAAACTCCAGAAAGGTAGGTGTAAATAAGAGACATTTGTAAGAATGACAGCACATTAAATGTGTAGATTTCAACCTTCAGTTATTGCAATATTCCAGTATCAAGTTGGAGGATGTTATCAGTCTGATATTTTTTCCTCAAATGAGAGAGAGAAAGAAAGACACACAAACAACACAGGGAGAAAAAAAGCACACGTTACAGAGAGACAAAAAGGGAGACAGGGAACTGTGAATTTGGACTCTTGTGTCATAAGACAAATTCTAGATAACACGACCAGACCTTCAATTGACATATTGTGTTTTTGCTAATAAGGTGGAATTCTATGATGCGAAATAACTATATAGTCTTTTCTACTGGGATTTAAATCATTTTATCTGTTTCTGGCTTAACAGGAAAAATACAACCATGGAAAATTATGATGATTTATTTAATACGATTGCTCTATAGTGTTAATAAAACCTATTAGGTATTTTGCATATTACATATCAAGGAGAGTTTGAATCTCAGGTAGAAACAAAAAAAAATACATCAAAAGTTCCTCATGTGAGTGCAGAATTCAATCGTCCCGTGCAGGGGTAAGTGAGTCTGAGATGTGTTTTGAGCCTGGCCGTTGCGCATGATGTGAAGTGACAAGTCTAGTCTGCAGTTTTCAGAAACCCTCATTCCTCCCTTGACTGATTCACCACTTGAACCTCATATGACGTAGAAGAAGCCTACCTATGTCCCCTTCACATGTTGTGGTCAATGTGTCAACTGCACGATCCGGGCCCCTCACCACATCCTCTGCACCGGTCAGTCGAGCCGAGTCACTGCGTCCTGGCAGCAGAAGCTGCACCATGTCCATGTCACCCACGGTCATCATCCTGGCATGTCTTGGTGAGTCCTGGAAGGGAAGGAGCACCAGGGTTACACTATGGGCCTGCAGATTGGGTGTCTCCCCAGCAGAGAGCCATGTTCTGAAGCAAGTGAGTGGTGAGGATGAGTTAATTTTCAGTCCAGCGTGGCGCCCAGTGGCTCAGGAGGAAAGGGTAGGTTGCTGCCGAGATGAATAGTTCCTCATGATCTTTCTTTGCAGGGTTCTTCTTGGACCAGAGTGTGTGGGCACACGTGGGTGAGTCCTTCCCCAAATGATGGGTTGCCATCTTCACCCCAATACAAGTGAATTTTCCGGAAATGGGAGGGAGGCAGCACAGAGGGTGGGCTGATGGGCTGACCATGGGAAGGCCTGGGGGGAGTCTCTCATGAACTAGTAAGAGGAGATCCTGGGAGTCTCTCATGAACTAGTAAGAGGAGATCCTGGGAGTCTCTCATGAACTAGTAAGAGGAGATCCTGGTATGCTCAGCCTTCTGTTTTGTCTTAGCCCTCCCCAGCCTTTCTTCCCCATGGCTGAGTTGAGCTCTGTGTGGCCCAGGCGGGATACTGAGGTGCTCAAAGCTGGGGTGTGTGGGGGGATGTGGTGTCACCGACAGAGGAGGGAAGGGTAGCAGTGTTAGGAACAGCAGGTCCTCTGAGGACAAGAGGGTAACTCACACCCTCCAGCGTTTCCATGACGGTAGGGGCTGCAGTGTGGCTGCTGTCATTCTGCCAGAAGAGGTGGGGGAACCACAGCCACGACCCTGCCATTCCAAATCCTCTGATGGAGCTCAGTTGTTTATTGTGGTTCAGGCATTAGCTAATATTCCATTCACAAAGGTCATACCCTCCACCCCATGTCTACTTTGTGTTGTTTGGTGTAACTAATCTTGCAGTATTAAAATCTAGTAAGAGTCCCTTACTCAGCACCTGCTCAGTTCTCAACTGACACTTTTGTTGTAGGGAGACGCCACGTCTATGCGGGATGGGTCCTTCCTGTAGCCCCAGGCACCCAGGTGTGGTAGGAGCCTTAGAAAGAAGAAATGGGGAGAATCTTCTGAGCACAGGGAGGGAGGGGCAGCTCAACATACTCCTCTCTGAGGCGGCATCTCCTTCTCCCCAAGGTGGTCAGGACAAGCCCTTCTGCTCTGCCTGGCCCAGCGCTGTGGTGCCTCAAGGAGGACACGTGACTCTTCGGTGTCACTGTCGTCGTGGGTTTAACATCTTCACGCTGTACAAGAAAGATGGGGTCCCTGTCCCTGAGCTCTACAACAGAATATTCTGGAACAGTTTCCTCATTAGCCCTGTGACCCCAGCACACGCAGGGACCTACAGATGTCGAGGTTTTCACCCGCACTCCCCCACTGAGTGGTCGGCACCCAGCAACCCCCTGGTGATCATGGTCACAGGTCAGAGGGCTCCTGTCTGGGCTTCTCCTTGTCCCACCTCCTGAGTCCCAGAGCTTCTGGTGGGGGTGTCCACCAGAGTCCGATCATCCAGGCCCCAACTATATTTGGGGTAAAGGGGGATTGAATACAGGGGAATGGGTGCTGTGTTGGAAAGAATAACTGTCCCCATCGATGGCCACATTGTAATCCTTGGAGCCTGTGACTATGTTATAGGGCAGGGGACTGAAGGGGAAGATGGAGCTCAGGTTGTTGATGAGTTGACCTTGAGATGGGGAGATGGCCTGGACCCTCCCACTGGGCTCAGTGTAATCACAAGGGTCCATATGAGTGGAGAAGGAAGAGGAGAATGGGGATTAGAGCAGCATCGTGGGATACTCCACCAGCCACTGTGGGCTTTGAAGGTGGAGGAAGACCACGAGCCACGAAGGGGCTGGAGAAATCAATGGAACTGATTCTCCCGAGTCTCCAGAGGGAATGCAGCCCTGCAGATGCCTTGATTGTAGCCCAGGAAGAACAGGGTCTGATTTCTGTCTCCAGAAGTGGAAGGGGTCAGTGTGTTCTCTCCTGCCGCCATGTTTGTGATAATTTTCTCCAGCAACATCAGGAAACCAACACAGGAACCCAGGTGAAGGACAAGTTAAAAAACCAAACAAGAAGGTTGGCTACCCTGAGATCAGCAAGGGTGCACTGCTGATGCCACCACCAGGCTGGAACCACATAGGGAGGGATCGACAGGAAGAGTTGGGGGTGGAGGGTGAGAGAGAGAGAGAGAGAGAGAGCACTAGGCCATAGAGCAGGGCAGTGAGTTCTCAGCTCAGGTGGGAGGGGAGCTGTGACAAGGAAGAACCTCCCTGAGGAAACTGCCTCTTCTCCTTCCAGGTCTATATGAGAAACCTTCGCTTACAGCCCGGCCGGGCCCCACGGTTCGCGCAGGAGAGAACGTGACCTTGTCCTGCAGCTCCCAGAGCTCCTTTGACATCTACCATCTATCCAGGGAGGGGGAAGCCCATGAACTTAGGCTCCCTGCAGTGCCCAGCATCAATGGAACATTCCAGGCCGACTTCCCTCTGGGTCCTGCCACCCACGGAGAGACCTACAGATGCTTCGGCTCTTTCCATGGATCTCCCTACGAGTGGTCAGACCCGAGTGACCCACTGCCTGTTTCTGTCACAGGTGAGGAAAGCCAATGTCTGTCCCATGTCCTATGGTCCTAGAGCCTTAGCTGAGGAGCTTCCTGCTGATGATGGAGAGAAGCATGGACAGATGTGGAGAGAAGATGCAGCATGGTGTGAGGGTGGGATCAGGGCACAGGATGGCAGACAGGGCACCTCCAAACCCTCCTGCATGGCCTGCATGGAAGCTTGCAGTAAGGGCTCCGGGTACCCAGGCAGATGGAGAAAGTGGTCAGGACAGACCCAGAGGAGGGAGACTGGGCTCAGTTTGGGGAGATCAGAGGTTCCCTCAGCCCCTCAACCTTACCCATTTCCCAGAAGCCCACCCTGGCCTCTCACCTACACAGAGATGTCATCACCAGCAACCCCTACACTTTTTCTTTTCCTTTGAAAAAATGCTGATTGAGGTTAAATATACCTATATAATTTATCAACTTTACCATTTTTAAGTGTAAAATCTAGGGATCATAAATACCTTTATATGCTGTGTGCGGTGGCTCACGCCTGTAATCTCAGCATTTTGAGACGCCAAGGCAGGTGGATCATTTAAAATCAGGGGCTGGAGACCAGCCCGGCCAACATGGGGGAACCAATCTTTACTAAAAAGACAAAAAAAATAAAATTAGCCAGGCATGGTGCCAGGCGCCTATAATCCCAGCAACTTGGGAGGCTGAGGCGGGAGAGTGGCTTAAACCCAGGAGGAGGAGGTTGCAGTGAGCTGAGATCATGCCACTGCACTGCAGCCTGGTGACACAGAGAGACTCTGTCTCTAAATAAATAAATAAATACTTTTATATTCTTCTTTTGTTACCCTCCACCCCTTCCTTCCTAACCTCTGGTATCCACCATTCTACTCTCTACCTTCATGAGGTCCACCTTTTACATCCTGCATGTGAGTAAGAAATGGCAATCCTTGTAATGACCTCCAGTCCATCCATGTGGCTGCAAATGACAGGACGTTTCTCTTTGTATGGATGAGTTGTCTCCATTGTGTGTATGTACTACATTCTCTCTATCCATTCATCCACTGATGGGCAGGTAGGTTGACTCCACATCTTGGCTACTGTGAACAGTGCTGGAACAGTCATGGGAGTGCAGATGTCACTTCAATACACTGAAGTCCTTTTCTTTGCATTTACACCCACTAGTGGAATTGCTAGATCCTCTGGATGTTCTCTTTTTAGGTTTTGTTTTATGCTTTTTGTTTTTTTGACATAGCGTTTCACTCTTGTTGCCCAAGCTGGAGTGCAATGGCACCACCTGGGCTCACTGCAACCTCTACCTCCAGGATTCAAGTGATTCTCCAGCCTCAGCCTCCCGAGTAGTTGGGATTACTGGTGCCCGCCACCACGCCTGGCTGATTTTTGTATTTTTAGTAGAGACGGGGTTTCACCATGTTAGCCAGGCTGGTCTCGAACTCTTGACCTCCAGTGATCTGCCCACTTCAGCCTCCCAAGGTGCTGGGATTACAAGCGTGAGCCACAGTGCCTAATCTCTTTTTAGTTTTTAAGGAACTTCCATATTCTTCTCCTCTGTAATGGCTGTATTAATTTACATTCCTATCAACAGTGTATCAGGGTTCTCCTTTCTCCACCACCTTGCCAACATTTGTTTTGTCTGTCTCTGAGATAAAACCCATTGTAATGGGGTGAGATGATAGCTCATTGTGACTTCATTTGCATTTCTCTGATGATTAGTGATACTGAGCACTTTTTCATATATGCAATGTATATATGTTCATTTGTATGTTTTGTTCATTGAGAAATGTCTGTTCAGGTCTTTTACTAATTTTATAATTAAATTATTAGTTTTATTGAGGTGTTTGAGCTTCTTTTATATTCTAGTTATTAATCCCATCTCAGATGCATAGTTTGCAAATATTTGCTCCCATTCTGTGGGTTGTCTCTTCTTCACTTCATTGGTTGCTTCCTTTGCGGTGCAGAAGCTGCTTGATTTGATATAATCCCAATGGTCTATTTTTTTGTTGTTGTTGTGATTACTTGTGTTTTTGAGGTTTTAAACAAAATGTCTTCCCTCAGACAAATGTCCTGGAGCATTTCTCCAGTGTTTCCTTTTAGACATTTAATGGATTCAGGTCTTAAGTCATTAATCCATTTTCATCTGATTTTTGTGTATGGTGAGAGGTAGAGGTGCAGTTTCATCCCTCTGCATGTAGATATCCAGTTTTCCCTGCACCATTTATTGAAATGACTGTCCTTTCCAGATTGTAGATTCTTCGAACCTTTGTCAAAGTCCATTGGATGTAAATGGGTGGATTACATCCGTGTTCTTCATTCTGCTCCATTGTTTTATGTGCTTTTCTTTATGCCAATGTCATGTTGTTTTGCTTACTACAGCTCTGTAACATATTTTTAAGTCAGGTAGTGTGATGCTCCTGTTTTCTCCTTATACCTTGAAGTCTCAAGATAGTTGGTGTCACCTACAATGATTATGGAGAATGGGATGCCAGGACTCCCAGGGCCCAACATTAGATAATAGAATGTTGGCCATGAACCAACCTCAAAGATTTCCATTGAGTAGAAGACAGGCATCCTCATTGCCACACCTCTCTCCTGTCCCATGTTCTAGGAAACCCTTCTAGTAGTTGGCCTTCACCCACTGAACCAAGCTTCAAAACTGGTAAGTGAAGGACCCCTCTTATCTCTGCTTTTGGAAACCTGGGGAGGTAGAAGCCTTGGATTCAAGCGTTGGCTCAGCACCTGCCAGCTCTGTGATTGTGGGCCTGTCTTCCATTGTCTCTGAACCCCAGACACTCCAACAGCGAAAGGGATCTGGGCCCAGCACAGGGCTCAGTGAAATCTCTTAATCTCTAATTTTCTGCTGCTGAGACCTCAGGGTAGAAGGATGAGTGCAAATCAGACATTCTTCTCAGGAAAAATGCTGTGTTTGTTCTGCCTGCATTCCTAACTGGGAGGACAAATGCCTGGGGGCTTGAGAAGGGGAAGGACGGGGAACATTTTTGAGGGTGGTGTATTTGTAGAGAAGTTCTACTTGCCAAGGAATGAGCTCCTGTCTGTCATGATCCAACCCTGGTTGACTTAGTGGAACAAGAGCTTTGCGGTAAGAGAGAACGTAGTTCATCCGTGCACATGACACTTCCACTTACTCGTTCAGCCACTGCCCCATGCTCAGACTGTGCAGTGTGGAACCTTTTCCTATGTTGCCATAACAAATTTCCACAAGCTTCGTGGATGGAAACCACATTTTAAAAAAATATCTCATGGTGCTGTAGCTCAGAAGTATGAAATGCATCATCTCACTGGGCTAAAATCAAGGTGACAGCAAGGCTGCCTTCCCTCTGAATGTTCCAGGCAAGAATCTGCTTCCTCACTTTTCCCAGCTCCTAGAGGCTCCCACATTCCTTGGCTCCTGGTCCCCGTCTTCCTCCCTCAAAGTCCACAAAGGCTGGTCACGCCTCTCACACGGCATCACTCAGACCCTTCTTCCTTGTCCACACCTCTTTCTCTGAATGCTGCTCTGCCTTCTTCCTCATCTTTTAAGGACTTTGGCATTCTATTGGAAACACCAAGATAATCCATCATAATTTCCCTAAAATCATCTAGGATACCCTCCTTTTAAGGTTAGCTGATTAGCAACCGTAATTCCATCTGCAATCTGCATTCCTTTTTTCCATGTAAAATAACATATTCACAAGATATGGCGACTAGGACAGGAACATTTTGGGGTGGGGCGGCATTCTTATCCTTTCCACAAATGGTAAACAAGGTGCATTTGGCCTCTGCTCTTGGACACTGATATTGCAAAGGATTAAATGGGAGGGCAGAAAATGAATGCACCAGTGGACCAATAAATGAATGATCCATTGGGAAGCATCTGTGCATGAGAATGATTGATTGATTGGTTGTTTTTATGAGACGGTGTCTCCCTCTGTGCCCCAGGCTGGAGTGCAGTGGCGGGATCTCGGCTCACCGCAACCTCCACCTCCCAGGTTAAAGCGATTCTCTACACTCAGCTTCCCGAGAGGCTGGGATTACACCCATGTCCCACCACGCCTGGCTAATTTTTTTTTGGTATTTTTTTTTTAGTACAGACAAGGTTTTACCATGTTGCCCAGGCTATCTCAAACTCCCAACCTTAAGGGATCCGCCCGTCTCAGCCTCCCAAAGTGCTGAGATTCGAGGCGTGAGCCAAGGCGCCGAGCCGTATTTTAAAAGAAATAATAGATAATGCTGAGTGTATAATTTCGGGTGACAGAGAAGTTCTCACTGATCAAATAATACTTGTGACCTTAATGAAAAAAATAGATCAACCCCTGGAAGATTGGCGGAAGGATTTTCCACACAGCTGTCAGCCGTGAAGGCACAAAGGTGAAAACAATGTTATGTGGAAGGAAGAGGCTCTGCCTGAAATGCTGGGAATGAGATGGGGAGAATGACAAGACGACTGTGGAGAGACAGAGAGCACTCTGGGTACACAGGAAACTAAGGAGGAACAAGGAGCGTGTGTTTGACACTCACAGCCATTGGACTTACCTCGGGGCTAACTGGGAATCCCTACATGATGAATAGTGACTGACATGAAAATAAGGGAGGCCCAGGTGCATAACTGGAATCTAGGAGACTGTGGAAAAGGCAATTCCCGCCCCCCTGGTGAAATGTGGTGCTGATTTAGACACTAAATGAATGAAAGATGGACACAAGATGTGTTTGTGAGGTAGAGTAATTTGCAGGGAGGGCTTGCCTGCTTTGATTTTTCCTAATTGTTTAATCTTCACTTCATTGATTTCTTTCTGAGATTTATTTTTCCTACATGTAAATCAATACTTGGCAGAGGAGTGAGAGATACATGAGGGGTGGTGCAAAGGAAGAGACCTATTATAATATAACACACAAGGTTCTGAACGGTGGCTCACACCTGTAACCCAACATTTTGGGAGGCTGAGGAGGCTGGATCAAGTGAGATCAGGAGTTCGAGATCAGCCTGGACAACATGGTGAAACCCCATCTCTACTAAATATACAAAAACTAGCTGGGGGTGGTGGCGCATGCCTGTAATACCAGCTATTCGGGAAGTTGAAGAAGGAGAATGGCTTCAACCAGGGAGGGAGAGGTTACAGTGAGCCAAGATCGCGTCATTGCACTGCACCCTAGGTGACAGAGTGAGACTCCATGGCAAAAAATAAAAATAAAGAATACATAAATATAATATAACATACACGAATGACAAAGGCACACCAATTCCAATCATCATTTTTCTATTTCTCTATAATGACTTCTTTGATCCTTTATCCTATCCATAAGAAAATCAGGCGAAAACATCTTCCTTATTTGGCTTTCTGTGAGCATGAGATCATATGGAAAATGTGAAACCCACCAGCGCAGGTCCTGGAATAGAGAACGTGATCTGTTCATGGCACAAAACTTGCCCCTTCACCCAAATCCCCCACCTCACCCCTACTTCCAATCACATTAATGATACAGATAGATCATGGGGAGGTAAAAACTAATATTCTTTGGAGTTCAGATCGTAGACTCAGAGACCAGTGCCAGCACTATCTCCTGGTCACCTTTTGGAGTAATTCACAGAAAGACAGGCTGTATTGAAGCAACAGATGATGGAGGGGGTGGTCTTTCCCCCAGACTCTCGGGTGGAACAGCAGCCTAATATCTGACTCCCAAGATGACAAAAGTAGCATGTTGCCCACGAGCTTCATCATTATTTCCTGGCTGTTTGATATAAGACAGCTCAACCTCACTTATGTTGATTTCAATGTCACTGTTTTTTCCTTTTCTTGGAGAATGTAATTTGTTTGAGTCAAGAGGGTTGTGGATGTAGAAACTGTAAAGCACATTCACTGTGTATCAATCCCAGTCCAGTCTTCCCAGAGAAGACTCTAAACACCTCCCATACTGCACCTGGGGCTGTGCCAATTTCTATCACTCACCATCACTCCAGGGAGACAGAACACACAGGGAATACATTACATAGGCAGGTTCATTACTTATAGATAAGCAGCGAGTGACAACAGAAACCTTCCTTTCAGGGTGAGCCAGTCCCTCAAGGCTCAGAAAAACTGCTCAGGACACATGGAGTCACTTCATGTGCACTGTAGCTGGGGGAAGCCAGAAAGCAGCCCAGCCTGGGTTTTGTACCCTGGAGCCACAGGGAACACTCAGCTAAAGCACTGCATGATGTTCTCCTCCAGGAAGAACAGGAAGACAGCCCAGGCTGTTCTGAGACGTTCCTCCTGATCTCAGGATGTTGCTGTCTTAGCCTATTTTTGTTGCTATAAAAGAACACTTGAGCCTGGGTATCTTCTAAAGAAAAGAGATGTGTTTGGCTCACTGATCTGCACGCTGTACTAGAAGCAGGACACTACCATCTATTTCTGGCTGCGGCCTCAGGCTGCTCCCACACTGACAGAAGAGAAGGGGGTCCTGCGTGTGCAGAGACCACAGAGATCACATGGCAAGAGAGGGAGAAAGGGGGTGTGATGGAGCTTCCAAGCTCTTTTTAAGAATCAACTCTCCAGGGTACTAATAGAGGGAGAACTTGCTAACCCCGTCCTCTGGGGACAGCATTAATCTATTCATGATGGATCCACCCCCATGACCAAAACACCCCTCCCAATAGGCACAACCTCCCACACTGGGGATTAAATTTCAAAGTGGGGTTTGGAGGGGTCAAACATTGAAACAATAGCAGTTGTATCATCAGCACATTCTATTGTTATTATGAAAACTATAACGGAGAAAGCAGGAGAAAGCTGGGTCTCCCGCCTCGTGGGTGCTTGTCCTAAAGAGGTGTTTTATGTGGTTGCCTGGCAACCAAGAAATGAGAGACAATCCACAAAGAGGAACTGCTATGGTTAGCTTCTTATTGGATTCTCATCTTCCTCCAGGTATCGCCAGACACCTGCATGCTGTGATTAGGTACTCAGTGGCCATCATCCTCTTCACCATCCTTCCCTTCTTTCTCCTTCATCGCTGGTGCTCCAAAAAAAAAAGTAAGCCTCACGAAGCAGAGGCCAGAGAACTCAGGGCCCTGTGCGGAAGCAGGATGGGAGCACGCAGGTGTGTGTTCCTCACTGGCAGGAAAGTCTCTGGCCCAAGGCAGGAGCCAGAGGCAGAGCTTTCTAGAGAGAGCACCAGACAACCTGCCCCTGCCTTCAGCTCACAGACCATTGCCTGATTGTGAACTGTATCCTCACGTCCCCTGCAGCCACTCACATCCAGGAGAAGATTCCATGACAGGCAGAAAGTGGGAGATAGAATCAATGGGATGGGAACTGACAGCTATTCATGGAATGGGGTCTTGCACTCAGAGAGATGGAATGTCTGAGTCTGGCTGTTGGCAGCTGAGGGACCTCAGGCACCTATGGCCTCCCCCTGTGTGTTGGTATCTGTTCATGAAATGAGGACCCAGAAGTGCCCTCCCAGCTGTTTCGATTGCTTCCGTCTCCTACAGATGCTGCTGTAATGAACCAAGAGCCTGCGGGACACAGAACAGTGAACAGGGAGGTAGGTCCTCCTAGCCCAGCCTCATGGATACAGTCTTATTCCCTAATAGTCCTGAAAAATGTGAACACCCTCCCTCACTCAGGATTTCCCTCTCTCCAGGACTCTGATGAACAAGACCCTCAGGAGGTGACATACGCACAGTTGGATCACTGCATTTTCACACAGAGAAAAATCACTGGCCCTTCTCAGAGGAGCAAGAGACCCTCAACAGATACCAGCGTGTGTATAGAACTTCCAAATGCTGAGCCCAGAGCGTTGTCTCCTGCCCATGAGCACCACAGTCAGGCCTTGATGGGATCTTCTAGGGAGACAACAGCCCTGTCTCAAACCCAGCTTGCCAGCTCTAATGTACCAGCAGCTGGAATCTGAAGGCGTGAGTCTCCATCTTAGAGCATCACTCTTCCTCACACCACAAATCTGGTGCCTGTCTCTTGCTTACCAATGTCTAAGGTCCCCACTGCCTGCTGCAGAGAAAACACACTCCTTTGCTTAGCCCACAATTCTCTATTTCACTTGACCCCTGCCCACCTCTCCAACCTAACTGGCTTACTTCCTAGTCTACTTGAGGCTGCAATCACACTGAGGAACTCACAATTCCAAACATACAAGAGGCTCTCTCTTAACACGGCACTTAGACACGTGCTGTTCCACCTTCCCTCGTGCTGTTCCACCTTTCCTCAGACTATTTTTCAGCCTTCTGGCATCAGCAAACCTTATAAAATTTTTTTGATTTCAGTGTAGTTCTCTCCTCTTCAAATAAACATGTCTGCCTTCATTCTTTAGGTGACTCTTTTTTTGGCTGAAAGTTTCCAGTGTTATCATTACCATGTCCAAATAACTCCAACTGTTCTCCACTGGGTTCTCACCCCTGGACTCTGAGCTTCTGGAAGCAGGGTGGAGCCTCATTTGTCTCTGAGACTCCAATTTCCATCCAAAGATGCAGCACATAAGAGGTTCCAAGGATCGTGAATCACATGAACAAGTGATATTCTTACTCTCTGCAGACCTGGAAAGCTGGCAGAGTCATTCCATGATGAAACATTTGTAGAGTCATAGGCCTTGTTAGTCTCATCTCCACGGGGACACATATCAACACATCATCTTTCATACTATAAATATACAGTCGGTCCTCTGTATCTGTGGGATTTACAGGTGTTTATTGAACCAAATATAAATCAAAAATATTCAGAGAAAAAATCCACAAAGTTTCAAAAAGCAAAACTATGTTGAATGGACACAAATGAAGCTGTGTGTAGGCTGTATCAGGAATTATAAATAATCAAGGGATGATTTCATGTACACAGGAGGATGTGCATGGGTTATTTGCAAATGCTGTGCCATTTCATGTAAGAGGCTTGAGCATCTGCAGATTGTGCTATCTGAGTGGAGATCCTGAGACCAATCACCCACGAATAATGAGGGATGACTGTATATAATTTTTATTTCTCAATTTTAAATATAAAACATAAAAAAATTACAATAACAAGATAAAATAAACAAGTGTTTTATAGTGTGAGAATACTTTTAGATATATTTTTCTCCATGTGTAACCCTTGGGCCCATGTTATTTATTGAGAAGACATTCTATTCCACCTTAAACCACATGGCAGCCTTTGTCAACTATAAAGGGACTGTGTGTACACGGATGTATTTTAGACACTGTTTTCTGCTCAGTGGCTCTCTCTCTGTCCACTCTCTTGAGAATGCTGCATTTTATGCAGCCTTATACAACCCCTAAAATTTGGTAGCTGGAGTCCTCTAGTTATTTATTATAGGCTATTTGCTATGCTTTTTTTATTTTTCTTGAGGCAGAGTCTCGCTCTGTTGCCCAGGCTGGAGTGCAGTGGCACGATCTCGGCTCACTGCAACTTCTGCCTCCCAGGTTCAAGGGATTCCGTGCCTCAGCCTCTTGAATAGCTGGCATTACAAGTGCCTGCTACCAGGCATGGCTAATTTTTGTATTTTTAGCAGAGACATGGTTTCACTATATTGGCCAGGCTGGTCTCAAACTCCTGACCTCGGTTGATCACTCACCTCGGCTTCCAAAGTGCTGGGGAAATTGATTTTCTATAGCATTATGTTACTGGATATTTCTGTAAAATTTAAAATGAGGGAGGCAGAGAGACAGAGAGAGAGCAAACCATGAGTTGGAACTCTGGAATCTTGGGACATGAGACAAATTCTAGATAAATCTACAAAAATCCAGAATTTACATGTTGTGATTTTTGCTGATAAAGTACAATTCTAAGATTGTAAATAATTGCATAATCCTTCCCTGGGAGTTTAAATCATTTGAACTGGTTCTGCTGTAATACTAGAAATACAATCATGAAAAATTCTAATGGTTTATTAGTCACAATTGCTCTGAAAACCTTAATAATACCTATTAGATATTTTGCATATTACACAGGAAGAAGAGTTTGAATCTCAGATAAAAGCAATAAAAATACATGAAAAGTCTTTCATGTTAGCACAGATTTTAGGCATCTCGTGTTCAGGAGGTTGGATCTGAGACGTGTTTTGAGTTGGTCATAGTGAAGGACGCGAGGTGTCAATTCTAGTGAGAGCAATTTCCAGGAAGCCATGCTCCGCTCTTGAGCGAGCACCCACTGGGCCTCATGCAAGGTAGAAAGAGCCTGCGTACGTCACCCTCCCATGATGTGGTCAACATGTAAACTGCATGGGCAGGGCGCCAAATAACATCCTGTGCGCTGCTGAGCTGAGCTGGGGCGCAGCCGCCTGTCTGCACCGGCAGCACCATGTTGCTCATGGTCGTCAGCATGGCGTGTGTTGGTGAGTCCTGGAAGGGAATCGAGGGAGGGAGTGCGGGGATGGAGATCTGGACCTGGAGGTAAAGATATGGGCCTAGAGGTGGAGTTATGGGCCTGGAGGTGGAGTTATGGGCCTGAAGTGGAGATCTGGGCCTGGAGTGGAGATCTGGGCCTGGAGTGGAGATAGGGGCCTGGGGTGGAGATATGTGCCTGGAGTGGAGATCTGGGCCTGGAGTGGAGATATGGGCCTGGGGTGGAGATATGTGCCTGGGGTGGAGATATGGGCCTGGAGGGGAGATATGGGCCTGGAGGGGAGATGTGGGCCTAGAGGTGGAGTGATGGGCCTAGAAGTGGAGCGATGGGCCTGGAGTGGAGATATGGGCCTGGAGGTGGAGTTATGGGCCTGCAGTAGAGATATGGGCCTGAAGTGGAGATATGGGCCTGGAGTGGAGATATGGGCCTAGAGGTGGAGTTATGGGCCCGGAGGTGGAGTTAAGGGCATGAAGTGGAGATCTGGGCCTGGAGTGGAGATATGATCCTGGAGTGGAGATATGGGCCTGGGGTGGAGATACGGGCCTGGAGCAGACATACAAGCCTGGAAAGGAGATATGGGCCTGGAGAGGAGATAGAAGCCTGGAGTGGAAATATGGGCCTGGAGTGGAGATATGAGCCTGGAGTGGATATATGAGCCTGGAGTTGAGATAGGAGCCTGGAGTGGAGATATGGGCCTGGAGTGGACTTATCAGCCTGGAGAGGAGATATGGGTCTGGAGTGGAGATACGGACCTGGAGTGGAGATCTGGGCCTGTTGTGTAGATCTAGGCCTGGAGGTAGAGATCTGGGCCTGGAGGCTGAGTCTCTGCACAGCCGAGATCCTTGTTCCTGGGGGCAGGTAGGCAGCGAGGGTGAGTTTACCTTCAGCCCAGCAAGGGCCTGGCTGCCAAGACGCACAACCCAGTGGGGGCAGCAGGGTGCCCTGGTTTGCCTGCAGATGGATGGTCCATCATGATCTTTCTTTCTAGGGTTGTTCTTGGTCCAGAGGGCCGGTCCACACATGGGTGAGTCCTTCCCCAAACCTTAGGGTGTCATCTCCCCACATAAGAGGATTTTCCTGAAATGGGAGGGAAGTCCTGTCGGGGAGTCTCTCATACACTAGGAAGAGGGGACCCTCGGATGCTCGGCCCACATTTCTGACCTTGCCCTCCCCGGCCTTTCTTTCCCTTTCCTGAGTCAAGCTCTGTGAAGACTGGGGTGAGACTAGGGTGCTCCAAGATGGGTGTGCAGGGAGGAAGTGGTGTCAGCAGCAGAGAAAGAGAGGGAAGCAGTGCTAGGAACAGCAGGTCCTCTGAGGACAAAGGTGTAACTCACACCCTCCAGCGTTTCCGTGATGGTAGGGGCTGCAGTGTGGCTGCGGTCTTTCTACCAGAAAAGGTGAGGAAACCACAGCCATGGCCCTGACATTCCAAATCCTCTGATGGGGGCTCAGTTCATCAATTGGCTGATATTCCATTCACATAGGACTTGCCCTCCATGCCGTGTCTACTTTGTATTGTTTTATATGAGTAATTTTGCAGTATTAAAATCTAGTAAGAGTTGCTTCTCCAGCACTTGCTCAAAGTTCTCAGCTGACACTTGTTGTAGGGAGACGCCATGTCTATGCAGGATGGGTCCTTCCTGTAGCCCTGGGCACCCAGGTGTGGTAGGAGCCTTAGAAAGTGGAAATGGGGAGAATCTTCTGGGCACTGGGAGTGAGGGGCGGCTCCACATCCTCCTCTCTAAGGCAGTGCCTCCTTCTCCCCCAGGTGGTCAGGACAAGCCCTTCCTGTCTGCCTGGCCCAGCGCTGTGGTGCCTCGCGGAGGACACGTGACTCTTCGGTGTCACTATCGTCATAGGTTTAACAATTTCATGCTATACAAAGAAGACAGAATCCACGTTCCCATCTTCCATGGCAGAATATTCCAGGAGGGCTTCAACATGAGCCCTGTGACCACAGCACATGCAGGGAACTACACATGTCGGGGTTCACACCCACACTCCCCCACTGGGTGGTCGGCACCCAGCAACCCCATGGTGATCATGGTCACAGGTCAGAGGCTTTCCGTCTGGGCTTCTCACTGTCCCACCTCCTGAATCCCAGAGCTTCTGGTGGGGCTGTCCGTCAGGGTCCCATCACCCAGGCCCTGGCTGTATTTGGGGTCAAGGGAGATTGAATACAGGGCAAATGGGTGCTGTGGTGGGAAGAATAACTGTCCCCAATGATGGCTACATTGTAATCCCTGGAGCCTGTGACTATTTATGTTATAGGGCAGGGGACTGAAGGGGAAGGTGGAGCTCAGGTTGTTGATGAGTTGACCTTGAGATGGGGAGACAGCCTGGACTGTCCCACTGGGCTCAGTGTAATCACAAGGGTCCGCGTGAGAGGTGGAGGAAGAGGGGAGTGGGGATTAGAGCAGTGTAGTGGGAGGGAGACGCTATCAGCCACTGCGGGCTTTGAAAGTGGAGGAAGACCACTAGTCACAGAATGCAGGTGGCCTCTAAGGGCTGGAGAAGTCAGGAGAACTGATTCGCTGATTCTCCAGAGGGAACGCAGCCCTGTAGACGCCTTGATTTCAGCACAGGGAGAACTGGATCCAATTTCTGTCTCCAGAAGTGGAAGGGGTCAGTGTGTTCTCTCCTGCTGCCATGTTTGTGGTAATTTTCTGCAGCAGCAACAGGAAACCAACACAGGAACCCAGGTCAAGGACAAGTTAGGAACCCAGGTCAAGGACAAGTTAGGAAACCAAACAAGGACAGCCAGGTGTGGTGGTGGGCGCGAGTAATCCAACGACTGGGGAGGCTGAGGCAAGAGAATCACTTGAACTGGGGAGGCAGAGGTTTCAGTGAGCCAAGACAACACCACTACACTCCAGCCTGGGTGAAAAAGTGACTGTCTCAAAAATAAATTAATTAATCAATTAATTAAAGAAACCAAACAAGGAGAAGGTTGGCTACCCTGAGATCAGCAAGGGCAGGATGCTGATGTTACCACCAGGCTCCATCCACATAGGAAGGGGTTGATGCTCCTGGAACCAGCACCAGGGGCCACCCTATGGAAGCTGGGGCCATGGAGAAGGCACAGACATGGCAGGAGAGGCTCCCAATCCCCATCAGGAACAGGGTGTGTGGTCACTGATGTCTGTCTTACTGATGAGTTGATACCACCTGCCAGAGACTCCAATTTGTTCAAAAGAGATTGATTCAGGCTGCTAAGAGCCTGGACATGCAGCCTGTCCTCTTCCACCCCCATATAAACAGCAGGAAAGAGATTAGTGGGAAACAGATACAACAGCCCAAGAGATGAGGCTGTCTTCACAGTGGCAAGGGAGTCAGGGGCTACTGGAGACAGAGGGACAGAGAAGAGGGAGGAAGACAGATGGAGGCACCTGCACCAGGGGATATGGGCACAGAAAAGACACGGAGATGCAGAGAGGGAGGAGAGAGACAGACACGGGGAGGGGAACCCTCACTCATTCCAGGTGCCATGGATGGGATGATAAAGAGAGATGCCTTCTAAACTCACAACTTCTCTTTCTAGGAAACCACAGAAAACCTTCCCTCCTGGCCCACCCAGGTCCCCTGGTGAAATCAGGAGAGAGAGTCATCCTGCAATGTTGGTCAGATATCATGTTTGAGCACTTCTTTCTGCACAGAGAGTGGATCTCTAAGGACCCCTCACGCCTCGTTGGACAGATCCATGATGGGGTCTCCAAGGCCAATTTCTCCATCGGTTCCATGATGCGTGCCCTTGCAGGGACCTACAGATGCTACGGTTCTGTTACTCACACCCCCTATCAGTTGTCAGCTCCCAGTGATCCCCTGGACATCGTGGTCACAGGTGAGAGTGTCTAGACATTGTTCTCATTGTCACTGGGACACAGAGTGAATGATCCAGGACTTGGAACCCCCAGGTGGTCATGAGGAAGATAAGTGTGGGATTCTTATGGAAAGAGAGTGACTTGGTGAGGTCTGTACCAACAGAGACAGAGAAACAGGAGACATAAGTACAGAACAGGTGTCATAACAGGGGACAGACACAGGGGCCATACAGGGAGGTAGAAAAGAGAGAAAGAGGTAAAGGAGACACTCAGACAGACAGACATGTCCCAGAGAGAGGTGTCCTTCCATGCTGACTTTGCTCAGAGACCTGGCACAGGTTAGAAGTTTCATTTCTGTTTTACCTCCACAAAGTGTTTCTACCAGAAGAACCCAAGGACACCCATATTTCTGACCTGAGTTGGGCCCTGTGGCCTCAGGCCTTGTGCCACCTACAGATGCCGTGTTTATTCTGACACCTCTGCCTTCCATGCAATGGAGAGTAATCATCCCAGGATATCATGGCCCCAGAACACCAACCCCTGTATGCTGTGTGAACTTGGGGTCCCCAGACTGGATTCTGAGGCTCATATTCCAAATAATCCCACATATGATAGGATCGCTGAGAGACACAGAGAAAAATCAGGGACACCAAAAAGCAAAGACATAAACACACACAAAATGAGCCAGAAGAAGGAGATTAAGAGATTCACAGACACATAAAAAGAAAGAAAAGAGGGCAGAGTGGAGAGAATGATGGAAAGGAGGAGAGAAAAGCCCCAAAATCAGAACCCTGAGGGAGGGACACAAAGACAGAGAAAGATAAAGATGTGGGGATGGATTGCAGAGATTCCAAATAGAACTAGAGAGACTGAGAGGCAGAGAAAGACAAGGAGACGGAGAGAGAGAGATGATAGATGGATAGATAGACGTAGATAGATGATAAATAGGTAGATGATAGATAATGGATTGGTTATAGATACATAGATGATGACTGATAGATGATACATAGAGATGATGATGATGACGATGATGATGATAGACACATAGATATATACATAGATGATACATAAATAGAGACAGAGAGGCAGACAGAGAGGTAATAGAGAGAGAGATAGATGATACATATATAGATAATAGATGATTGATGGATAGATAGACAGATAGACAATTGATAGAGAGATAGATAAGTGATACATAAATATAGATGATAGATAATTTGTAGATAGACACAAAATAGATAAATAGATAGATCGATAGATAATAGATAGAAATGTGCAGAAAGTTATGAACAAGACAGAAAGTGAGAGACTCAAAATTAAAGAAAAAGGAAGATCAAGTCAACCAATCCAAGGAGGGTCAGAGAGAATAAAACAATCCAAAAAGGGAAAACATACCTCAGGGTGGGGAAGTGAGGTCATAGACCTAGAGAGACAGAAAAGGTAGAAGGAGGAAACAGATATGAAGAGAGATGGGGTGGAGAGTGAGAGAGAGAGAGAGAGCATTAGGTCATAGAGCAGGGGAGTGAGTTCTCAGCTCAGGTGTGAGGGGAGCTGTGACAAGGAAGAACCTCCCTGAGGAAACTGCCTCTTCTCCTTCCAGGTCTATATGAGAAACCTTCTCTCTCAGCCCAGCCGGGCCCCAAGGTTCAGGCAGGAGAGAGCGTGACCTTGTCCTGTAGCTCCCGGAGCTCCTATGACATGTACCATCTATCCAGGGAGGGGGGAGCCCATGAACGTAGGCTCCCTGCAGTGCGCAAGGTCAACAGAACATTCCAGGCAGATTTCCCTCTGGGCCCTGCCACCCACGGAGGGACCTACAGATGCTTCGGCTCTTTCCGTCACTCTCCCTACGAGTGGTCAGACCCGAGTGACCCACTGCTTGTTTCTGTCACAGGTGAGAAAAGCCCATATCTCTCTCATGTCCTATGATCCTAAATCCTTAGCTAAGGAGCTTCCTGCTGATGATGGAGAAAAGCATGGACAGATGCAGAGAGAAGACACAGCAGGTGTGAGGGCGGAGTCAGGGCGCAGGATGGCAGACAGGGCACCTCCAAACCCTCCTTCATGGCCTGCATGGAGGCCTCCGATCAGGGCTCCAGGCACCCAGGCAGATGGAGAAAGCGGTCAGGACAGACCCAGAGAAGGGGAGACTGGGCTTAGTTTGGGGAGATCAGAGGTTCCCTCAGCCCCTCAATCTTACCCATTTCCCAGAAGCCCATCATGGCCTCTCACCCACACAGAGAGATATCATCACCAGCAACCCCTACACCCTTTTCTTTTCATTTTCAA
Source organism: Homo sapiens (assembly GCF_000001405.40). Classification (NCBI taxonomy): domain Eukaryota; kingdom Metazoa; phylum Chordata; class Mammalia; order Primates; family Hominidae; genus Homo; species Homo sapiens. The sequence continues at coordinate 440,522 of NW_003571055.2, forward strand.
AAATATTTATTGAGGTTAAATGTAACTATATAATTTACCACCTTTACCATTTTTAAAAGTAAAATCTAGTGGTCATAAATACCTTTATATGCTGGGCGTGGTGGTTCACAGTTGTAATCTCGGCGCTTTGAGAGGCCAAGGAAGGTGGATCATTTAAGATCAGGAACTCGAGATCACCCTGGCCAACATGTGGGAAATTCATCTTTACTAAACAGACAAGAAAAATTAGCCGAGCATGCTGGCATGCACCTGTAGTCCTAGCTACTTGGGAGGCTGAGGCAGGAGAAGCACTTAAAGCCAGGAGGCCGAGGTTGCACTGAGCCGAGATCATGCCACTGCACTGCAGCCTGGGAGACAGAGAGAGACTCTGTTTCTAAATAAATAAATACATCTATATTCTTTTTTTTGTTACCCTCCACCCTTCCCTTCCTGGCCTCTGGTGTCCACCATTGTATTCTCCACCTTCATGAGATCCACCTTTTATCTCCTGCATGTGGGTGAGAAATGGGAATCTTTGTAATGACCTCCAGTTCCATCCATGTGGCTGCAAATGACAGGATGTTATTGTTTCTATGGATGAGTAGTCTCCACTGTGTGTGTGTACCACAGTTCTCTATCCATTCACCCACTGATAGGCAGGTAGGTTGACTCCACATCTTGGCTACTGTGAACAGTGCTGGAACAGTCATATGAGTGCAGATATCACTTCGATACACTGATGTCCTTTCCTTTGGATATAAACCCAGTAGTGAAATTGCTGGATACTATGAAAGTTCTCTTTTTTTTTTTTTTCTTTTTTGAGAAAGAGTTTCCCTCCTTAGTCCAAGCTGGAGTCTAAGTGGTGAGATCTTGGCTCATTGCAACCTGTGCCTCCTAGGTTCAAATGATTGTCCTGACTCAGCCTCCCTAGTAGCTGTGATTACAGGTGCATGCCACCATGCCTGGCTAATTTTTGTATTTTTTTAGCACAGACGGGATATCCCAATTTTGGGCAGGCTGCTCTCAAACTCCTGACCTCAAGTGAGGTGCCTGCCTCGGTTTCCCAAAGTGCTGAAATTACAGGCATAAGCCACTATGCCCAGCCTCCTTTTAGTTTTTTAAAGAATTTCCATACTTTTCTCCATAATAGTTGTACTAATTTACATTCCTACCAACAGGGTACCAGGGTTCTCCTTTCTCTACCATCTTGCCAGCATTTGTTTTGCCTGTCTTGCAGATAAAAGCCATTTTACTTTACTTTATTTTATTTATTTATTTATGTTGAGATGGAGTTTCACTCATAGTCGCCCAGGCTGGAGTGCAAGGGTGTGATCTCAGCTCACTGCAACCTCCGCCTCCCGCGTTCAACTGATTCTCCTGCCTCAGCCTCCAAAGTAGCTGGGATTACAGGCGTGTGCCACCACGCCTAGCTAATTTTTGTATGTTTAGTAGAGAGGGAGTTTCTCCATGATGGTCAGGCTGGTCTCCCGACCTCAGGTGATCCGCCCACCTCCGCTTCCTGAAGTGCCGGAATTACAGGCGTGAGCCACCGGCCTAAAAGGCATTTTAATGGGATGAGATGAAAACTCATCGCGATTGTAATTTACATTTCTCTGATGATGAGTGATGCCGAGTACTTTTTCATATACGTGATCGCCATTTCTATGTTTTGTTTGTGGAGAAATGTCTCCTCATGTCTTTTGCTCGTTTTTTAATTAAATTGTTTTATTGAGTTGTTTGAGCTTCTTATATTTCCAGTTATTAATCCCGTCTCAGATGAATAGTTTGCAAATATTTGCTCCTATTTTGTGGGTTGTCTCTTCACTTTCTTGGTTTATCTTTTGTGGTGCAGAAGTTGCTTGGTTTGATGTAATCCTAATGGTCTATTTTTTGCTTTGATTACTTGTGTTTTGAAGGTTTTAAACAAAATGTCTTTCGTCAGACAAATGTCTTCCCCATTATTTTCTTCTACATGTTTCATAGGTTCAGGCCTTAGACTCATGTTTTTAATCCATTTTCATTTGATTTTTGTTTATGGTGACAGGTATAGATGCAGTTTTATTCCTCTGCATGTAGATATCCAGTTTTCCCCACACCATTTATTGAAAAGACTGTCCTTTCCTGATTGTGAGTTCTTGGCACCTTTGTCAAAGTCCATTAAATGGGCTGGGTATGGTGGCTCACACCTGCAATTCCAGCACTTTGGGAGGCCGAGGCGGGTGGATCACCTGAAGCCAGGAGTTCAAGACCAGGCTGGCCAACAGAGTGAAACCTCGTCTCTACTAAAAATACAAAAATTAGCTGAGCATGGTGACCAGTGCCTGTAATACCACTACTCGGGTGTTTGAGGCAAGAGAATTGCTTGAATCCAGGAAGTGGAGGTTGCATTGAGCTGAGATTGCACCTCTGCACTCCAGCCTGCATGACAGAGCAAGATTCCATCACACACACACAAAAAAAAGCCATTGGGTGTAAATGCATGGATCATATCCGTGTTCTCCATTCTGTTCCATTTTTTATGTGCCTTTCTTTATGCCAATGTCATGCTGTTTTGCTTACTACAGCTCTGTAACATATTTCTAAGTCAGGTAGTGTGATGCTCCTGTTTTCTCTTTATACCTTCAAGTCTCAAGACAGTGGGCATCGCACACAAAAATTATGGAGAAGAGGATCCCAAGACTCCCAGGGTCCAACATTAGATAACAGAGTGTTGGCCATGAACCAACCTCAAAGATTTCCATTGAGTAGAGGACAAGCACCCTCATTTCCTCACATCTCTCCTGTCCCATGTTCTAGGAAACCCTTCAAGTAGTTGGCCTTCACCCACAGAACCAAGCTCCAAATCTGGTGAGTAAAGGACCCCTCTTATCTCTGCTTTTGGAAACCTGGGGAGGTGGAAGCCTTGGATGCAAGCGTTGGCTCAAACCTCCCAGCTCTGTGAATGAGGGCCTGTCTTCCACCATCTCTGAACTCCAGACACTCCAACAGTGAAAGGGATCTAGGGCCACCAAAGGGCTCAGCGAAGTCTCTTAACCTTTAATGTCCTGCAGGTGAGACCTCCTACAAGCTAGAAGAATGATTGCCAATCTGACATCCTTCTCAGGAAAAATGCAGTGTTTTTTCTGCCTGCATTCCTAACTGGAGGATAAATTCCTGGGGACTTGAGAGAGGGAAGGGAAGGGAACATCTCATGAGGGTGGGTGTTTTAGAGAAGTTCCACTTGCCAAGGAATGAATTACTGTTGGTCATGAAGCAACCCTGGCTGACTCAGCAGAGCAAGAGCCTTGCCGTAACAGAGAACAGAGCTCATGCACGCACACTTCGACTCACTGACTCATTCAGCCACGGCCCCATGCTCAGGCTGTGCAGTTGGAATCCTTTCCTATTGTTGCCATAACAAATTTCCACAAGATTCGTGGGTGAAAATAAAGCGGCTTTTTAATTATCTTACAGTGCTGTAGCTCAAAGTATGAAGTGCATCTCACTGGGCTAAAAACAAGGTGACAGCAAGGCTGCCTTCCCTCTGAGGGTTCCAGGCAAGAATCTGCTTCTCACTTGTCCCAGCTTCTAAAGGCTCCCAGTTCCTTGGCTCCTGGTCCCCTTCCTCCTTCCTCAAAGCCCACAAAGACTGGTCACATCTCACATGGCATCACTCAGACCCTTCTTCCTTACCACACCTCTTTCTCTGAATGCTGCTCTCCCTTCTTCCTTATCTTTTGAAAACTTGGGGATTCTATTGGGTTCACCAAGATGAAAATCCATCATAATCTCCCGGAAATCATTCAGGATACCCTTGTTTTAAGTTCAGCTGACTAGCAACCGTAATTCCATCTGCAATCTTCATTCCTCCTTTCCATGTAAAATAACATATTCACAAGCTATGGAGGCCAGGACAGGGACATTTTGGGGTGGGACAGCATTCTCCTGCCTTCCACGAACGGTGAACAAGATGCATTTGGCCTCTGCTCTTGGGACACTGATATTGCAGATGGTTAAATGGGAGGGCAGAAAATGAATGCACAAGTGGACCAATAAATGAATGATCCATTGGGAAGCATCTGTGCATGAAATCTATTTGTTTGTTCGTTCATTTATTTATTGAGACAGAGTCTCCCTCTGTCTTCCAGGCTACAGTGCAGTGTCACGATCTTGGCTCACTGCAACCTGCGTCTCCTGGATCCAAGTGATTCTCCTGCCTCACCCTCTCGAGTAGCTGGGATTACAGGCAACTGCCACCATGCCCGGCTAACTCTTTTTGTATATTTTTTGTAGAGAGGATGTTTCACCATGTTGGCCAAGCTTGTCTGAAACTCCCAACCTCAAGTGATCCGACCATCTCAGCAACCCAAAGTACTGGGATTACAGGCGTGAGCCACTTTGCCCAGCCAGAATTCAAAATCAATAATAGATAATGCTGAGTGTATAATTTTGGGTGACAGAGAAGGTCTCACTAATCAGATATTTGTGACATTAATGAAAAACACGGATTGAACCCCTGAAAGATTGGCGGAAGGATTTTCCACACAGCTGTCAGCTGTGAAGGCACAAAGGTGAAAACAATCTGATGTTGAAGGAAGAGGCTCTGCCTCAAATGCTGGGAATGAAGTGGGGAGAATGACAAGACGACTGTAGAGAGACGGAGAGCACACTGGGTACACAGGAAACTAAGGAGCAACAAGGAGTGTGTGTTTGACACTCACAGCCATTGGATTCACCTCGGGGTAACCAGGAATCCCTACATGATTAATATGACTGACATGAAAATAAAGGAGGCCCAGGTGCGTAACTGGAATCTAGGAGACTGTGGAAAAGGCAATTGCCACCCCACTGGTGAAATGTGGTGCTGATTTAGACCCTAAGTGGATGAAGCAGATGGATATAAGCTATGCTTGGGAGGTAGAATCATTTGCAGGGAGGGCTTGCTGGGTTTGAGTTTCCTAGTTGTTTAATCCTTGCTAAATTAATTTCTTTCTGAGATTTATTCCTCCTACACATAAATCAATACCTGGCAAAGGAGTGACAGATATATGAGGGGTGGTGGAAATGAAGGGACCTATTATAGCATAGTATACAAGTCTGTGAACGGTGGCTCACTCCTGTAACCCAGCACTGCAGGAGGCTAAGGCCAGTGGATTCCAAGAAATCAGGAGTTCGAGACCAGCCTGGCCAACATGGTGAAACCCTATCTCTACATGGTGAAACCCTATCTCTCCTAAAAATACAAAAATTAGCCGAGCATGGTGGTGCATCCCTGTGATCCCAGCTCCTGCTCTGGAGGATGAAGCAGGAGAATGACTTCAACCCAGGAGGTGGAGGTTGCAGTGAGTGGAGATCGCATCACTGCACTCCAGCCTGGGTGACACAAGGAGACTCCGTCTCAAAAAATAAAAATAAGAAATGCATAAATATAATAAAACACACACGAACGACAAAGGCACCTGAATTCCCATCATCATTTTTCTATTTCTCTATAATTACTTCTTTGATTCTTTATCTTATCCATTAGACAATCAGCCTAAAACCTCTTCCGTATTTGGCTTTCTGTGAGCATGAGATCATATAGAAAATGTGAAAGCCCGCTGAATCCTCCAGCACAAATCCTGGAATAGAGAAAGTGCTCTGGTCATCACAAAAAAAACTTGCCCCCTCACCCAAATCCCCCACCTCACCCCTACTTCCAATCACCTGTGCAGATACAGATAGACCATGGGGAGGTAAATGCTAATACTCCTTGGAGTGAGTCCAGATCTTGGAATCAGAGATCAGTGCCAGCACTAGCTCCTGCTCCCCTTTCCTACTAATTCACAGGAGGACAGGTGGTATTGAAGCAATAGATAGTCGAGGGGGTGGTCCTTCCCCCAGCCTGTCAGGTAGAACAGCAGCCTAACATGTGTCTCCCGAGATCACAAAGAATAGCACATTTCACACGGGCTTCAACACTATTTTCTGGCTGTTTGACATAAGAGAATTCTACTTCGCATTTTTGATCTTGATTTCACTTTTGTTTCCTTTTCTTGGAGAATGCAAGTTGTTTAACTCAAGAATGCCGTGGATGTAGAAATCCTAAAGCACATTCGCTGTGTATCAATCCCAGTCCAGTCTTCCCAGAGAAGACTCTAAACACCTCCTGGACTGCACCTGGGCCTATGCCAATTCCTATCACTCACCGTCACTCCAGGGAGACAGAACACACAGAGAACACATTACACAGGCAGGTTCATTACTAACAGATAAGCAGCGAGTGACAACAGAAGCCTACATTTCAATGTGAGCCAGTTCCCCAAGGCTCAGAAAAGCTGCTCGAGACATGTGGAGTCACCCCATTTGCAGTGTAGCTGGGGGAAGCCAGAAAGCAGCCCAACCTGGGTTTTGTACCCTGGAGCCACAGGAAGCACTCAGCTAAAGCACTGCATCACGTCCTCCTCCAGGAAGAACAGGAAGACAGCCCAGGCTGTTCTGGGACTTTCCTCCTGATCTCAGGACGTTGCTGTCTTAGTCCATTTTTGTTGCTCTAAAGGAACACTTGAGCCTGGGTAACTTCTAAACAAAAGATTTTGGTTTGCCTTACAGTTCCGCAGGCTGTACTGGAAGCATGGCACCAGCATCTATTTCTTGTGACTGCCTCAGGCTGCTCCCACTCTGGCAGAAGGGAAGGAGGGTCTGTCTGTGCAGAGACCACAGAGATCACACGGCAAGAGAGGGAGCAAGGGAGAGGGGGAGTGATGGAGCTTCCAAGCTCTTATGAACAACCAGCTCTCCAGGAACTAATAGAGGGAGAACTTGCTAACCCCGTCTCCTTAAAACAGCATTGATCTGTTCATGATGTATCCACCCCCATGACTCAAACACCTCCCAAGAGGCCCACCCTCCCACACTGGGGGGTAAATTTCAATCTGAGGTTTGAAGGGGTCAAACATCTCAACTAAAGTAGTGGTATCCTCAGCACGTTCTATGGTTACTATGAGAGCTATAACTGAGAAAGCAGGAGGAAGCTGGGTCTCCCGCCATCTGGGTGCTTGTCCTAAAGAGACGCTGTATGTGGTTACCTGTGAATCAAGAAATGCAAGACAATTCATAAAGAGGAACTGCTATGATTAGCTTCTTATTGGTGTCTCCTCTTCTTCCAGGTAACCTCAGACACCTGCACATTCTGATTGGGACCTCAGTGGTCAAAATCCCTTTCACCATCCTCCTCTTCTTTCTCCTTCATCGCTGGTGCTCCAACAAAAAAAAGTAAGTCTCACGAAGCAGAGGCCAGAGAGCTCAGGGCCATGTGGGGAAGCAGGATGGGAGCACACGGGTGTGTGTTCCTCACCAGCAGGATGGTCCCTGGCCCAAGACAGGAGCCACAGAGGCAGGACTTTCTAGAGAGAGCACCAGATTCCCTTCCCCTGCCTTCAGCTCACAGACCATTGCCTGATTCTGAACTGTATCCTCACGTCCCCTGCAGCCACTCACATCCAGGAGAAGGTTCCATGACAGGCAGAAAGTGGGAGATAGAATCAATGGAATGGGACCTCAGAGCTATTCATGGGATGGGTCCTTGAACTCAGAGAGATAGAATGTCTGAGTCTGCTGTTGGCAACTGAGGGACCTCAGGCACCTATGGCCTCCCCCTGTTTGTTGGTATCTGCTTATGAAATGAGGACCCAGAAGTGCCCTCCGAGCTCTTTTGTTGACTTCCGTCTTCTACAGATGCTGCTGTAATGGACCAAGAGCCTGCAGGGAACAGAAGTGAACAGCGAGGTAGGTGCTCCTCGGCCCAGCCTCGTGGCTAGTGTTATTCCCAAAGAGTCCTGAAAAATGTGAGCACCCTCCCTCACTCAGCATTTCCCTCTCTCCAGGATTCTGATGAACAAGACCATCAGGAGGTGTCATACGCATAATTGGAACACTGTGTTTTCACACAGAGAAAAATCACTCGCCCTTCTCAGAGGCCCAAGACACCCCCAACAGATACCAGCATGTACATAGAACTTCCAAATGCTGAGCCCAGATCCAAAGTTGTCTTCTGTCCACGAGCACCACAGTCAGGCCTTGAGGGGATCTTCTAGGGAGACAACAGCCCTGTCTCAAAACTGGGTTGCCAGCTCCCATGTACCAGCAGCTGGAATCTGAAGGCATCAGTCTTCATCTTAGGGCATCGCTCTTCCTCACACCACAAATCTGAATGTGCCTCTCACTTGCTTACAAATGTCTAAGGTCCCCACTGCCTGCTGGAGAAAAAACACACTCCTTTGCTTAGCCCACAGTTCTCCATTTCACTTGACCCCTGCCCACCTCTCCAACCTAACTGGCTTACTTCCTAGTCTACTTGAGGCTGCAATCACACTGAGGAACTCACAATTCCACACATACAAGAGGCTCCGTCTTAACGCAGCACTTAGACACGTGCTGTTCCACCTTCCCTCATGCTGTTCCACCTCCCCTCAGACTAGCTTTCAGCCTTCTGTCAGCAGTAAAACTTATATACTTTTTAAAATAACTTCAATGTAGTTTTCCATCCTTCAAATAAACATGTCTGCCCCCATGGTTTCGGTAATGGGACTCTTTTCTTGCCTAAGGCTTCCGGTGTTATCAGTACCATGTCCATATAATCCCATCTGTTCCCCACTGAGTTCTCATCCCTGGACTCTGATCTTCTGGAAGCAGGGTGGAGCCTCATTTGTCTCTGGGACTCCAATTTCCATCCAAAGATGTAGCACATAGGAGGTTCCAAGGATCGCGAATCACATGAACAAGTGATACTCTTACTCTCTGCAGACCTGGAAAGCTGGCAGAGTCATTCCACAATGAAACATTTGTAGAGTCATAGGCCTTGTTAGTCTCATCTCCATGGGGACACATATCAACACATCTTCTTTCATAATATAAATATACGGTCACTCCTCCATATCTGCGGGGTTTACAGGTGTTTATTGAACCAAGTATAAATCAAAAATATTGAGAGAAAGTATCCACAGAGTTTCAAAAAGCATAACTATGTTAAATGGACACAAATGAAGCTGTGTGTAGGCTGTATCAGGAATTATAGGTAATCTAGAGATGATTTCATGTATACAGGAGGATGTGCATAGGTTATTTGCAAATGCTGTGCCATTTCATATAAGAGGCTTGAGCATCTACAGATTTTGGTATCTGAGTGGAGATCTCAAAACCAATCACCCACGAATAGTGAAGGATGACCGTATATGACTTTTATTTCTCAAATTTAAATATAAATCATAAAAAATGTACAACTAGATAAAAACTAAGAAGTGTTTTTATAGTGTCAGTTAGATTTATTTTTTACTAGGTGTAACCCATTGGTTTAATATTATTTATTGAGAAGACATTCTATGCCACCTTAAACCACACAGCAGCCTTTGTCAACTCTAAAGGGATTGTGTGTACATGGATGTATTTTAGACACTGTTTCTGCTAAGGGGCTCTCTGTGTCCACACTCTTGATGACGCTGCACTTTATGTAGCCTTATAGAACCCTTTAAATTTAGTAGCCAGAGCCCTCTAATTTGTTATTATAGGCTATTTGCTTTTTTTTTCTTGAGGCGGAGTCTTGCTCTGTCGCCCAGGCTGGACTGCAGTGACACAATCTCAGCTCACTGCAACCTCCACCTCCCAGGTTCAAGCGATTCTCGTGCCTCAGCCTCTTGAGCAGCTGGCGTTACAGGTGCCTGCCACCAGGCACGGCTAATTTTTGGATTTTTAGCAGAGACACGGTTTCACTATGTTGACCAGGCTGCTCTCAAACTCCTTATCTCAGTTGATCCGCCCACCTCGGCTTCCCAACGTGCTGGGGAAAACTTGATTTTCTATAGCATTATGTTACTGGATATTTCTGTAAAATTTAAAACGAGGGAGGGAGAGAGACAGAGAGAGATCAAACTCCAGAGTTGGGACTCTGGAATCTTGGGTCATGAGACAAATTTTAGATTAAACTACAAAACTCCAGAATTTACAGGTGTGGTTTTTGCTGATAAAGTACGATTCTAAGATTGTAAATAATTGCATAATCCTTCCCTGGGAATTTAAATCATTTTAGCTGGTTCTGCTGTAATACTAGAAATACAAGCATGAAAAATTCTAATGGTTTATTAGTCACAATGACTCCGAAAACATTAATAATACCTATTAGATACTTTGCATATTACACAGGAAGAAGAGTTTGAATCTCAGATAAAAACAATAAAAATACATGAAAAGTCTTTCACGTTAGCACAGATTTTAGGCATCTTGTGTTCGGGAGGTTGGATCTGAGACGTGTTGTGAGTTGGTCATAGTGAAGGACGCGAGGTGCCAATTCTAGTGAGAACAATTTCCAGGAAGCCGTGTTCCGCTCTTGAGCAAGCACCCACTGGGCCTCATGCAAGGTAGAAAGAGCCTGCGTACGTCACCCTCCCGTGATGTGGTCAACATGTAAACTGCATGGGCAGGGCGCCAAATAACATCCTGTGCGCTGCTGAGCTGAGCTGGGGCGCGGCCGCCTGTCTGCACCGGCAGCACCATGTCGCTCATGGTCATCAGCATGGCGTGTGTTGGTGAGTCCTGGAAAGGAATAGAGGGAGGGAGTGCGGGGATGGAGATCTGGGCCCAGAGGTGGAGATATAGGCCTGGAGGTGGAGTTATGGGCCTGGAGTGGAGATCTGGGCCTGGAGTGGATATATGGGCCTGGAGATGGAGTGATGGGCCTAGAAGTGGAGATCTGGGTCTGGAGTGGAGATATGGGCCTGGAGGTGGAGATATGGGCCTGGAGTGGAGATCTGGGCCTGGAGTGGAGATAGGAACCCGGAGGGGAGATAGGAGCCTGGAGTGAAGATATTGGCCTGGGATGGAGATATGGGCCTGGAGTGGAGACATGGGCCTGGAGGTGGAGATATGGGCCTGGAGGTGGAGATATGGGCCTAGAGGTGGATATCTGGGCCTGGAGTGGACATATGGGCCTAGGATGGAGATATGGGCTTGGGGTGGAGATATGGGCCTGGATTGGAGATATGGGTCTAGGGTGGAAATATTGGCCTGGAGTGGAGATATGGGCCTGGAGTGGAGATATGGGCTTGGGGTGGGGATAGGGGCCTGGGGTGCGGATATGGGCCTGGAGGCTGGGTCTCTACACAGCCGACAGCCCTGTTCTTGGGTGCAAGCAGGCACTGAGGGTGAGTTTCCCTTCAGCCCAGCAAGGGCCTGGCTACCAAGACTCACAGCCCAGTGGGGGCAGCAAGGGAGTCCTGGTTTGCCTGCAGATGGATGGTCCATCATGATCTTTCTTTCCAGGGTTCTTCTTGCTGCAGGGGGCCTGGACACATGAGGGTGAGTCCTTCTCCAAACCTTCGGGTGTCATCTCCCCACATAAGAGGATTTTCCTGAAACAGGAGGGAAGCCCGGTGGGGGATTTTCTTATAAACAAGGATGAGGAGACCCTGGGGTGCTCAGCCCACAGTTCCGACCTTGCCCTCCCCAGCCTTCCTTTCCCTTGGCTGAGTCAGGTTCTGTGGGAACCCGGGAGGGTAGACTGGGGTCCTCCAAGCTGGGCTGTGCGGCTGGGATGTGGTGTCACTGGCAGAGGAAGGGAGCAAAGCAGTGCTAGGAACAGCAGGCCTCTGAGGACAAAGGTGTAACTCACACCCTCCAGCGTTTCCATGACGGTAGGGGCTGCAGTGTGGCTGCTGTCATTCTACCTCAGAGGTGGGGGAACCCCAGCCAGGGCCCTGACCTTCCAAATCCTCTGTTGGGGGCTCAGTTGTGTATTGTGGTTCACACATTGGCTGATATTCCATTCACAAAGAACATGCCCTCGACCCCATGTCTATTTGTGTTGTTTTATGTGAGTAATCTTGCAGTATTAAAATCTAGTAGGAGTCCCTTACTCAGCACTTGCTCAAAGTTCTCAGCTGACACTTTTGTTGTAGAGAGACGCCAAGTCTATGCGGGGTGGGTCCTTCCCGTACCCATGGGCACCCAAGTGTGGTAGGAGCCTTAGAAACGAGGAAAGTGGGGAGAATCTTCTGAGCACTGGCAGGGAGGGGCGGCTCCACATCCTCCTTTCTAAGGTGGCGCCTCCTTCTCCCCCAGGTGGTCAGGACAAGCCCTTGCTGTCTGCCTGGCCCAGCGCTGTGGTGCCTCGAGGAGGACATGTGACTCTTCTGTGTCGCTCTCGTCTTGGGTTTACCATCTTCAGTCTGTACAAAGAAGATGGGGTGCCTGTCCCTGAGCTCTACAACAAAATATTCTGGAAGAGCATCCTCATGGGCCCTGTGACCCCTGCACACGCAGGGACCTACAGATGTCGGGGTTCACACCCACGCTCCCCCATTGAGTGGTCAGCACCCAGCAACCCCCTGGTGATCGTGGTCACAGGTCAGAGGACTCATGTCTGGGCTTCTCCTTCTCCCACTTCCTGAATCCCAGAGCATCTGGTGGGGGTGTCCACCAGGGTCCAATCATCCAGGCCCTGACTGTATTTGGTGTCAATGGGGATTGAATACAGGGGAATGGGTGCTGTGGTGGAAAGAGTAACTGTCGGCAGCATGGCTATATTGTAATCCTTGGAGCCTGTGACTATTTATGTTATAGGACATGGGACTGAAGGGGAAGATGGAGTTCAGGTTGTTGATGAGTTGACCTTGAGATGGGGAGACGACCTGGACTCTCCCACTGGGCTCAGTGTAATCACAAGGGTCCACATGAGAGGAGGAGGAAGAGGAGAGTGGGGATTAGAGCAGCGTAGTGGGAGGGAGAGTCCACCAGCCACTGCGGGCTTTGAAAGTGGAGGAAGGCCAGAAGCCACGGAATGCAGGTGGCCTTTAGGGGCTGGAGAAGTCAATGGAACTGATTCTCCCGAGTCTCCAGAGGGAATGCAGCCCTGCAGATGCCTTGATTGTAGCCCAGGAAGAACAGGGTCTGATTTCTGTCAACAGAAGTGTTCTCTCCCGCCGCCGTGTTTGTGATAATTTTCTGCAGCAACAACAGGAAACAACACAGGAATCCAGGTCAAGGACAAGTTAAAAAACCAAACAAGAGGGTTGGCTACCCTAAGGTCAGCAAGGGTGCACTGCTGATGCCACCACCAGGCTGGAGCCGCATAGGGAGGGATCCACAGGGAGAGTCGGGGGTGGAGGGTGAGAGAGAGAGAGAGCATTAGGTCATAGAGCAGGGGAGTGAGTTCTCAGCTCAGGTGTGAGGGGAGCTGTGACAAGGAAGAACCTCCCTGAGGAAACTGCCTCTTCTTCCAGGTCTATTTGGGAAACCTTCACTCTCAGCCCAGCCGGGCCCCACGGTTCGCACAGGAGAGAACGTGACCTTGTCCTGCAGCTCCAGGAGCTCATTTGACATGTACCATCTATCCAGGGAGGGGAGGGCCCATGAACCTAGGCTCCCTGCAGTGCCCAGCGTCAATGGAACATTCCAGGCTGACTTTCCTCTGGGCCCTGCCACCCACGGAGGGACCTACACATGCTTCGGCTCTCTCCATGACTCACCCTATGAGTGGTCAGACCCGAGTGACCCACTGCTTGTTTCTGTCACAGGTGAGGAAAGCCCATGCCTGTCCCATGTCCTGTGATCCTAGAGCCTTAGCTGAGGAGCTTCCTGCTGATGATGGAGAGAAGCATGGACAGATGCAGAGAGAACACGCAGCATGGTGTGAGGGAGGGATCAGGGCACAGGATGGCAGACAGGGCACCTCCAAACCCTCCTGCACGGCCTGCATGGAGGCCCGCGGCCAGGGCTCCAGGCACCCAGGCAGATGGAGAAAGTGGTCAGGACAGACCCAGAGGAGGGAGACTCGGCTCAGTTTGGGGAGATCAGAGGCTCCCTCAGACCCTAAACCTTACCCATTTCCCAGAAGCCCATACTGGCCTCTCACCCACACAGAGATGTCATCACCAGCAACCCCTACACCCTTTTCTTTCCGTTTGAAAAAACATTTATTTAGGTTAAATGTAACTATATAATTTGCCACCTTTACCATTTTTAAAAGTAAAATCTAGTGGTCATAAATTCCTTTATATGCAGGGTGCAGTGGCTCACAGTTATAATCTCGGTGCTTTGAGAGGCCAAGGAAGGTGGATCATTTAAGATCAGAGGCTCGAGATCAGCCTGGCCAACATGAGGGAAATTCATCTTTACTAAACAGACAAGAAAAATTGGCTGGGCATGCTGGCATGCACCTGTATTCCTAGCTACATGGGAGGCTGAGGCAGGAGAAGTACGTAAGCCCAGGAGGCAGAGGTTGCACTGAGCTGAGATCAGGCCACTGCACTGCAGCCTGGGAGACAGAGAGAGATTCTGTCTCTAAATAAATAAATACATCTATATTCTTTTTTATTGTTGTTGTTACACTCCACCCTTTACTTCCTGCCCTCTGGTAGCCACCATTCTACTCTCTACCTTCATGAGATCCACCTTTTAGCTCCTGTATATGGGTGAGAAATGGGAATCTTTGCAATGACCTCCAGTTCCATCCATGTGGCTGCAAATGTCAGGATGTTATTCTTTCTACGGATGAGTACTCTCCACTGTGTGTGTGTACTACATTCTCTCTATCCATTCACCCACTGACGGGCAGGTAAGTTGACTCCACATCTTGGCTACTGTGAACAGTGCTGCACCAATCGTATGAGTGCAGATATCACTTCGATACACTGATGTCCTTCCCTTTGGGTTTACACCCAGTAGTGGAATTGCTAGATCCTATCAACAGGGTACCAGGGTTCTCCTTTCTCTACCACCTTGCCAGCATTTATTTTGTCTGTGTTTCAGATAAAAGCCACTTTAATGGGATGAGATGATAGCTCACTGTGATTTCAATTGGCATGATTAGTGATACTGAGCACTTTTTCATGTACATGTTCGCCATTTGTACGTTTTGTTTGTTGAGAAATGTCTGTTCAGGTCTTTTACTAATTGTTAAATTAAATTCATTGTTTTATACCGTTGCTTGAGTTTTATGTATATTCTAGTTATTAATCCCCTCTCAGATGCATACTTCACAAATATTTTCTCCCAATTTGTCTCTTCTTCACTTTGTTGGTTGCTTCCTTTGCGGTGCAGAAGCTGCTTACTTTGATGTAATCCCGAAGGTCTATTATTTTGTTTTGATTTCTTGTGTTTTTGAGATTTCAAATAAAATGTCTTTCCTCAGACAAATGTCCTGGAGCATTTCCCCACTCTTTCCTTTTAGACGCTTAATGGTTTCAGGCCTTAAGTGTTTCTTCCATTTTCATTTGATTTCTGTGTATGGTGAGAGGTAGAGGTGCAGTTTCATCAACTGCATGTAGATACCAGTTTTCCCTGCTCCATTTATTGAAAAGACCGTCGTTTCCTGATTGCAGGTTCTTGGCACGTACAATCGTCAAAGTCCATTGGATGTGAATGCATGAATTATATCTGTGTTCTTCATTCTGCTCCATTGCTCTAAGGGCCTTTATGCCAATGTCATGCTGTTGTGCTTACTACAGCTTTGTAACATATTTTTAAGTCAGGGAGTGTGAGGCCTCCAGCACCTGTTTTGTCTTTATACCTCGAAATCTCAGGACACTGGGCATCATTTAACAATGATGATGGAGAAGGGGACGCCAGGACTCCTAGGGCCCAACATTAGATAACAGAGTGTTGGCCATGAACCAACCTCAAAGATTTCCTTTGAGTAGAAGACAGGCATCCTCATTTCCTCACCTCTCTCCTGTCCTGTGTTCTAGGAAACTCTTCAAGTAGTTCATCTTCACCCACTGAACCAAGCTCCAAAACTGGTGAGTAAAGATCCCTCTTATCTCTGCTTTTGGAAACCTGGGGAGGTTGGTATCTTGGATTCAAGCATTGGCTCAGCACCTCCCAGCTCTGTGATTGTGGGCCTGTCTTCTAACATCTCTGACCCCCAGACACTACAACAGCGAAGGGTATCTGAGGACAGCAAAGGGCTCAGTGAAGTCTCTTCATTTCAAATTTCTGCAGCTGAGACCTCCTCCAAGCTAGACGGACGAGTACAAATCTGACATCCTTCTCAGGGATAAAGTGGTGTTTTTTCTGCCTGCATTCCAAATTGGAGGATAAATTTGAGGGGACTTGAGAGAGGGAGGGGAAGGGAACATCTGATGAGGGAAAGGTGATTTAGAGAAGTTCCACTTGCCAAGGAATGAGCCCCTGTTGGTCATGATGCGACCTTGGCTGAGTCAGCAGAGCAAGAGCCTTGCAGTAAGAAGGAACGTAGTTCATCCACAAATATGACACTTCCACTTACTCACTTATTCAGCCACTGCCCTGTGCTCTGACTGTACAGTGTGGAACCCTTTCCTGCTGTTGCCATAATAAATCTCCACAATCTTCATGGATGACAACAACACAGCTTTTAAAATTATCTTACAGTGTTATAGCTCAGAAATATGAAATGCATTTCACTGGGCTAAAATCAAGGTGACTGCGAGGCTGCCTTTTCTCTGAAGGTTCCAGGCGAGAATCGGCTTTTCACATTTCCCAGCTCCCAGAGGTTCCCACGCTCCTTGGCATCTGGTCCCCATCCTCCTTCCTCGAAGCCCACAAAAGCTCATCACATCTCTCACGTGGCATCACTCAGATCCCTCTTCCTTACCTCACCTCTTTCTCTAAGTGTTGCTCTGACTTTTTCTTCCTCTTTTAAAGACTTTGGGATTCTATTGAGTTTACCAAGATAATCCATCACAATCTCCCTAAAATCACCCAAGATAACCTCTTTTTAAGTTCAGCTGATTAGCAACCATAATTCCATCTGCAATCTTTATTCCTCCTTTCATGTAAAATAACATATTCACAAGCTATGGAGGCTAGGACAGGGACATTTTGGGGGTGGGCCAGCATTCTCCTGCCTTCCACAAATGGTAAACACGATGCATTTGGCCTCTGCTCTTAGGACACTGACATTGCAGATGGGCAAATGGGAGGGCAGAATATGAATGCACAAGTGGACCAGTAATGATTGATCCATTGGGAAGCATCCGTGCATGAAATCTATTTACCTATTTATTTATCTATTTATCTATTTATGTATTTATTTATTTGCGGCGAAGTCATTCTCTGTCCCCGGGCTGGAGTGCAGTGGCATGACCTCAGCTCACCACAACCTCCGCCTCCCGGGTTCAGGCGATTCTCCTGCCTCAGCCTCCTGACTAGTTGTGATTCCAGTCCCCTCCACCACACCCAGCTAATATTCTTTTATATTTTTTAGTAGAGATGGAGTTTCACCATGTTGCGCAGATTGTCTCCAACTCCCAACCTCAAGTGATCCGACCGTCTCAGCATCCCAAAATGCTGGGACTCAAGGTGTGAGCCACTGCGCCCAGCCGAAATTTAAAATAAATAATAAAGAATTCTAAGTGTATAATTTCAGGAGACAGAGAAAGTCTCACTAATCAGATAATATTTGTGACCATAATGAAAAAAAAAAGTAGATTCAACCCCTGGAAGATTGGCGGAAGGATTTTCCACACACAGCTGTCAGCCGTGAAGGCACAAATGTGAAAACAATCTGATGTGGAAGGAAGAGGCTCTGCATTCAAATGCTGGGAATGAAGTGGGGAGAATGACAAGACGACTGTGGAGAGACGGAGAGCACTCTGGGTACACAGGAAACTAAGGAGGAACAAGGAGCGTGTGTTTGACACTCACAGCCATTGGATTCACCTCGGGGTAGCCAGGAATCCCTACATGATTAATATGACTGACATGAAAATAAGGACGCCCAAGTGCGTAACTGGAATCTAGGAGACCGTGGAAAAGGCAATTCCCGCCCCACTGGTGAAATGTGGTGCTGATTTAGACACTAAATGAATGAAGTAGATGGGTATAAGATATGTCTGTGAGGTAGAATCATTTGTAGGGAGGGCTTGCTGGATTTGATAATGCCTACTTATTTAATTTTGAATATATTAATTTCTTTCTGAGATTTATTTTTCCTACATGTAAATCAATATCTGGCAGAGGAGTGATTGATAGATAGATGAGGGGTGGTGCAAATGAAGGGACTTATTATAGCATAATATACAAGTCTGTGAATGGGAGCTTACGCCTGTAACCCAACACTTTGGGAGGCCAAGGCGTTTGGATCACTTGAGGTCAGGAGTTTGAGACCAGCCTGGCCAACATGGAGAAACCCCATGCTCTTTTTAGCAACCAGTCCTAGGGACCTCATGGAGAACTTGCCAACCACGTCTCATGGGGACAGCATTAATGTATTCATGATGGATCCACCCCCATAACTGGAACGTCTCTCAATAGGCCCAGCCTCCCACACTGCGAGATAAGTGTCAACGTGAGGTTTGGCGGGGTCAAACATCCAAACTATAGCAGTGGTATCCCCAGCATGTTCTCTGATTATTTTGAGAACTATAACTGAGAAAGCAGGAGAAAGCTGGGTATCCTGCCATCGGGGAACTTGTCCTAAACAGATGTTGTATGTGCTTAGCTGGCAACCAAGAAATGAGAGACAATCCATAAAGAGGAACTGCTATAATTAGCTTCTTATTGGATTCCCACCTTCCCCCAGGTATCCGCAGACACCTGCACATTCTGATTGGGACCTCAGTGGCTATCATCCTCTTCATCATCCTCTTCTTCTTTCTCCTTCATTGCTGCTGCTCCAACAAAAAGAGTAAGTCTCACGAAGCAGAGGTCAGAGAGCTCAGGACCATGTGGGGAAGCAGGATGGGAGCACACTGGTGTGTGTTCCTGACTGGCAGGATGGTCCCTGGACCAAGGCAGGAGCCACAGAGGCAGGGCTTTCTAGAGAGAGCACCAGACACCCTGCCCCTGCCTTCAGCTCACAGACCATTGCCTGATTCTGAACTGTATCCTCACGTCCCCTGCAGCCACTGACATCCAGGAGAAGGTTCCATGACAGGCAGAAAGGGGAGACAGAATCACTGGGATGGGAACTCAGAGCTATTCATGGGATGGGTCCTTGAGCTCAGAGAGATAGAATGTCTGGGTCTGGCTGATGACAGCTGAGGGACCTCAGGCACCTACGGCCTCCCGCTGTGTGTTGGTGTCTGCTCATGAAATGAGGACCCAAAAGTGCCCTTCCAGCTGTTTTGATGACTTCTATCTCCTACAGATGCTGCTGTAATGGACCAAGAGCCTGCCGGGGACAGAACAGTGAACAGGGAGGTAGGTTCTCCTCAGCCCAG
This sequence comes from Homo sapiens, assembly GCF_000001405.40. NCBI lineage: Eukaryota > Metazoa > Chordata > Mammalia > Primates > Hominidae > Homo > Homo sapiens. The sequence continues at coordinate 459,652 of NW_003571055.2, forward strand.
CCTCATGGATTGAGTCTCATTCCCTAATAGTCTTGAAGAATGTGAGCACCCTCCCTCACTCAGCATTTCCCTCTCTCCAGGACTCTGATGATCAAGACCCTCAGGAGGTGACATATGCACAGTTGGATCACTGCGTTTTCACACAGACAAAAATCACTTCCCCTTCTCAGAGGCCCAAGACACCTCCAACAGATACCACCATGTACATGGAACTTCCAAATGCTAAGCCAAGATCATTGTCTCCTGCCCATAAGCACCACAGTCAGGCCTTGAGGGGATCTTCTAGGGAGACAACAGCCCTGTCTCAAAACCGGGTTGCTAGCTCCCATGTACCAGCAGCTGGAATCTGAAGGCATCAGTCTTCATCTTAGGGGATCGCTCTTCCTCACACCACAAATCTGAACATGCCTCTCTCTTGCTTACAAATGTCTAAGGTCCCCACTGCCTGCTGGAGAGAAGACACACTCCTTTGCTTAGCCCACAATTCTCTATTTCACTTGACCCCTGCCCACCTCTCCAACTGAACTGGCTTACTTCCTAGTCTACTTGAGGCTGCAATCACACTGAGGAACTCACAATTCCAGACATACAAGAGGCTCCCTCTTAACATGGCACTGAGACACGTGCTGTTCCACCTTCCCTCATGCTGTTTCACCTTTCCTCAGACTATTTTCCAGCCTTCTGTCAGTCAGCAGTGAAACTTATAAAATTTTTTGTGATTTCAATGTAGCTGTCTCCTTTTCAAATAAACATGTCTGCCCTCATTGCTTTAGGTAATGTGACACTATTCGCTGAAAGAAACCGCTGTTATCATTACCATGTCCACATAACCCCATCTGTTATCCACTGGGTTCTCTCCCCTGGACTCTGAGCTTCTGGAAGCAGGGTGGAGCCTCATTTGTCTCTGGGACTCCAATTTCCATCCAAAGATGCAGCACATAGGAGGTTCCAAGGATCATGAATCACATGAACAAGTGATATTCTTACTCTCTGCAGACCTGGAAAGCTGGCAGAGTCATTCCACGATGAAACATTTGTAGAGTCATAGGCCTTGTTAGTCTCATCTCCATGGGGACACATATCAACACATCATCTTTCATGCTATATATATATATACAGTCGCTCCTCCGTATCTGTGGGGTTTACAGGTGTTTATTGAACCAACTATAAATAAAAAATATTCAGAGAAGAAAATCCACAAACTTTCAAAAAGCAAAACTATGTTGAAGGGACACAAATGAAGCAGTGTGTAGGCCATATCAGGAATTATAAGTAATCTAGAGATGATTTCATGTATACAGGAGGATGTGCATGGGTTATATGCAAGCGCTGTGCCATTTCATGTAAGAGGCTTCAGCATCTGCAGATTTTGGTATCTGAGTGGAGATCCTGAAACCAATCACCCAGGAATAGTGAAGGATGACCGTATAAAACTGTTATTTCTAAATTTTAAATATAAATCATAAAAAAATTATAAACTAGATAAAAACAAGAAGTGTTTTTATAGTGTGAGAATAAGTTTAGATTTATTTTTTCCTACGTGTAACCCTTTGGTTTAATATTATTTATTGAGAAGACATTCTATGCCACCTTAAACCACAGGGCAGCCTTTGTCAACTCTAAAGGGACTGTGTGTACACGGATGTATTTTAGACACTGTTTCTGCTAAGGGGCTCTCTGTGTCCACACTCTTGAGGATGCTGCACTTCATGTAGCCTTATAAAACCCTTTAAATTTAGTAGCCAGAGCCCTCTAATTTGTTATTATAGGCTACTTGCTATTTTTTTTTTCTTAAGGCGGAATCTTGCTCTGTCACCCAGGCTGGACTGTAGTAGTGCAATCTCAGCTCACTGCAAACTCCGCCTCCCAGGTTCAAGCGATTCTCGTGCCTCAGCCTCTTGAGTAGATGGCATTACAGGTGTCTGCCACCAGGCACGGCTAATTTTTGAATGTTTAGCAGAGACACGGTTTCACTATGTTGGCCAGGCTGCTCTCAAACTCCTCATCTCAGTTGATTCGCCCACCTCGGCTTCCAAACATGCTGGGGGAAACTTGATTTTCTATAGCATTATGTTACTGGATATTTCCGTAAAATTTAAAATGAGGGAGGGACAGAGACAGAGAGGGAGCAAACTCCAGAGTTGGGACTCTGGAATCTTGGGTCATGAGACAAATTATAGATAAAACTATAAAAATCCAGAATTTACATGTGTGGTTTTTGCTGATAAAGTACAATTCGAAGATTGTAAATAATTGCATAATCCTTTCCTGGGAATTTAAATCATTTTAACTGGTTTTGCTGTAATACTAGAAATACAAGCATGAAAAATTCTAATGGTTTATTAGTCACAATGACTCCGAAAACATTAATAATACCTATTAGATACTTTGCATATTACACAGGAAGAAGAGTTTGAATCTCAGATAAAAACAATAAAAATACATGAAAAGTCTTTCACGTTAGCACAGATTTTAGGCATCTTGTGTTCGGGAGGTTGGATCTGAGACGTGTTGTGAGTTGGTCATAGTGAAGGACGCGAGGTGCCAATTCTAGTGAGAACAATTTCCAGGAAGCCGTGTTCCGCTCTTGAGCAAGCACCCACTGGGCCTCATGCAAGGTAGAAAGAGCCTGCGTACGTCACCCTCCCGTGATGTGGTCAACATGTAAACTGCATGGGCAGGGCGCCAAATAACATCCTGTGCGCTGCTGAGCTGAGCTAGGGGTGCGGCCGCCTGTCTGCACCGGCAGCACCATGTCGCTCATGGTCATCAGCATGGCGTGTGTTGGTGAGTCCTGGAAGGGAATAGAGGGAGGGAGCGCGGGGATGGAGATCTGGGCCCAGAGGTGGAGATATAGGCCTGGAGGTGGAGTTATGGGCCTGGAGTGGAGATCTGGGCCTGGAGGGGATATATGGGCCTAGAGATGGAGTGATGGGCCTAGAAGTGGAGATCTGGGTCTGGAGTGGAGATATGGGCCTGCAGTGGAGATATGGGCCTGGAGTGGAGAGAGGAACCTGGAGAAGAGATAGGAACCTGGATGGGAGGTAGGAGCCTAGGGTGGAGATATGGGACTGGAGTGGAGATATGGGACTGGAGTAGAGATATGGGCCTGGAGTGGAGTTATGGGCCTGGAGTGAAGTTATGGGCCTGGAGGTGGAGATATGGGCCTGGAGTGGAGATATGGGCCTGGAGGTGCAGATATGGACCTGGAGTGGAGATATGGCCCTGGAGTGGAGATGTGGGTCTGGAGTGGAGATATGGGCCTGGAGGTGGAGATAAGGGCCTGGAGTGGAGATATGGGCCTGGAGTGGAGATATGAGCCTGGAGATGGAGATATGGGCCTGGAGTGGAGATATGGGCCTGGAGGTGGAGATATGGGCCTGGAGTGGAGATATGGGCCTGGAGTGGAGATATGGGCGTGGGGTGGAGATATGGGCCTTGAGTGGAGATATGGGACTGAAGTGGAGATATGGGTGTGGGGTGGAGATATGGGACTGGAGTGCAGATATGGGCATGGGGTGGAGATATGGGACTGGAGTGGAGATATGGGCGTGGGGTGGAGATATGGGACTGGAGTGGAGATATGGGCGTGGGGTGGAGATATGGGCCTGGAGTGGAGATATGGGACTGGAGTGGAGATATGGGCGTGGGGTGGAGATATGTGCCTGGAGTGGAGATATGGACGTGGGGTGGAGATATGGGCCTGGAATGGAGATATGGGCCTGGAGTGGAGATATGGGCGTGGGGTGGAGATATGGGACTGGAGTGGAGATATGGGCCTGTTGTGGAGATATGGGCTTGGAGTGGAGATATGATCCTGGAGTGTAGTTATGGGCCTGGAGGTGGAGATCTGGGCCCGGGGTGGAGATATGGGCCTGGAGTGGAGATATGGGCCTGGGGAGGAGATATGGGCCTGGAGTGGAGATATGGGCCTGGACTGGAGTTATGGACCTAGGGTGGAGATCTGAGCCTGGATTGGAGATGTGGGCCCAGATTGGCTATATGGGCCTAGGGTGGGAATATCAGCCTGGAGTGGAGATATGTGCCTGGAGTGGAGATATGGGCTTGGGGTAGGGATATGGGAATGGAGGCTGGGTCTCTGCACAGCCGAGAGCCCTGTTCTTGGGTGCAGGTAGGCACTGAGGGTGAGTTTCCCTTCGGCCCAGGAAGGGCCTGGCTACCAAGACTCACAGCCTAGTGGGGATAGCAAGGAAGGCCTGGTTTGCCTGCAGATGGATGGTCCATCATGATCTTTCTTTCCAGCGTTCTTCTTGCTGCAGGGGGCCTGGCCACATGAGGGTAAGTCCTTCTCCAAACCTTAAGGTGTCATCTCCCCACATAAGAGGATTTTCCTGAAACGGGAGGGAAGTCCTGTCAGGGAGTCTCTCTTAAACTAGAAAGAGGGGACCCTGGGGTGCTTGGCCCACAGTTCCGACCTTGCCTCCCTGGCCTTTCATTTCCTTGGCAGAGTCAAGTTCTGTGGGGACCAGGGTTACACTAGGGTGCTCAAAGCTGGGGTGTGTGGTGGGAAAGTGGTAGGAACAGCAGATCCTCTGAGGACAAAGGTGTTACTCACACACTTCAGCGTTTCCATGACGGTAGGGGCTGCAGTGTGGCTGCTGTCATTCTACCAGAAGAGGTGGGAAACCACAGCCATGGCCCTGACATTCCAAATCCTCTGATGGGGGCTCAGTTGTTTATTTTCATTCAGGCATCTGCTGATATTCCATTCTCAAAGGACATGCCCTCCACCCCATGTCTACCCTGTGTTGTTTTATGTGAGTAATCTTACAGTATTAAAATCTAGTAGGAGTCTCTTACTCAGCACTTGCTCAAAGTTCTCAGCTGACACTTTTGTTGTAGGGAGACAGCTTGTCTTTGTGGGATGAGTCCTTCCTTTAGCCCTAGGCACCAAGGTGTGATAGCAGCCATAGAAATGTGGAAAGTGGGGAGAATCTTCTGAGCACAGGGAGGGAGGGGCGGCTCCACATCCTCCTCTCTAAGGCGGCGCCTCCTTCTCCCCAAGGTGGTCAGGACAAGCCCTTGCTTTCTACCTGGCCCAGCCTTGTGGTGCCTCCAGAACATGTGACTCTTCGGTGTCACTCTAATCTTGGGTTTAACAACTTCAGTCTGTACAAGGATGATGGGGTGCCTGTCCCTGAGCTCTACAACAGAATATTCTGGAAAAGCCTTTTCATGGGCCCTGTGACCCCGTCACACACAGGGACCTATAGATGCCGGGGTTCACACACACACTCCCCCAGTGGGGGGTCGGCACCCAGCAACCCCCTGGTGATCGTGGTCACAGGTCAGAGGGCTCCTGTCTGGGATTCTCCTTGTCCCACCTCCTGAATCCCAGAGCTTCTGGTAGGCATGTCCTTGAGGGTCCCTTCACGCAGGCCCTGACTGTATTTGGGGTAAAGGGGGATTGAATACAGGGAAATGGGTGCTGTGGTGGGAAGAATAATTGTCCCCAGTGATGACTACATTCTAATCCCTGGAGTCTGTGACTATTTATGTTATAGGGGAAGGGACTGAAGGGGAAGATGGAGCTCAGGTTGTTGATGAGTTGACCTTGAGATGGGGAGAAGGCCTGGACTGTCCCCCTGGGCTCAGTGTAATGACAAGTGTCCACAGGAAAGGAGGAGGAAGAGGGGAGTGGGGATTAGAGCAGCGTAATGGGAGTCTCCATCAGCTTTGAAGGTGGAGGAAGGCCAGGAGCCATGAATGCAGGTGGCCTATAGAGGCTGGAAAAGTCAAGGAACTGATTCTCCTGAGTCTCCAGAGGGAACGAAACCCTACAGGTGCCTTGATTTTAGCCCAGGAAAAACAGGGCCCAACTTCTGCCTCCAGAAATGGAAGGGGTCAGTGTGCTCTCTCCTGCTGCCATGCTGCTGATAATTTTCTACAGCAGCAACAGGAAACCAACACCGGAACCCAGCTCGAGGAAAAGTTAAGAAAGGACACAAGGATAGCCGGGCGTGGTGGCAGGTGCATGTAATCCTAGCGACTTGGGAGGCTGAGGGCAGGAGAATCACTTGAACCCAGGAGACAGAGGTTGCAGTGAGCCTAGACCACACCACTTCACTCCAGCCTGGGCAAAGGAGTGAGACTCTGTCTCCAAAATTAATTAATTAAAGAAACCAAACAAGGAGAAGGTTGGCTACACCAAGATCAGCAAGTGAGGGATGATGATGCCACCACCAGGCTCCATCCACATAGGGAGCGGTTGATACTCCTCCAACCAGCACCAGGAGCCAGGCTATGGAAGCTGGCACAGGCATGGCAAGAGTGGCTCCCAGTCCCCACCAGGAACAGGGTGTGTGGACACTGGTGCCTGCCTTACTGATCAGTTCATACCTCCTGCCAAGGATTCCAATTCGACCAAAAGAGATTGAACCAGGCTGCTAAGAGCCTGGATGTGCAGCCTATCCTGGTTCCTCTTCCACCCCCACATATACAGCAGGAAAGACATTAGTTCAAAATAGATACAACAGCCGAAGAGATGAGGCTGAGCCCAGCGGCAAGGGAATCAGAGGTTACTAGAGACAGAGGGACAGAGAAGAGGGAGGGAGACAGATGGAAGGACCTGCACCAGGAGTTATGGGCACAGAAAAGAACATGAAGACACAGAGAGGAAGGAGAGAGACAGACACCAGGGAGGGGAAGCCTCACTCAATCCAGGTGCCATGGATGGGATGATAAAGAGAGACACCTTCTAAATTCACAAACTCTCTTCCTAGGATTCCGCAGAAAACCTTCCCTCCTGGCCCACCCAGGTCCCCTGGTGAAATCAGAAGAGACAGTCATCCTGCAATGTTGGTCAGATGTCATGTTTGAGCACTTCCTTCTGCACAGAGAGGGGACGTTTAACCACACTTTGCGCCTCATTGGAGAGCACATTGATGGGGTCTCCAAGGGCAACTTCTCCATCGGTCGCATGACACAAGACCTGGCAGGGACCTACAGATGCTACGGTTCTGTTACTCACTCCCCCTATCAGTTGTCAGCGCCCAGTGACCCTCTGGACATCGTGATCACAGGTGAGAGTGTCCAGACATTCTTCTCATTGTCATTGGGATGCAGAGTGAATGATCCAGGACTTGGAGGCCCAGGTGGTTGTAAGGAAGATGAGCTTGGTATTCTTATGGAGAGAGACTGACTTGGTGAGGTCTGTACCAACAGAGACAGAGAAACAGGAGACACAAGTACAGACCAGGTGTCATAACAGAGGACACACACAGGGGCCTTTCCGAGAGTTAGAAAAGACAGAAGGAGTTAAAGGAGACAGACAGACAGACATGTCCCAGAGAGAGGTGTCCCTCCATGCTGACTTTGCTCAGAGACCTGGCACATGTTAGAAGTTTCATTTCTGTTTTACCTCCACAAAGTGTTCTCTACCAGGAGAACCCAAGGACACCCATATTTCTGACCTGAGTTGGGCCCTATGGCCTCAGGCCTTCTGGCACCTACAGATGCCATGTTTATTCTGACACCTCTGCCTTCCAGGTAATGGAGAGTAATCGTCCCAGGATATCATGGCCCCAGAACACCAACCCCTGTATGCTGTGTGAACTTGTAGTCTCCAGACTGGATTCTGAGGCTCACATTCCAAATAACCCCACATATGAAAGGATCACTGAGAGGCACAGAGAAAAATCAGGAACACCAAAAAGCAAAGACATAAACACACAGAGAATGAGCCAGAGGAAGGAGATTGAGAGACTCACAGACACATAAAGAGAGAGAAAAGAGGGCAGAGGAGTGGTGAGAATGATGGAAGGGAGCAGAGAAAAGCACTAAAATTAGAGTCATGAGGGAGAGGCACAAGGACATAGAAAGATGGAGATGTGGGGATGAATTGCAGAGATTCCAAAGAGAACTAGAGAGACCGAGAGGCAGAGCAAGACAGATGATAGATGGATAGATATAGATAGATGATAAATAGGTAGATGATAGATAATAGGTTATAGATACATAGATGATGATTGATTGATTCATTAATAGATGAGACATAGAGATGATGATGATGAAGACAGATAGATAATACATAGAGATAGAGAGGCAGACATAGAGAAATCATAGAGAGAGAGAGATGATACACAGATATAGATAATAGATGATTGATGGATAGATAGAAAATTGATAGATAAATAGATGATATATAGATATAGATGACAGGTAGAGAATTTGTAGATAGGCACGGAATAGATAAATAGATAGATCGATAGATAATAGATAGAAATATGCAGAAAGTTATGAACAGGACACAAAGTGAGAAACTCAGAATTAAAAAAAGTAACATCAAGTGAACCAATCCAAGGAGAGTCAGAGAGAATAAAACAATCCAAAAAGAGAAAACATATCTAGAGGTGGGGAAGTGAGGTCAGAGACCTAGAGAGACAGAGAAGGTGGAAGGAGGAAATAGACGTGAAGAGAGATGGGGTGGAGGGTGAGAGAGAGAGAGAGAGAGCATTAGGTCACAGAGCAGGGGAGTGAGTTCTCAGCTCAGGTGAAGGGAGCTGTGACAAGGAAGATCCTCCCTGAGGAAAATGCCTCTTCTCCTTCCAGGTCTATATGAGAAACCTTCTCTCTCAGCCCAGCCGGGCCCCACGGTTCTGGCAGGAGAGAGCGTGACCTTGTCCTGCAGCTCCCGGAGCTCCTATGACATGTACCATCTATCCAGGGAAGGGGAGGCCCATGAACGTAGGCTCCCTGCAGGGCCCAAGGTCAACAGAACATTCCAGGCCGACTTTCCTCTGGACCCTGCCACCCACGGAGGGACCTACAGATGCTTCGGCTCTTTCCGTGACTCTCCATACGAGTGGTCAAAGTCAAGTGACCCACTGCTTGTTTCTGTCACAGGTGAGGAAAGCCCATGGCTGTCCCATGTCCTATGATCCTAGAGCCTTAGCTGAGGAGCTTCCTGCTGAGGATGGAGAGAAGCATGGACAGATGCAGAGAGAAGACGCAGCCTCGGTGTGAGGGAGGGATCAGGGCACAGGATGGCAGACAGGGCACCTCCAAACCCTCCTACATGGCCTGCATGGAGGCCCGCGGCCAGGGCTCCAGGCACCCAGGCAGATGGAGAAAGCGGTCAGGAGAGACCCAGAGGAGGGAGACTGGGCTCAGTTTGGGGAGATCAGAGGTTCCCTCAGCCCCTCAACATTACCCATTTCCCAGAAGCCCATCCTGGCCTCTCACCCACACAGAGATGTCATCACCAGCAATCCCTACACCCTTTACTTTTCTTTGAAGAAATATTTATTGAGGATAAATATACCTATATAGCTTACCACCTTTAACATTTTTTTTTGAGGTGGAGTCTAGCTCTGTCCCCTATGCTGGAGTGCAGTGGCACAATCTCAGCTCACTGCAACCTCCGCCTCCTGGGTTCAAGCGATTCTCCTGCCTCAGCCACCTGAGTAGCTGGTGCTACAGGCACGCACCACCATGCCAGGCTACTTTTTGTATTTTTAGTAGAGAGGTGGTTTCACCATGTTGGTCGAGCTGGTCTCGAACTCCTGACCACATGATCCACCCGCATCAGCCTCCCAAAGTGCTGGGATTACAGGCATGGGCCACCGCACCCAGCCACATTTACCATTTTTAAGTGTAAAGTCTAGTGGTCATAAATACATTTATATATATATATATATACATTTTTTTTACCCTCCACCCTTTTCTTCCTGTCCTCCAGTAGCCACCATTCTACTCTCTACCTTCATGAGATCCACCTTTTAGCTCCTGTATATGGGTGAGAAATGGGAATCTTTGTAATGACCTCCAGTTCCATCCATGTGGCTGCAAATGACAGGATGTTATTCTTTCTATGGATGAGTAGTCTCCACTGTGCGTATGTACTACATTCTCTCTATCCATTCACCCACTGATGGGCAGGTAGGTTGACTCCTCATCTTGGCTACTGTGAACAGTGCTGCACCAATCATACGAGTGCAGATATCACTTCGATATATTGATTTACTTTCCTTTGGATATAAACCCAGTAGTGAAATTGCTGGATACTATGAAAGTTCTCTTTTTTTTTTTTTTCTTTTTTGAGAAAGAGTTTCCCTCCTTAGCCCAAGCTGGAGTCAAAGTGGTGCGACCTTGGCTCATTGCAACCTCCGCCTCCTGGGTTCCAATGATTTTCCTGCCTCAGCCTCCCTAGTAGCTGGGATTACAGGTGCACGCCACCATGCCTGGCTACTTTTTGGTTTTTTTAGTATAGATGCGGTTTCCCCATGTTGGCTGGGCTGCTCTCAAACTCATGACCTCAACTGAGGTGCCCGCCTCAGTCTCCCAAAGTGCCGGGATTACAGGCCTGATCCACCACACCCAACCTCTTTTTAGTTCTTTAAAGGACTTCCATACTTTTCTCCGTAATCGCTGTACTAATTTACACTCCTCCCAACAGGGTACCAGGGTTCTCCTTTCTCTACCACCTTGCCAGCATTTCTTTTGCCTGTCTTGCAGCTAAAAGCCATTTTATTTTATTTCATTTTATTTTGAGGTGGAGTTTCGCTCTTGTCACCCAGGCTGAGTGCAGTGGTGCGATCTCGGCTCACCGCAACCTCCACCTCCCAGGTTCAAGCGATTCTCCTGCCTCAGCCTCCCGAGTAGCTGGAATTACAGGCACACGCCACCACGCCCTACTAATTTTTGTATTTTTAGTAGAGACAGCGTTTCTCTATGTGGGTCATACTGGTCTCAAACTCCCGACCTTATGAGATTCACCCACCTCAGGCTCTCAAAATTCTAGGATGACAGACGTGAGCCACCTCGCCCGGCCTAAAAGCCATTTTAATGGAGTGAGATGAAAACTCACTTTGATTTTAATTTGCGTTTCTCTGATGATGAGTGATACTGAGCAGTTTTTCGTATGTGGGGAAATTTCATGTCTTTTGCTCCTTTTTCAATTAAATCATTTGTTTTATTGAGTTGTTTGAGCTTCTTATATTTCTAGTTATTAATCCCATCTCAGATGCATAGTTTGCACATATTTGCTCCCAATCTGTGGGTTGTCTCTTCACTTTGTTGGTTTATTTTTAGCAGTGCAGAAGTTGCTTAGTTTGAGGTAATCCCAATGGTCTATTTTTGCTTCGATTACTTGTGTTTTCAAGGTTTAAAACAAAATGTCTTTCTTCAGACAAATGTCCTGGAGCATTTCCCCAATATTTTGTTCTACGTGTTTCATAGGTTCAGGCCTTAGACTCACATCTTTAATCCATTTTCATTTGATTTTTGTGTATGGTGACAGGTAGAGGTGCAGTTTCATTCCTCTGCATGTCGATGTCCAGGTTTCCCTGCACTGTTTATTGAAAAGACTGTCCTTTCCTGATTGTGAGTTCTTGGCACCTTTGTCAAAGTCCATTGGATGGGCTGGGCTTGGTAGCTAACACCTGCAATTTCAGCACTTTGGGAGGCCGAGGCGGGTGGATTACCTGAGGCCAGGAGTTCAAGATCAGTCTGGACGACGTGATGAAACATCGTCTCCACTAAAAATATAAAAATTAGCTGAGCATGGTGGTCAGCACCTGTAATACCACTACTCAGGAGTTTGAGGCAAGAGAATGATTGAACCCAGGAGGCTGAGGTTGCAGTGAACTGAGATTGCACCTCTGCACTCCAGCCTGAGTGACAGAGCAAGACTCCATCTCAAAAGAAAAAATAAAAACCATTGGATGTAAATGCATGGAATATATCTGTGTTATTCATTCTGCTCCATTGTTCTATGTGCCTTTCTTTATGCCAATGTCATGCTGTTTTGCTTACTACAGCTCTGTAACATATTTTGAGATCAGGTAGTGTGATGCTCCTGTTTTCTCTTTATACCTTGAAGTCTCAAGACAGTGGGTGTCACATAAAAAAATTATGGAAAAAAGGATCCCAGGACTCCCAGGGCCCAATATTAGATAACAGAGTGTTGGCCATGAACCATCCTCAAAGATTTCCACTGAGTGGAGGACAGACACCCTCATTTCCTCACCTCTCTCCTGTCTCGTGTTCTAGGAAACTCTTCAAATAGTTGGCCTTCACCCACTGAACCAAGCTCCGAAACCGGTGAGTACAGAACCCTCTTATATCCGCTTTTGGAAACCTGGGGAGGTGGAAACCTTGGATTCAGGCGTTGACTCAGCATCTCACAGCTCTGACATTGTACCCCTGTCTTCCACCATCTCCGAACTCCAGATACTCCAACAGCGAAAGGGATCTGGGCCCAACACAGGGCTCAGTGAAATCTCTTCATCCCTCATTTTATGGAGCTGAGACCTCCTACAAGCTAGAAGAATGATTGCCAATCTGACATCCTTCTCAGGAAAAATGCAATGTTTGTTCTGCCTGCATTCCTAACTGGAGGATAAATTCCTGGAGACTTGAGAGAGGGAAGGGAAGGGAACATCTGATGAGGGCGAGGTGTTTTAGAGAAGTTCCACTTGCCAAGGAATGAGCTCCTGTAGGTCATGAAGCAACCCTGGCTGACTCCGCAGAGAAAGCGCCTTGCCGTAACAGAGAACAGAGCTCATGCACGCACACTTCGACTCACTGACTCATTCAGCCACGGCCCCATGCTCAGGCTGTGCAGTGTGGAAGCTTTTCCTATTGTTGCCATAACAAATTTCCACAAGATTCGTGGGTGAAAACAAAACGGTTTTTTAATTATCTTACAGTGCTCTAGCTCAAAGTATGAAGTGCATCTCACTGGGCTAAAATCAAGGCGACAGCAAGGCTGCCTTCCCTCTGAGGGTTCCAGGCAAGAATCTGCTTCTCACTTGTCCCAGCTTCTAGAGGCTCCCACATTCCTTCGCTCCTGGTCCCCTTCCTCCTTCCTCAAAGCCCACAAAGGCTGGTCACATCTCACGTGGCATCACTCAGACCCTTCTTCCTTACCACACCTCTTTATCTGAATGCTGCTCTCCCTTCTTCCTCATCTTTTGAAAACTTGGGGATTCTATTGGGTTCACCAAGATGAAAATCCATCATAATCTCCAGGAAATCATTCAGGATACCCTTGTTTTAAGTTCAGCTGATTAGCAACCATAATTCCATCTGCAATCTTCATTCCTCCTTTCCATGTAAAATAAGATATTCACAAGCTATGGAGGCTAGGACAGGGACATTTTGGGGTGGGACAGCATTCTCCTACCTTCCACAAACAGTGAACAAGATGCATTTGGCCTCTGCCCTTGGGACACTGATATTGCAGATGGTTAAATGGGAGGGCAGAAAATGAATGCACAAGTGGACCAATAAATGAATGATCCATTGGGAAGCATCTGTGTATGAAATCTATTTGTTTGTTTCTTCGTTTGTTTATTGAGACAGAGTCTCCCTCCGTCTTCCAGGCTACAGTGCAGTGTCACCATCTTGGCTCACTGCAACCTGCACCTTCTGGATCCAAGTGATTCTCCTGCGTCAGCCTCTCGAGTAGCTGGGATTACAGGCAACTGCCACCATGCCCGGCTAATTCTTTTTGTATATTTTTTGTAGAGGATGTTTCACCATCTTCGCCAAGCTTCTCTGAAACTCCCAACCTCAAGTGATCCGACCGTCTCAGCATCCTAAAGTACTGGGATAACTGGCGTGAGCCACTGTGCCCAGCCAGAATTTAAAATAAATAATACATAATGCTGAGTGTATGATTTTGGGTGACAGAGAAGATCTCACTAATCAGATATTTGTGACATTAATGAAAAACACGGATTGAACCCCTGAAAGATTGGCGGAAGGATTTTCCACACACAGCTGTCAGCCGTGAAGGCAGAAAGCTGAAAACAATCTGATGTGGAAGGAAGAGGCTCTGCCTCAAATGCTGGGAATGAGATGGGGAGAATGACAAGACGACTGTGGAGAGACGGAGAGCACACTGGGTACACAGGAAACTAAGGAGCAACAAGGAGTGTGTGTTTGACACTCACAGCCATTGGATTCACCTCGGGGTAGCCAGGAATCCCTACATGATTAATAGTGACTGACATGAAAATAAGGGAGGCCCAGGTGCGTAACTGGAATCTAGGAGACCGTGGAAAAGGCAATTCCCGCCTCACTGGTGAAATGTGGTGCTGATTTAGACCCTAACTGGGTGAAGCAGATGGATATAAGATATGCTTGTGAGGTGGAATCATTGGCTGGAAAGGCTTGCTGGGTATGATTTTCCTAGTTGTCTAATCCTCGCTTAATTTCTTTCTGAGCTTTATTCCTACTACACATAAATCAATACCTGGCAAAGGAGTGACAGATATATGAGGGGTGGTGGAAATGAAGGGACCTATTACAGCATAATATACAAGTCTGTGAACGGTGGCTCACGCCTGTAACCCAGCACTGCAGGAGGCCAAGGCGGGTGGATCACACGAAGTCAGCAGTTCGAGACCAGCCTGGCCAACATGGTGAAACCCTGTCTCTAGGAAAAACACAAAAATTAGCCGAACATGGTGGTGCATCCCTGTAATGCCAGCTCCTACTCTGGAGGATGAAGCAGGAGAATGACTTCAACCCAGGAGGTGGAGTTTGCAGTGAGTGGAGATTGCATCACTGCACTCCAGCCTGGGTGACACAAGGAGACTCCGTCTCAAAAAATAAAAATAAGAAATGCATAAATATAAATATAATATAACACACGCAAATGACAAAGGGACCTGAATTCCAATCATGATTTTTCTATTTCTCTATAATTACTTCTTTGATCCTTTATCTTATCCATTAGGCAATGAGCCTAAAACCTCTTCCCTATTTGGCTTTCTGTGAGCATGAGATCATATAGAAAATGTGAAAGCCCGCTGAATCCTCCAGCACAGATCCTGGAATACACAAAGTGCTCTGTTCATCACAAAAAAAACATGCCCTCTCACCCAAATCCCCCACCTCACCCCTACTTCCAATCATCTGTGGAGATTCAGATAGGCCATGGGGAGGTAAATTCTAATACTCCTTGGAGTGAGTCCAGATCTTGGAATCAGAGATCAGCGTCAGCACTAGCTCCTGCTCCCCTTTCCTACTAATTCACAGGAGGACAGGTGGTATTGAAGCAATAGATGGCCGAGGGTGTGGTCCTTCCCCCAGCCTCTGGGGTAGAACAGCAGCCTAACATGTGTCTCCTGAGATCACAAAGAGTAGCACGTTTCACATGGGCTTCAACACTATTTCCTGGCCATTTGACATAAGAGAATTCTACTTCGCTTTTTTTATCTTGATTTCACTTTTGTTTCCTTTTCTTGGAGAATGCAAGTTGTTTGACTCAAGAATGCCGTGGATGTATAAATCCTAAAGCACATTCGCTGTGTATCAATCCCAGTGCAGTCTTCCCAGAGAAGACTCTAAACACCTCCTGGACTGCACCTGGGCCTATGCCAATTCCTATCACTCACCGTCACTCCAGGAAGACAGAACACACAGAGAATACATTACACAGGCAGGTTCATTACTAACAGATAAGCAGCGAGTGACAACAGAAGCCTACATTTCAATGTGAGCCAGTCCCTCAAGGCTCAGAAAAGCTGCTCGGGACATATGGAGTCACCCCATTTGCAGTGTAGCTGGGGGAAGCCAGAAAGCAGCCCAGCCTGGGTTTTGTACCCTGGAGCCACAGGAAGCACTCAGCTAAAGCACTGCATGACGCCTTCCTCCAGGAAGAACAGGAAGACAGCCCAGGCTGTTCTGAGACATTCCTCCTGATCTCAGGACGTTGCTGTCGTAGTTTTTTTTTGTTGCTCTAAAGGAAAACTTGAGCCTCGGTAACTTCTAAAGAAAAGAGATCGGTTTGCCTCACCGTTCTGCAGGCTGTACTGGAAGCATGGCACCAGAATCTATTTCTTGTGACGGCCTCAGGCTGCTCCCACTCTGGCAGAAGGGAAGGAGGGTCTGTCTGTGCAGAGACCGCAGAGATCACACGGCAAGAGAGAGAGTAAGGGGGAGGGGGAGCGATGGAGCTTCCAAGCTCTTTTGAACAACCAGCTCTCCGGGAACTAATAGAGGGGGAACTTGCTAACCCCGTCTCCTTGGGACAGCATTGTTCTGTTCATGATGGATCCACCTCCATGACCCAAACACCTCCCAAGAGGCCCAACCTCCCACAGTGGGGGTGAAATTTCCATGTGAGGTTTGAAGGGGTCAGACATCTCAACTAAAGTAGTTGTATCCTCAGCACGTTCTATGGTTACTATGAGAGCTATAATTGAGAAAGCAGGGGAAAGCTAGGTCTCCCACCATTTGGGTGCTTGTCCTAAAGAGACGTTGTATGTGGTTACCTGTCAATCAAGAAATGCGAGACAATTCATAAAGAGGAACTGCTATGATTAGCTTCTTATTGGTGTCTCCTCTTCTTCCAGGTAACCCCAGACACCTACACGTTCTGATTGGGACCTCAGTGGTCAAACTCCCTTTCACCATCCTCCTCTTCTTTCTCCTTCATCGCTGGTGCTCCAACAAAAAAAGTAAGTCTCACGAAGCAGAGGCCAGAGAGCTCAGGGCCATGTGGGGAAGCAGGATGGTAGCACGCGGGTGTGTGTTCCTCACAGGCAGGATGGTCCCTGGCCCAAGGCAGGAGCCACAGAGGCAGGACTTTCTAGAGAGAGCACCAGATTCCCTTCCCCTGCCTTCAGCTCACAGACCATTGCCTGATTCTGAACTGTACCCTCACGTCCCCTGCAGCCACTCACATCCAGGAGAAGGTTCCATGACAGGCAGAAAGTGGGAGATAGAATCAATGGGATGGGAACTCAGAGCTATTCATGGGATGGGTCCTTGAGCTCAGAGAGATAGAATGTCTGAGTCTGCTGTTGGCAACTGAGGGACCTCAGGCACCTATGGCCTCCCCCTGTTTGTTGGTATCTGCTTATGAAATGAGGACCCAGAAGTGCCCTCCGAGCTGTTTTGTTGACTTCCATCTTCTACAGATGCATCTGTAATGGACCAAGGGCCTGCGGGGAACAGAACAGTGAACAGGGAGGTAGGTGCTCCTCGGCCCAGCCTCGTGGCTAGTCTTATTCCCAAAGAGTCCTGAAAAATGTGAGCACCCTCCCTCACTCAGCATTTCCCTCTCTCCAGGATTCTGATGAACAGGACCATCAGGAGGTGTCATACGCATAATTGGATCACTGTGTTTTCACACAGAGAAAAATCACTCCCCCTTCTCAGAGGCCCAAGACACCCCCAACAGATACCAGCATGTACATAGAACTTCCAAATGCTGAGTCCAGATCCAAAGCTGTCTTCTGTCCACGAGCACCACAGTCAGGCCTTGAGGGGATCTTCTAGGGAGACAACAGCCCTGTCTCAAAACCGGGTTGCCAGCTCCCATGTACCAGCAGCTGGAATCTGAAGGCATCAGTCTTCATCTTAGGGGATCGCTCTTCCTCAAACCACGAATCTGAACATGCCTCTCTCTTGCTTACAAATGTCTAAGGTCCCCACTGCCTGCTGGAGAGAAAACACACTCCTTTGCTTAGCCCACAATTCTCCATTTCACTTGACCCCTGCCCACCTCTCCAACCTAACTGGCTTACTTCCTAGTCTACTTGAGGCTGCAATCACACTGAGGAACTCACAATTCCAAACATACAAGAGGCTCCCTCTTAACACAGCACTTAGACACGTGCTGTTCCACCTTCTCTCATGCAGTTCCACCTCCCCTCAGACTATCTTTCAGCCTTCTGTCAGCAGTAAAACTTATAAATTGTTTTTAGTAATTTCAATGTAGTTTTCCCTCCTTCAAATAAACATGTCTGCCCTCATGGTTTCGGTAATGGGACTCTTTTCTTGCCTAAGGCTTCTGGTGTTATCATTACCATGTCCACATAACCCCATCTGTTCTCCACTGGGTTCTCACCCCTGGACTCTGAGCTTCTGGAACAGGGTGGACCCTGACTTGTCTCTGAGACTCCAATTTCCATCCAAAGATGCAGCACATAGGAAGTTCCAAGGATCGTGAATCACATGAACAAGTGATATTCTTACTCTCTGCAGACCTGGAAAGCTGGCAGAGTCATTCCATGATGAAACATTTGTAGAGTCATAGGCCTTGTTAGTCTCATCTCCACGGGGACACATGTCAACGCATCATCTTTCATACTATAAATATACAGTCGCTCCTCCGTATCTGTGGGGTTTACAGGTGTTTATTGAACCAAGTATAAATCAAAAATATTCAGAGAAAAAGCCCACAAAGTTCCAAAAAGCAAAACTGTGTTGAATGCACACAAATGAGGTGGTGTATAGGCTGTATCAGGAATTATAAGTAATCAAGAGATGATTTCATGTATACAGGAGGATGTGCATGGGTTATATCCAAATGCTGTGTCATTTTATGTAAGAGGCTTGAGCATCTGCAGATTTTAGTATCTGAGTGGAGATCCTGAAACCAATCACCCATGAATAGTGAAGGATGACGGTATAGGACTTTTATTTCTCAAATTTAAATATAAATCATAAAAAATGTACAATAACTAGATAAAAACTAAGAAGTGTTTTTATAGTGTGAGAATAAGTTTAGATTTATTATTTCCTATGTGTAACCCTTTGGTTTAATATTATTTATTGAGAAGACATTCTATGCCACCTTAAACCACACGGCAGCCTTTGTCAACTAAAAAGGGACTGTGTGTACACGGATGTGTATTTTAGACACTGTCTCTGCTAAACGGCTCTCTGTGTCCACATTCTTGAGGATGCTCCACTTTATGTAGCCCCATAGAACCCTTTAAATTTAGTAGCCAGAGGCCTCTAATTTGTTATTATAGGCTATTTGCTATTTTTATTTTCTTGAGGCGGAGTCTTGCTCTGTCGCCCAGGCTGGACTGCAGTGGTGCAATCTCAGCTCACTGCAACCTCCGCCTCCCAGGTTCAAGCGATTCTCGTGCCTCAGCCTCTTGGGTAGCTGGTGTTACAAGTTCCTGCCACTGGGCACGGCTAATTTTTGGATTTTTAGCAGAGACACGGTTTCACTGTGTTGCCAGGCTGCTCTCAAACTCCTTATATCAGTTGATCCGCCCACCTCGGCTTCCCGACGTGCTGGGGGAAACTTGATTTTCTATAGCATTATGTTACTGGATATTTCTGTAAAATTTAAAATGAGGGAGGGAGAGAGACAGAGAGAGAGCAAACTCCAGAGTTGGGACTCTGGAAACTTGGGTCATGAGACAAATTTTAGATAAATCTACAAAAATCCAGAGTTTAAATGTGTGGTTTTTGCTGATAACGTACAATTCAAAGATTGTAAATAATTGCATAATCCTTCCCTGGGAATTTAAATCATTTTAACTGGTTCTGCTGTAATACTAGAAATACAAGCATGAAAAATTCTAATGGTTTATTAGTCACAATGACTCTGAAAACCTTAATAATACCTATTAGATATTTTGCATATTACACAGGAAGAAGAGTTTGAATCTCAGATAAAAACAATAAAAATACATGAAAAGTCTTTCACGTTAGCACAGATTTTAGGCATCTCGTGTTCAGGAGGTTGGATCTGAGACGTGTTTTGAGTTGGTCATAGTGAAGGACGCTAGGTGTAAATTCTAGTGAGAACAATTTCCAGGAAGCCGTGTTCCGCTCTTGAGCGAGCAACCACTGGGCCTCATGCAAGGTAGAAAGAGCCTGCGTACGTCACCCTCCCATGATGTGGTCAACATGTAAACTGCATGGGCAGGGCGCCAAATAACATCCTGTGCGCTGCTGAGCTGAGCTGGGGCGCGGCCGCCTGTCTGCACCGGCAGCACCATGTCGCTCACGGTCGTCAGCATGGCGTGTGTTGGTGAGTCCTGGAAGGGAATAGAGGAAGGGAGTGTGGGGTTGGAGATCTGGGCCCAGAGGTGGATATATAGGCCTGGAGGTGGAGTTGTGGGCCTGGAGTGGAGATCTGGGCCTGGAGTGGATATATGGGCCTAGAGATGGAGTGATGGGCCTAGAAGTGGAGATCTGGGCCCAGAGGTCGAGATATAGGCCTGGAGGTGGAGTGATGGGACTGTAGTGGAGATCTGGGCCTGGAGTGGAGATAGGAACCTGGAGGGGAGATAGGAACCTGGAGGGGAGATATGGGCCTGGAGGTGGAGATATGGGCCTGGAGTGGAGTCATGGGCCTGGAGGTGGAGTTACGGGCCTGCAGTAGAGATATGGGCCTGAAGTGGAGACATGGGCCTGGAGTGGAGATATGGGCCAGGAGTGGAGATATGGGCCTAGAGGTCGATATCTGGGCCTGGAGTGGAGATATGGGCCAGGAGTGGAGATATGGGCCTAGAGGTCGATATCTGGGCCTGGAGAGGAGATATGTGCCTAGGATGGAGATACGGGCCTGGGTGTGGAGATATGGGACTGGAGAGGATATATGGGCCTGGAGTGGAGATATGGGACTGGAGAGGAGATATGGACCTGGAGTGGAGATAAGGGCCTGGATTGGAGATATGGGCCCAGGGTGGAGATCTGAGCCTGGATTGGAGATATGGGCCTGGATTGGCGATATGGGCTTAGGGTGGAAATATCGGCCTGGAGTGGAGATATGGGCCTGGAGTGGAGATATGGGCTTGAGGTGGGGATATGGACCTGGAGGCTGGGTCTCTGCACAGCCGACAGCCCTGTTCTTGGGTGCAGGTAGGCACTGAGGGTGAGTTTACCTTCAGCCCAGGAAGGGCCTGGCTACCAAGACTCACAGCCCAGTGGGGGCAGCAAGGGTGCCCTGGTTTGCCTGCAGATGGGTCATCCATCATGATCTTTCTTTCCAGGGTTCTTCTTGCTGCAGGGGGCCTGGCCACATGAGGGTGAGTCCTTCTCCAAACCTTCGGGTGTCATCTCCCCACATAAGAGGATTTTCCTGAAATGGGAGGGAAGTCCTGTCAGGGAGTCTCTCATAAACTAGGAAGAAGGGACCCTGGGGTGCTGGGCCCACATTTCTGACCTTGCCTCCCTGGCCTTTCATTCCCTTGGCAGAGTCAAGTTCTGTGGGGACCAGGGTTAGACTACGGTGCTCAAAGCTGGGGTGTGTGGTGGGGAAGTGGTAGGAACAGCAGATCCTCTGAGGACAAAGGTGTTACTCACACACTTCAGCGTTTCCATGACGGTAGGGGCTGCAGTGTGGCTGCTGTCATTCTACCAGAAGAGGTGGGAAAACCACAGCCATGGCCCTGACATTCCAATCCTCTGATGGGGACTCAGTTGTTTATTTTCGTTCAGGCATCGGCTGATATTCCATTCTCAAAGGACATGCCCTCCACCCCATGTCTACCCTGTGTTGTTTTATGTGAGTAATCTTACAGTATTAAAATCTAGTAGGAGTCTCTTACTCAGCACTTGCTCAAAGTTCTCAGCTGACACTTTTGTTGTAGGGAGACACCTTGTGTTTGCGGGATGGGTTCTTCCTTTAGCCCTGGGCACCAAGGTGTGATAGCAGCCATAGAAACTTGGAAAGCGAGGAGAATCTTCAGAGCACAGGGAGGGAGGGGCGGCTCCACATCCTCCTCTCTAAGGCGGTGCCTCCTTCTCCCCACGGTGGTCAGGACAAGCCCTTGCTGTCTGCCTGGCCAAGCCCTGTGGTGCCTCCAGGATATGTGATTCTTCAGTGTCATTCTTATCTTGGGTTTAACAACTTCAGTCTGTAAAAGGAAGATGGGGTGCCTGTCCCTGAGCTCTACAACATAATATTCTGGAACAGCCTTTTCATGGGCCCTGTGACCCCAGCACACGCAGGGACCTATACATGTCGGGGTTCACAACCACACTACCCCAGTGGGTGGTCGGCACCCAGCAACCCCCTGGAGATCACGGTCACAGGTCAGAGGGCTCCTGTCTGGGATTCTCCTTGTCCCACCTCCTGAATCCCAGAGCTCCTGGTGGGCGTGTCCTTGCGGGTCCCATCATGCAAGTCCTGACTGTATTTGGGGTAAAGGGGGATTGAATACAGGGAAATGGGTGCTGTGGTGGGAAGAATAATTGTCCCCAGTGATGACTACATTCTAATCCCTGGAGTCTGTGACTATTTATGATATAGGGGAAGGGACTGAAGGAGAAGATGGAGCTCAGGTTGTTGATGAGTTGACCTTGAGATGGGGAGACAACCTGGACTGTCCTGATGGGCTCAGTGTAGTCACAGGGGTCCACAGGAAAGGAGGAGGAAGAGGGGAGTGGGGATTACAGCAGCATAATGGGAGTCTCCATCAGCTTTGAAGGTGGAGGAAGTCCAGGAGCCATGAATGCAGGTGGCCTATAGAGGCTGGAAAAGTCAAGGAACTGATTCTCCTGAGTCTCCAGAGGGAACGAAGCCCTGCAGGTACCTTGATTTTACCCACGACAAACAGGGTCCGATTTCTGTCTCCAGAATTGGAAGGGGTTAGTGTGCTCTCTCCTGCTGCCATGCTTCTGATAATTTTCTACAGCAGCAACAGGAAACCAACACTGGAACCCAGGTCAAGGACAAGTTAAGAAACAACACAAGGATAGCCAGGCATGGTGGCAGGTGCATGTAATCCTAGCGACTTGGGAGGCTGAGGGCAGGAGAATCACTTGAACCCAGGAGACAGAGGTTGCAGTAAGCCTAGACCACACCACTTCACTCCAGCCTGGGCAAAGGAGTGAGACTCTGTCGCCAAAATTAATTAATTAATTAAAGAAACCAAACAAGGAGAAGGTTGGCTACACTGAGATCAGCAAGGCTCGGATGATGATGCCACCACCAGGCTCCATCCACATAGGGAGCGGTTGATACTCCTCCAACCAGCACCAGGAGCCAGGCTATGGAAGCTGGCACTGGCATGGCAAGAGTGTCTCCCAGTCCCTACCAGGAACAGGGTGTGTGGCCACTGGTGCCTGCCTTACTGATCAGTTCATACCTCCTGCCAAGGATTCCAATTCGTCCAAAAGAGATTGAACCAGGCTGCTAAGAGCCTGGATGTGCAGCCTATCCTGGTTCCTCTTCCACCCCCACACAGACAGCAGGAAAGACATTAGTTCGAAATAGATACAACAGCCCAAGAGATGAGGCTGAGCCCAGCGGCAAGGGAATCAGAGGCTACTAGAGACAGAGGGACAGAGAAGAGTGAGGGAGACAGATGGAAGGACCTGCACCAGGAGTTATGGGCACAGAAAAGAACATGAAGACACAGAGAGGAAGGAGAGAGATAAGACACCAGGAAGGGGAAGCCTGACTCAATCCAGGTGCCATGGATGGGATGATAAAGAGAGACACCTTCTAAACTCACAACCTCTCTTCCTAGGAGTCCACAGAAAACCTTCCCTCCTGGCCCACCCAGGTCGCCTGGTGAAATCAGAAGAGACAGTCATCCTGCAATGTTGGTCAGATGTCATGTTTGAACACTTCCTTCTGCACAGAGAGGGGATGTTTAACGACACTTTGCGCCTCATTGGAGAACACCATGATGGGGTCTCCAAGGCCAACTTCTCCATCAGTCGCATGAAGCAAGACCTGGCAGGGACCTACAGATGCTACGGTTCTGTTACTCACTCCCCCTATCAGTTGTCAGCTCCCAGTGACCCTCTGGACATCGTGATCATAGGTGAGAGTGTCCAGACTTTCTTCTCATTGTCATTGGGATGCAGAGTGAATGATCCAGGACTTGGAGGCCCAGGTGGCTGTAAGGAAGATGAGCTTGGTATTCTTATGGAGAGAGACTGACTTGGTGAGGTCTGTGCCAACAGAGACAGAGAAACAGGAGACACAAGTAGAGACCAGGTGTCATAACAGAGAACAGACACAGGGGCCATACCGGGAGTTTGAAAAGACAGAAAGAGTTAAAGGAAACACACAGACAGACATGTCCCAGAGAGAGGTGTCCCTCCATGCTGACTTTGCTCAGAGACCTGGCACAGGTTAGAAGTTTCATTTCTGTTTTACCTCCACAAAGTGTTCTCTACCAGGAGAACCCAAGGACACCCATATTTCTGACCTGAGTTGGGCCCTGTGGCCTCAGGCCTTGTGGCACCTACAGATGCCATGTTTATTCTGACACCTCTGCCTTCCATGTAATGGAGAGTAATCGTCCCAGGATATCATGGCCCCACAACACCAACCCCTGTATGCTGTGTGAACTTGTAGTCTCCAGACTGGATTCTGAGGCTCATATTCCAAATAAGCCCACTTATGAGAGGATCAGTGAGAGGCACAGAGAGAAATCAGGGACACCAAAAAGCAAAGACATAAACACACAGAGAATGAGCCAGAGGAAGGAGATTGAGAGACTCACAGACACATAAAGAGAAAAGAGGGCAGAGAAGTGAGAATGATGGAAGGGAGCAGAGAAAAGCACTAAAATTAGACTCCTGAGGGAGAGGCACAAGGACATTGAAAGATGGAGATGTGGGGATGAATTGCAGAGATTCCAAAGAGAACTAGAGAGACCGAGAGGCAGAGCAAGACAGATGATAGATGGATAGATATAGATAGATGATAAATAGGTAGATGATAGATAATAGGTTATAGATACATAGATGATGATTGATTGATTCATTAATAGATGAGACATAGAGATGATGATGATGAAGACAGATAGATAGATAATACATAGAGATACAGAGGCAGACATAGAGAAATCATAGAGAGAGAGAGATGATACATAGATATAGATAATAGATGATTGATGGATAGATAGACAATTGATGGATAAATAGATGATATATAGATATAGATGACAGGTAGAGAATTTGTAGATAGGCACCGAATAGATAAATAGATAGATCGATAGATAATAGATAGAAATATGCAGAAAGTTATGAACAGGACACAAAGTGAGAAACTCAGAATTAAAAAAAGTAACATCAAGTCAACCAATCCAAGGAGAGTCAGAGAGAATAAAACAATCCAAAAAGAGAAAACATATCTAGAGGTGGGGAAGTGAGGTCAGAGACCTAAAGAGACAGAGAAGGTGGAAGGAGGAAATAGACATGAAGAGCGATGGGGTAGAGGGTGAGAGAGAGAGAGAGAGAGCATTAGGTCATAGAGCAGGGGAGTGAGTTCTCAGCTCAGGTGAAGGGAGCTGTGACAAGGAAGATCCTCCCTGAGGAAACTGCCTCTTCTCCTTCCAGGTCTATATGAGAAACCTTCTCTCTCAGCCCAGCCGGGCCCCACGGTTCTGGCAGGAGAGAATGTGACCTTGTCCTGCAGCTCCCGGAGCTCCTATGACATGTACCATCTATCCAGGGAAGGGGAGGCCCATGAACGTAGGCTCCCTGCAGGGACCAAGGTCAACGGAACATTCCAGGCCAACTTTCCTCTGGGCCCTGCCACCCATGGAGGGACCTACAGATGCTTCGGCTCTTTCCGTGACTCTCCATACGAGTGGTCAAAGTCAAGTGACCCACTGCTTGTTTCTGTCACAGGTGAGGAAAGCCCATGGCTGTCCCATGTCCTATGATCCTAGAGCCTTAGCTGAGGAGCTTCCTGCTGATGATGGAGAGAAGCATGGACAGATGCAGAGAGAAGACGCAGCCTCGGTGTGAGGGAGGGATCAGGGCACAGGATGGCCGACAGGGCACCTCCAAACCCTCCTACATGGCCTGCATGGAGGCCCACGGCCAGGGCTCCAGGCACCCAGGCAGATGGAGAAAGCGGTCAGGAGAGACCCAGAGGAGGGAGACTGGGCTCAGTTTGGGGAGATCAGAGGTTCCCTCAGCCCCTCAACCTTACCCATTTCCCAGAAGCCCATCCTGGCCTCTCACCCACACAGAGATGTCATCACCAGCAACCCCTACACCCTTTACTTTTCTTTGAAGAAATATTTATTGAGGATAAATATACCTATATAGCTTACCACTTTTAACATTTTTTTTTGAGGTGGAGTCTAGCTGTGTCCCCTATGCTGGAGTGCAGTGGCACAATCTCAGCTCACTGCAACCTCCACCTCCTGGGTTCAAGCGATTCTCCTGCCTCAGCCACCTGAGTAGCTGGTGCTACAGGCACGCACCACCACGCCAGGCTACTTTTTGTATTTTTAGTAGGGAGGTGGTTTCACCATGTTGGTCGAGCTGGTCTCGAACTCCTGACCAAGTGATCCACCCGCATCTGCCTCCCAAAGTGCTGGGATTACAGGCATGGGCCACCGCGCCCAGCCACATTTACCATTTTTAAGTGTAAAGTCTAGTGGTCATAAATACATTTATATACATATATATATATATACATTTTTTTTACCCTCCACCCTTTTCTTCCTGTCCTCCAGTAGCCACCATTCTACTCTCTACCTTCATGAGATCCACCTTTTAGCTCCTGTATATGGGTGAGAAATGGGAATCTTTGTAATGACCTCCAGTTCCATCCATGTGGCTGCAAATGACAGGATGTTATTCTTTCTATGGATGAGTAGTCTCCACTATGCGTATGTACTACATTCTCTCTATCCATTTACCCACTGATGGGCAGGTAGGTTGACTCCTCATCTTGGCTACTGTGAACAGTGCTGCACCAATCATACGAGTGCAGATATCACTTCGATATATTGATTTACTTTCCTTTGGATATAAACCCAGTAGTGAAATTGCTGGATACTATGAAAGTTCTCTTTTTTTCTTTTTTTCTTTTTTGAGAAAGAGTTTCCCTCCTTAGCCCAAGCTGGAGTCAAAGTGGTGCGACCTTGGCTCATTGCAACCTACGCCTCCTGGGTTCAAATGATTTTCCTGCCTCAGCCTCCCTAGTAGCTGGGATTACAGGTGCACACCACCATGCCTGGCTACTTTTTGGTTTTTTTAGTATAGATGGGGTTTCCCCATGTTGGCTGGGCTGCTCTCAAACTCATGACCTCAACTGAGGTGCCCGCCTCAGTCTCCCAAAGTGCCGGGATTACAGGCATGATCCACCGCACCCAACCTCTTTTTAGTTCTTTAAAGGACTTCCATACTTTTCTCCGTAATGGCTGTACTAATTTACACTCCTCCCAACAGGGTACCAGGGTTCTCCTTTCTCTACCACCTTGCCAGCATTTCTTTTGCCTGTCTTGCAGCTAAAAGCCATTTTATTTTATTTCATTTTATTTTGAGATGGAGTTTTGCTCTTCTCACCCAGGCTGGAGTGCAGTGGCGCGATCTCGGCTCACCACAACCTCCACCTCCCAGGTTCAAGCGATTCTCCTGCCTCAGCCTCCCGAGTAGCTGGAATTACAGGCACACGCCACCACGCCCGACTAATTTTTGTATTTTTAGTAGAGACAGTGTTTCTCTATGTGGGTCATACTGGTCTCAAACTCCCGACCTTATGAGATTCACCCACCTCAGGCTCTCAAAGTTCTAGGATGACAAACGTGAGCCACCTCACCCGGCCTAAAAGCCATTTTAATGGGGTGAGATGAAAACTCACTTTGAATTTAATTTGCGTTTCTCTGATGATGAGTGATACTGAGCAGTTTTTCGTATGTGGGGAAATTTCATGTCTTTTGCTCCTTTTTCAATTAAATCATTTGTTTTATTGAGTTGTTTGAGCTTCTTATATTTCTAGTTATTAATCCCATCTCAGATGCATAGTTTGCACATATTTGCTCCCAATCTGTGGGTTGTCTCTTCACTTTGTTGGTTTATTTTTAGCGGTGCAGAAGTTGCTTAGTATGAGGTAATCCCAATGGTCTATTTTTGCTTCGATTACTTGTGTTTTCAAGGTTTAAAACAAAATGTCTTTCTTCAGACAAATGTCCTGGAGCATTTCCCCAATATTTTGTTCTACGTGTTTCATAGGTTCAGGCCTTAGACTCACATCTTTAATCCATTTTCATTTGATTTTTGTGTATGGTGACAGGTAGAGGTGCAGTTTCATTCCTCTGCATGTAGATGTCCAGGTTTCCCTGCACTGTTTATTGAAAAGACTGTCCTTTCCTGATTGTGAGTTCTTGGCATCTTTGTCAAAGTCCATTGGATGGGCTGGGCTTGGTGGCTAACACCTGCAATTTCAGCACTTTGGGAGCCCGAGGTGGGTGGATCACCTGAGGCCAGGAGTTCAAGATTAGTCTGGCCGACGTGATGAAACATCATCTCCACTAAAAATATAAAAATTAGCTGAGCATGGTGGTCAGCACCTGTAATACCACTACTCAGGAGTTTGAGGCAAGAGAATGATTGAACCCAGGAGGCTGAGGTTGCAGTGAACCGAGATTGCACCTTTGCACTCCAGCCTGAGTGACAGAGCAAGACTCCATCTCAAAAGAAAAAATAAAAAACCATTGGATGTAAATGCATGGAATATATCTGTGTTATTCATTCTGCTCCGTTGTTCTATGTGCCTTTCTTTATGCCAGTGTCATGCTATTTTGCTTACTACAGCTCTGTAACATATTTTGAGATCAGGTAGTGTGATGCTCCTGTTTTCTCTTTATACCTTGAAGTCTCAAGACAGTGGGTGTCACATAAAAAAATTATGGAAAAAAGGATCCCAGGACTCCCAGGGCCCAATATTAGATAACAGAGTGTTGGCCATGAACCATCCTCAAAGATTTCCACTGAGTGGAGGACAGAAACCCTCATTTCCTCACCTCTCTCCTGTCTCATGTTCTAGGAAACCCTTCAAATAGTTGGCCTTCACCCACTGAACCAAGCTCCGAAACCGGTGAGTACAGAACCCTCTTATATCCGCTTTTGGAAACCTGGGGAGGTGGAAACCTTGGATTCAGGCGTTGACTCAGCATCTCACAGCTCTGACATTGTACACCTGTCTTCCACCATCTCCGAACTCCAGATACTCCTACAGCGAAAGGGATCTGGGCCCAACACAGGGCTCAGTGAAATCTCTTCATCTCTCATTTTATGGAGCTGAGACCTCCTACAAGCTAGAAGAATGATTGCCAATCTGACATCCTTCTCAGGAAAAATGCAATGTTTGTTCTGCCTGCATTCCTAACTGGAGGATAAATTCCTGGAGACTTGAGAGAGGGAAGGGAAGGGAACATCTGATGAGGGCGAGGTGTTTTAGAGAAGTTCCACTTGCCAAGGAATGAGCTCCTGTAGGTCATGAAGCAACCCTGGCTGACTCAGCAGAGCAAGAGCCTTGCCGTAACAGAGAACAGAGCTCATGCACACACACTTCGACTCACTGACTCATTCAGCCACGGCCCCATGCTCAGGCTGTGCAGTGCGGAACCTTTTCCTATTGTTGCCATAACAAATTTCCACAAGATTCGTGGGTGAAAACAAAACGGTTTTTTAATTATCTTACAGTGCTGTAGCTCAAAGTAGGAAGTGCATCTTACTGGGCTAAAATCAAGGTGACAGCAAGGCTGCCTTCCCTCTGAGGATTCCAGGCACGAATCTGCTTCTCACTTGTCCCAGCTTCTAAAGGCTCCCAGTTCCTTGGCTCCTGGTCCCCTTCCTCCTTCCTCAAAGCCCACAAAGACTGGTCACATCTCACATGGCATCACTCAGTGCCTTCTTCCTTACCACACTTCTTTCTCTGAATGCTGCTCTCCCTTCTTCCTCATCTTTTGAAAACTTGGGGATTCTATTGGGTTCACCAAGATGAAAATCCCTCATAATCTCCTGGAAATCATCCAGGATACCCTTGTTTTAAGTTCAGCTGATTAGTAACCATAATTCCATCTGCAATCTTCATTCCTCCTTTCCATGTAAAATAACATATTCACAAGCTATGGAGGCTAGGACAGGGACATTTTGGGGTGGGACAGCATTCTCCTGCCTTCCACAAACAGTGAACAAGATGCATTTGGCCTCTGCCCTTGGGACACTGATATTGCAGATGGTTAAATGGGAGGGCAGAAAATGAATGCACAAGTGGATCTATAAATGAATGATCCATTGGGAAGCATCTGTGCATGAAATCTATTTTTTGTTTGTTCTTTTGTTTATTGAGACAGAGTTGCCCTCTGTCTTCCAGGCTACAGTGCAGTGTCACGATCTTGGCTCACTGCAACCTGCTTCTCCTGGATTCAAGTGATTCTCCTGCCTCCGCCTCTCGAGTAGCTGGGATTACAGGCAACTGCCACCGTGCCCGGCTAATTCTTTTTGTATATTTTTTGTAGAGAGGATGTTTCACCACGTTGGCCAAGCTTGTCTGAAACTCCCAACCTCAAGTGATCCGACCGTCTCAGCATGCCAAAGTAATGGGACTACAGGCGTGAGCCACTGTGCCCAGCCAGAATTCAAAATCAATAATAGATAATGCTGAGTGTATGATTTCAGGTGACAAAGAAGGTCTCACTATTCAGATATTTGTGACATTAATGAAAAACACGGATTGAACCCCTGAAAGATTGGCGGAAGGATTTTGCACACACAGCTGTCAGCCGTGAAGGCACAAAGGTGAAAACAATCTGATGTGGAAGGAAGAGGCTCTTCCTCAAATGCTGGGAATGAGGTGGGGAGAATGACAAGACGACTGTGGAGAGACGGAGAGCACACTGGGTACACAGGAAACTAAGGAGCAACAAGGAGTGTGTGTTTGACACTCACAGCCATTGGATTCACCTCGGGGTAACCAGGAATCCCTACATGATTAATATGACTGACATGAAAATAAAGGAGGCCCAGGGGCGTAACTGGAATCTAGGAGACCGTGGAAAAGGCAATTCCCGACCCACTGGTGAAATGTGGTGCTGATTTTGACACTAAGTGGATGAAGCAGATGGATATAAGCTATGCTTGTGAGGTAGAATCATTGGCTGGAAAGGCTTGCTGGGTTTGATTTTCCTACTTGTTTAATCCTCGCTTAATTAATTTCTTTCTGAGATTTATTCATCCTACACATAAATCAATACCTGGCAAAGGAGTGACAGATATATGAGGGGTGGTGGAAATGAAGAGACCTATTATAGCGTAATATACAAGTCTGTGAACGGTGGCTCACGCTTGTAACCCAGCACTGCAGGAGGCCAAGGCGGGTGGATTCCATGAAGTCAGGAGTTCCAGACCAGCCTGGCCAACATGGTGAAACCCTATCTGTACTAAAAATACAAAAATTAGCCGAGCATGGTGGTGCATCCCTGTAATCCCAGCTCCTACTCTGGAGGATGAAGCAGGAGAATGACTTCAACCCAGGAGGTGGAGGTTGCAGTGAGTGGAGATTGCATCACTGCACTCCAGCCTGGGTGACACAAGGAGACTCCGTCTCAAAAAATAAAAATAAGAAATGCATAAATATAATAAAACACACACGAATGACAAAGGCACCTGAATTCCAATCATCATTTTTCTATTTCTCTATAATTACTTCTTTGATCCTTTATCTTATCCATTAGGCAATGAGCCTAAAACCTCTTCCCTATTTGGCTTTCTGTGAGCATGAGATCACATAGAAAATGTGAAAGCCCGCTGAATCCTCCAGCACGGATCCTGGAATAGAGAAAGTGCTCTGTTCATCGCAAAAAAAAACTTGCCCACTCACCCAAATCCCCCACCTCACCCCTACTTCCAATCACCTGTGGAGATTCAGATAGACCATGGGGAGGAAACATTAATACTCCTTGGAGTGAGTCCAGATCTTGGAATCAGAGATCAGCGACAGCACTAGCTCCTGTTCCCCTTTCCTACTAATTCACAGGAGGACAGGTGGTATTGAAGCAATAGATGGTGGAGGGGGTGGTCCTTCCCCCAGCCTCTCGGGTAGAACAGCAGCCTAACATGTGTCTCCCGAGATCACAAAGAGCAGCACATTTCACACGGGCTTCAACACTATTTTCTGGCTGTTTGACATAAGAGAATCTTGCTTCGCTATTTTTAATCGTGATTTCACCTTTGTTTCCTTTCCTTGGTGAATGCAATTTGTTTGACTCAAGAATGCTGTGGATGTAGAAATCCTAAAGCACATTCGCTGTGTATCAATCCCAGTGCAGTCTTCCCAGAGAAGACTCTAAACAAATCCTGGACTGCACCTGGGCCTATGCCAATTCCTATCACTCACCGTCACTCCAGGGAGACAGAACACACAGAGAATACGTTACATAGGCAGGTTCATTACTAACAGATAAGCAGTGAGTGACAACAGAAGCCTGCATTTCAATGTGAGCCAGTCCCTCAAGGCTCAGAAAAGCTGCTCGGGACATATGGAGTCACCCCATTTGCAGTGTAACTGGGGGAAGCCAGAAAGCAGCCCAGCCTGGGTTTTGTACCCTGGAGCCACAGGAAGCACTCAGCTAAAGCACTGCATGACGTCCTCCTCCAGGAAGAACAGGAAGACAGCCCAGGCTGTTCTGAGACATTCCTCCTGATCTCAGGATGTTGCTATCTTAGTCCATTTTTGTTGCTCTAAAGGAACACTTGAGCCTGGGTAACTTCTAAAGAAAAGAGATTGGTTTGCCTCACAGTTCTGCAGGCTGTACTGGAAGCATGGCACCAGAATCTATTTCTCGTGATGGCCTCAGGCTGCTCCCACTCTGGCAGAAGGGAAGGAGGGTCTGTCTGTGCAGAGACCGCAGAGATCACACGGCAAGAGAGAGAGTAAGGGGGAGAGGGAGCGATGGAGCTTCCAAGCTCTTTTTAACAACCAGCTCTCCAGGAACTAACAGAGGGGGAACTTGCTAACCCCGTCTCCTTGGGACAGCATTGGTCTGTTCATGATGGATCCACCTCCATGACCCAAACACCTCTGAAGAGGCCCAACCTCCCACAATGGGGGTGAAATTTCAATGTGAGGTTTGAAAGGGTCAAACATCTCAACTAAAGTAGTTGTATCCTCAGCACGTTCTATGGTTACTATGAGAGCTATAATTGAGAAAGCAGGGGAAAGCTAGGTCTCCCGCCATTTGGGTGCTTGTCCTAAAGAGACGTTGTATGTGGTTACCTGCCAATCAAGAAATGCGAGACAATTCATAAAGAGGAACTGCTATGATTAGCTTCTTATTGGTGTCTCCTCTTCTTCCAGGTAACCCCAGACACCTACATGTTCTGATTGGGACCTCAGTGGTCAAAATCCCTTTCACCATCCTCCTCTTCTTTCTCCTTCATCGCTGGTGCTCCGACAAAAAAAGTAAGTCTCACGAAGCAGAGGCCAGAGAGCTCAGGGCCATGTGGGGAAGCAGGATGGGAGCACGCGGATGTGTGTTCCTCACCAGCAGGATGGTCCCTGGCCCAAGACAGGAGCCACAGAGGCAGGACTTTCTAGAGAGAGCACCAGATTCCCTTCCCCTGCCTTCAGCTCACAGACCATTGCCTGATTCTGAACTGTATCCTCACGTCCCCTGCAGCCACTCACATCCAGGAGAAGGTTCCATGACAGGCAGAAAGTGGGAGATAGAATCAATGGGATGGGACCTCAGAGCTATTCATGGGATGGGTCCTTGAACTCAGAGAGATAGAATGTCTGAGTCTGCTGTTGGCAACTGAGGGACCTCAGGCACCTATGGCCTCCCCCTGTTTGTTGGTATCTGCTTATGAAATGAGGACCCAGAAGTGCCCTCCGAGCTCTTTTGTTGACTTCCGTCTTCTACAGATGCTGCTGTAATGGACCAAGAGCCTGCAGGGAACAGAACAGTGAACAGCGAGGTAGGTGCTCCTCGGCCCAGCCTCGTGGCTAGTCTTATTCCCAAAGAGTCCTGAAAAATGTGAGCACCCTCCCTCACTCAGCATTTCCCTCTCTCCAGGATTCTGATGAACAAGACCATCAGGAGGTGTCATACGCATAATTGGATCACTGTGTTTTCACACAGAGAAAAATCACTCGCCCTTCTGAGAGGCCCAAGACACCCCCAACAGATACCAGCATGTACATAGAACTTCCAAATGCTGAGCCCAGATCCAAAGTTGTCTTCTGTCCACGAGCACCACAGTCAGGCCTTGAGGGGATCTTCTAGGGAGACAACAGCCCTGTCTCAAAACCGGGTTGCCAGCTCCCATGTACCAGCAGCTGGAATCTGAAGGCATCAGTCTTCATCTTAGGGCATCGCTCTTCCTCACACCACGAATCTGAACATGCCTCTCTCTTGCTTACAAATGTCTAAGGTCCCCACTGCCTGCTGGAGAGAAAACACACTCCTTTGCTTAGCCCACAATTCTCCATTTCACTTGACCCCTGCCCACCTCTCCAACCTAACTGGCTTACTTCCTAGTCTACCTGAGGCTGCAATCACACTGAGGAACTCACAATTCCAAACATACAAGAGGCTGCCTCTTAACACAGCACTTAGACACGTGCTGTTCCACCTCCCTTCAGACTATCTTTCAGCCTTCTGCCAGCAGTAAAACTTATAAATTTTTTAAATAATTTCAATGTAGTTTTCCCGCCTTCAAATAAACATGTCTGCCCTCATGGTTTCGGTAACGAGACTCTTTTCTTGCCTAAGGCTTCCGGTGTTATCATTACCATGTCCACATAACCCCATCTGTTCTCCATTGGGTTCTCAGCCCTGGACTCTGAGCTTCTGGAAGCAGAATGGAGCCTGATTTGTCTCTGAGACTCCAATTTCCATCCAAAGATACAGCACATAGGAGGCTCCAAGGATCGTGAATCACATGAACAAGTGATATTCTTACTCTCTGCAGACCTGGAAAGCTGGCAGAGTCATTCCACGATGAAACATTTGTAGAGTCATAGGCCTTGTTAGCCTCATCTCCACGGGGACACATATCAACATATCATCTTTCATAATATAAATATACAGTCGGTCCTCCATATCTGTGGGGTTTACAGGTGTTTATTGAACCAACAATAAATCAAAAATGTTTTCAGAAAAAAATCCCCGAAGTTTCAAGAAGCAAAAAACTATGTTGAATCGACACAAATTGAGTGGCGTGTAGGCTGTGTCAGGAATTATAAGTAATCAAGAGATGATTTCATGTATACAGGAGGATGTGCATGGGTTCTATGCAATTACTATGCTATTTTTTTTTTTTGAGACAGTCTCACTCTCTCACCCAGGCTGGAGTGCAGTGGCATGATCTCAGCTCACTGCAACCTCCGCCTCCCAGGTTCAAGCGATTGTCTTCCCTCAGCCTCCCCAGTAGCCTCCCCTAGGATTACAGGCACGTGCCACCATGCACAGATAAATTTTTTTGTGTGTGTATTTTTAGTAGAGATGGGGTTTCAGAATGTTGGACCAGCTGGTCTTGAACTCCTGACCTCGTGATCTACCCAACTCAGCCTCCCAAAGTGCTGGGATTACAGGCGTGAGCCACGGTGCCCAGCTTCGCTATGCCATTTCATGCAAGGGGCTTGAGCATCTGCAGATTTTGGTATCTGAATGGGGATCCTGGAACCAATCACCCAGGAATAGTGAAGGACCACAGTATATAATTTTTATTTGTCAATCTTAAAAATAAAGCATAAAAAGTTTACAACAACAAGATAAAAAATAAGAAGTGTTTTTATAGTGTGAGGATAAGTTTAGATTTATTTTTTCCTACGTGTAACCCTATGGTCCTGTGTTATTTATTGAGAAAATATTCTATTCCACCTTAAACTACATGGCAGCCTTTGTCAACTATGAAGGGACTGTGTATCCACAGATGTATTTTAGACACAGTTTTCTGCCCAGTGGTTCTCTGTATCCCCTCTCATGAGGATGCTGCATTTCATATAAACTTATAGAACCCCTTAAAATTTGGTAACCTGAGTTCTCTGATTTGTTATTATAGGTTATTTAGTTTGCTTTTTTTTTTCTTTCTTGAGACAGACTCTTCCTCTGTCACCCAAGCTGGAGTTCAGTGGCTTGAGCTCAGCTCACTGCAGCCTCCGCCTCCCAGGTTCAAGCAATTCTCGTGCCTCAGGTTTAGTACTAGAAACTCATCAGGAAAATTAGAATGGCTTTTTGTCACAATTACTCTGATAATGTTAATAATACCTCTTAGATATTTTGCACATTACACATGAAGAAAAGTTTGAATCTCAGATAAAAACAAAAATACATCAAAAGTCTTTAATGTAAGCACAGAATTCAATCACCTCATGTGTGAGAGGTTGGATCTGAGACGTCTTTTGAGTCTGGTCATAGTGAAGGATGCAAGGTGGCAATTGTAGTCACAACAATTTCCAGGAAGCCATGTTCCGCTCTTGAGCGAGCACCCACTGGGCCTCATGCAAGGTAGAAAGAGCCTGCGTACGTCACCCTCCCATGATGTGGTCAACATGTAAACTGCATGGGCAGGGCGCCAAATAACATCCTGTGCGCTGCTGAGCTGAGCTGGGGCGCGGCCTCCTGTCTGCACCGGCAGCACCATGTCGCTCACTGTCGTCAGCATGGCGTGCGTTGGTGAGTCCTGGAAGGGAATAGAGGGAGGGAGAGTGGGGATGGAGATCTCGGCCTAGAGGTAAAGATATGGGCCTGGAGTGGAGATATGGGCCTGGAGTGGAGATATGGGCCTGGGTGTGGAGATATGGGCCTGGAGGTGTAAATATGGGCCTGGAGTGGAGATATGGGCCTGGAGGGGAGATATGGGCCTGGGTGTGGAGATATGGGCCTGGAGTGGAGATACGGGCCTGGAGTGGAGATATGGGCCTGGAGTGGAGATATGGGCCTGCAGGTGGAGATCTGGGCCTGGAGTGGAGATATGGGCCTGGAGTGGAGATATGGGTCTGATGTGGAGATATGGGCCTGGAGTGGAGATATGGGCCTGGAGTGGAGATATGGGCCTAGAGGGGAGATCTGGGCCTGGAGTGGAGATATGGGTCTGATGTGGAGATATGGGCCTGGAGTGGAGATATGGGTCTGATGTGGAGATATGGGCCTGGAGTGGAGATAGGGGCCTGGAGTGGAGATATGGGCCTGGAGTGGAGATCTGGGCCAGGAAGTGTTGATCTGGGCCTGGAGCCTGGGTCTCTCCACAGCTGAGAGCCCTGTTCTTGGCAGCAGGTAGCAGGGAGGCTAAGTTTACCTTCAGCCCAGCAAGGGCCTGGCTGCCAAGACACACAGTGCAGTGGGGGCAGCAGGGTGCCCTGGTTTGCCTGCAGTTGGATCGTCTATCATGATCTTTCTTTCCAGGGTTCTTCTTGCTGCAGGGGGCCTGGCCACTCATGGGTGAGTCCTTCCCCAAACCTTAGGGTGTCATCTCCCCACATAAGAGGATTTTTCTGAAACAGGAGGGAAGTCCTGTCGGGGAGTCTCTCATAAACTAGGAAGAGGGGACCCTTGGATACTCGGCCCACATTTCTGACCTCGCCCTCCCCGGCCTTTCTTTCCCTTTCCTGAGTCAAGCTCTGTGAAGACTGGGGTGAGACTGGGGTGCTCCAAGCTGGGGTGTGCAGGGAGGAAGTGGTGTCAGCAGCAGAGAAAGAGAGGGAAGCAGTGCTAGGAACAGCAGGTCCTCTGAGGACAAAGGTATAACTGACACCCTCCAGCGTTTCCGTGACGGTAGGGACTGCAGTGTGGCTGCGGTCTTTCTACCAGAAGAGGGGGGAAACCACAGCCATGGCCCTGACATTCCAAATCCTCTGAGGGGGCTCAGTTCATGAATTGGCTGATATTCCATTCACATAGGACATGCCCTCCATGCCGTGTCTACTTTGTGTTGTTTTATGTGAGTAATTTTGCAGTATTAAAATCTAGTAAGAGTCACTTATTCAGCACTTGCTCAAAGTTCTCAGCTGACACTTGTTGTAGGGAGACGCCATGTCTATGTGGGGTGGGTCCTTCCTGTAGCCCTGGGCACCCAGGTGTGGTAGGAGCCTTAGAAAGTGGAAATGGGAGAATCTTCTGAGCACAGGGAGGGAGGGGTGGCTCCACATCCTCCTCTCTAAGGCAGTGCCTCCTTCTCCCCCAGGTGGTCAGGACAAACCCTTCCTGTCTGCCCGGCCCAGCACTGTGGTGCCTCGAGGAGGACACGTGGCTCTTCAGTGTCACTATCGTCGTGGGTTTAACAATTTCATGCTGTACAAAGAAGACAGAAGCCACGTTCCCATCTTCCACGGCAGAATATTCCAGGAGAGCTTCATCATGGGCCCTGTGACCCCAGCACATGCAGGGACCTACAGATGTCGGGGTTCACGCCCACACTCCCTCACTGGGTGGTCGACACCCAGCAACCCCCTGGTGATCATGGTCACAGGTCAGAGGCTTTCTGTCTGGGCTTCTCACTGTCCCACCTCCTGAATCCCAGAGCTTCTGGTGGGGGTGTCCATCAGGGTCCCATCACCCAGGCCCCAACTGTATTTGGGGTCAAGGGGGATTGAATACAGGGGAAATGGGCGCTGTGGTGGGAAGAATCACTGTCGCCAATGATGGCTACATTGTAAACCCTGGAGCCTGTGACTATTTATGTTATAGGGCAGGGGACTGAAGGGGAAGGTGGAGCTCAGGTTGTTGATGAGTTGACCTTGAGATGGGGAGACAGCCTGGACTGTCCTGCTGGGCTCAGTGTAATCACAAGGGTCCGCGTGAGAGGTGGAGGAAGAGGGGAGTGGGGATTAGAGCAGTGTAGTGGGAGGGAGACGCTATCAGCCACTGTGGGCTTTGAAGGTGGAGGAAGGCCACTAGTCACAGAATGCAGGTGGCCTCTAAGGGCTGGAGAAGTCAAGAGAACTGATTCGCTGAGTCTCCAGAGGGAACGCAGCCCTGCAGATGCCTTGATTTCAGCACAGGGAGAACTGGATCCAATTTCTGTCCCCAGAAGTGGAAGGGGTCAGTGTGTTCTCTCCTGCTGCCATGTTTGTGATAATTTTCTGCAGCAGCAACAGGAAACCGACACAGGAACCCAGGTCAAGGACAAGCTAGGAAACCAAACAAGGATAGCCAGGTGTGGTGGTGGGCACGAGTAATCCAACGACTGGGGAGGCTGAGGCAAGAGAATCACTTGAACCGGGGAGGCAGAGGTTGCAGTGAGCCAAGACAACACCACTGCACTCCAGCCTGGGTGAAAAAGTGACTGTCTCAAAAATAAATTAATTAATCAATTAATTAAAGAAACCAAACAAGGAGAAGGTTGGCTACCGTGGGATCAGCAAGGGTGGGATGCTGATGCCACCACCAGGCTCCATCCACATAGGAAGGGGTTGATGCTCCTGGAACCAGCACCAGGGACCACCCTATGGAAGCTGGGGCCATGGAGAAGGCACAGACATGGCAGGAGAGGCTCCCAATCCCCATCAGGAACAGGGTGTGTGGACACTGATGTCTGCCTTACTGATGAGTTGATACCTCTGCCAGAGACTCCAATTTGTTCAAAAGAGATTGATTCAGGCTGCTGAGAGCCTGGACATGCAGCCTGTCCTCTTCCACCCCCACATAGACAGCAGGAAAGAGACTAGTGGGAAAGAGATACAACAGCCCAAGAGATGAGGCTCTCTTCACAGTGGGAAGGGAGTCAGGGGCTACTGGAGACAGAGGGACAGAGAAGAGGGAGGAAGACAAATGGAGGGACCTGCACCAGGGGATATGGGCACAGAAAAGACACGGAGACACAGAGAGGGAGGAGAGAGACAGACCTCTGGGAGGGGAACCCTCACTCATTCCAGGTGCCATGGATGGGATGATAAAGAGAGATGCCTTCTAAACTCACAACTTCTCTTTCTAGGAAACCACAGAAAACCTTCCCTCCTGGCCCACCCAGGGCCCCTGCTGAAATCAGGAGAGACAGTCATCCTGCAATGTTGGTCAGATGTCATGTTTGAGCACTTCTTTCTGCACAGAGAGGGGATCTCTGAGGACCCCTCACGCCTCGTTGGACAGATCCATGATGGGGTCTCCAAGGCCAACTTCTCCATCGGTCCCTTGATGCCTGTCCTTGCAGGAACCTACAGATGTTATGGTTCTGTTCCTCACTCCCCCTATCAGTTGTCAGCTCCCAGTGACCCCCTGGACATCGTGATCACAGGTGAGAGTGTCCAGACATTCTTCTCATTGTCATTGGGACACAGAGTGAATGATCCAGGACTTGGAACCCCCAGGTGGTCATGAGGAAGATAAGCGTGAGATTCTTATGGAGAGAGACTGACTCGGTGAGGTCTGTACCAACAGAGACAGGGAAACAGGAGACATAAGTACAGACCAGGTGTCATAACAGAGGACAGACACAGGGGCCATACGGGGAAGTAGAAAAGAGAGAAAGAGGTAAAGGAGACACTCAGACAGACAGACATGTGCCAGAGAGAAGTGTCCTTCCATGCTGACTTTGCTCAGAGACCTGGCACAGGTTAGAAGTTTCATTTCTGTTTTGTCTCCACAAAGTGCTTCTACGAGGAGAACCCAAGGACACCCATATTTCTGACCTGAGTTGGGCCCTGTGGCCTCAGGCCTTGTGGCATCTACAGATGCCATGTTTATTCTGACACCTCTGCCTTCCATGCAGTGGAGCCATAATTATCCCAGGATATCATGGCCCCAGAACACCAACCCCTAAATACTGTGTGTACTTGGTGTCCCCAGACTAGATTCTGAGGCTCATATTCCAAATAATCCTACATATAATAGGATCACTGAGAGACACAGAGATAAATCAGGGACTTCAAAAAGCAAAGGCATAAACACACAGAGAATGAGCCAGAGGAAGGGGATTGAGAGACTCACAGACACACAAAAAGAAAGAAAAGAGGGCAGAGGAGTGGAGAGAATGCTGGAAGGGAGGAGAGAAAAGCCCCAAAATCAGAACCCTGAGGGAGGGGCACAAAGACAGAGAAAGATAAAGATGTGGGGATGGATTGCAGAGATTCCAAATAGAACTAGAGAGACTGAGAGGCAGAGAAAGACAAGGAGATGGAGAGAGACAGATGATAGATGGATAGATAGATATAGATAGATGATAAATAGGTAGATGATAGATAATGGATAGGTTATAGATACATAGATGATGATTGATAGATGATACATAGAGATGATGATGATGATGATGATGAAGATAGATAGATAGAAGACACATATATAAATATATAGATACATAGATGATACATAGAGACTGACAGGCAGACAGAGAGGTAATAGAGAGAGAGAGAGATGATACATAGATACAGATAATACATAGATGATTGATGGATAGACAGATAGACAATTGATAGATAAATGATACATAGATATAGATGACAGATAATTTGTAGATAGACACAAAATAGATAGATAGATAATAGATAGAAATATGCAGAAAGTTATGAACAAGACAGAAAGTGAGAGACTCAGAATTATAGAAAAAGGAAGATCAAGTCAACCAATCCAAGGAGAGTCAGAGAGAATAAAACAATCCAAAAAGGGAAAGCATACCCAGGGGTGGGGAAGTGAGGTCAGAGACCTAGAGAGACAGAGAAGGCGGAAGGAGGAAATAGACATGAAGAGAGTTGGGGTGGAGGGTGAGAGAGAGAGAGAGCATTAGGTCATAGAGCAGGGGAGTGAGTTCTCAGCTCAGGTATGAGGGGAGCTGTGACAAGGAAGAACCTCCCTGAGGAAACTGCCTCTTCTCCTTCCAGGTCTATATGAGAAACCTTCTCTCTCAGCCCAGCCGGGCCCCACGGTTCAGGCAGGAGAGAACGTGACCTTGTCCTGTAGCTCCTGGAGCTCCTATGACATCTACCATCTGTCCAGGGAAGGGGAGGCCCATGAACGTAGGCTCCGTGCAGTGCCCAAGGTCAACAGAACATTCCAGGCAGACTTTCCTCTGGGCCCTGCCACCCACGGAGGGACCTACAGATGCTTCGGCTCTTTCCGTGCCCTGCCCTGCGTGTGGTCAAACTCAAGTGACCCACTGCTTGTTTCTGTCACAGGTGAGGAAAACCCGTGTCTGTCCCATGTCTTATGATCCTAGAGCCATAGCTGAGGAGCTTCCTGCCGATGATGGGGAGAAGCATGGACAGATGCAGAGAGAACACGAAGACTGGGTGTGAAGGGGGGGTCAGGGTGCAGGATGGCAGACAGGGCACCTCCAAACCCTCTTGCATGGCCTGCATGGAGGCCCATGGTCAGGGCTCCAGGCACCCAGGCAGATGGAGAAAGCGGTCAGGACAGACCCAGAGAAGGGGAGACTGGGCTCAGTTTGGGGAGATCAGAGGTTCCCTCAGCCCCTCAACCTTACCCATTTCCCAGAAGCCCATCCTGGCCTCTCACCCACACAGAGAGATGTCATCACCAGCAACCCCTACACTCTTTTCTTTTCATTTTCAAAAATATTTATTGAGGTTAAATGTAACTATATAATTTACCAACTTTACCATTTTTAAAAGTAAAATCTAGTGGTCATAAATACCTTTATATGCTGGGTGTGGTGGTTCACGGTTGTAATCTTGGCGCTTTGAGAGGCCAAGAAAGGTGGATCATTTAAGATCAGGGACTCGAGATCAGCCTGGCCAACATGCGGGAAATTCATCTTTACTAAACAGACAAGAAAAATTAGCCAAGCATGCCGGCATGCACCTGTAGTCCTAGCTACTTGGGAGGCTGAGGCAGGAGAAGCACTTAAAGCCAGGAGGCAGAGGTTGCACTGAGCCGAGATCATGCCACTGCACTGCAGCCTGGGAGACAGAGAGAGACTCTGTTTCTAAATAAATAAATACATCTATATTCTTTTTTTTGTTACCCTCCACCCTTCCCTTCCTGGCCTCTGGTATCCACCATTCTATTCTCTACCTTCATGAGATCCACCTTTTATCTCCTGCATGTGGTGAGAAATGGGAATCTTTGTAATGACCTCCAGTTCCATCCATGTGGCTGCAAATGACAGGATGTTATTGTTTCTATGGATGAGTAGTCTCCACCGTGTGTGTGTACTACAGTTCTCTATCCATTCACCCACTGATAGGCAGGTAGGTTGACTCCACATCTTGGCTACTGTGAACAGTGCTGGAACAGTCATATGAGTGCAGATATCACTTCGATACACTGATGTCCTTTCCTTTGGATATAAACCCAGTAGTGAAATTGCTGGACACTATGAAAGTTCTCTTTTTTTTTTTTCTTTTTTGAGAAAGAGTTTCCCTCCTTAGTCCAAGCTGGAGTCAAAGTGGTGCGATCTTGGCTCATTGCAACCTCTGCTTCCTAGGTTCAAACGATTCTCCTGACTCAGCCTCCCTAATAGCTGTGATTACAGGTGCACGCCACCATGCCTGACTAATTCTTGTATTTTTTAGCACAGACGGGATATCCCAATTTTGGGCAGGCTGCTCTCAAACTCCTGACCTCAAGTGAGGTGCCTGCCTCGGTTTCCCAAAGTGCTGAAGTTACAGGCATAAGCCACTATGCCCAGCCTCCTTTTAGTTTTTTAAAGTTTTTCCATACTTTTCTCCATAATAGTTGTACTAATTTACATTCCTACCAACAGGGTACCAGGGTTCTCCTTTCTCTACCATCTTGCCAGCATTTGTTTTGCCTGTCTTGCAGATAAAAGCCATTTTACTTTATTTATTTATTTATTTATTTATGTTGAGATGGAGTTTCACTCATAGTCGCCCAGGCTGGAGTGCAAGGGTGTGATCTCGGCTCACTGCAACCTCTGCCTCCCGCGTTCAACTGATTCTCCTGCCTCAGCCTCCAAAGTAGCTGGGATTACAGGCATGTGCCACCACGCCTAGCTAATTTTTGTATGTTTAGTAGAGAGGGAGTTTCTCCATGTTGGTCAGGCTGGTCTCCCGACCTCAGGTGATCCGCCCACCTCCGCCTCCCAAAGTGCTGGAATTACAGGCGTGAGCCACCGGCCTAAAAGGCATTTTAATGGGATGAGATGAAAACTCATCGCGATTGTAATTTACATTTCTGTGATGATGAGTGATGCTGAGCACTTTTTCATATA
This sequence comes from Homo sapiens, assembly GCF_000001405.40. NCBI lineage: Eukaryota > Metazoa > Chordata > Mammalia > Primates > Hominidae > Homo > Homo sapiens. The sequence continues at coordinate 503,209 of NW_003571055.2, forward strand.
CGTGATCGCCATTTCTATGTTTTGTTTGTGGAGAAATGTCTCCTCATGTCTTTTGCTCGTTTTTTAATTAAATTGTTTTATTGAGTTGTTTGAGCTTCTTATATTTCCAGTTATTAATCCCATCTCAGATGAATAGTTTGCAAATATTTGCTCCTATTTTGTGGGTTGTCTCTTCACTTTGTTGGTTTATCTTTGGTGGTGCAGAAGTTGCTTGGTTTGATGTAATCCTAATGGTCTATTTTTTGCTTTGATTACTTGTGTTTTGAAGGTTTTAAACAAAATGTCTTTCGTCAGACAAATGTCTTCCCCATTATTTTCTTCTACATGTTTCATAGGTTCAGGCCTTAGACTCATGTTTTTAATCCATTTTCATTTGATTTTTGTGTAAGGTGACAGGTATAGATGCAGTTTTATTCCTCTGCATGTAGATATCCAGTTTTCCCCACACCATTTATTGAAGACTGTCCTTTCTTGATTGTAAGTTCTCGGCACCTTTGTCAAAGTCCATTAAATGGGCTGGGCATGGTGGCTCACACCTGCAATTCCAGCACTTTGGGAGGCCGAGGCGGGTGGATCACCTAAAGCCAGGAGTTCAAGACCAGGCTGGCCAACAGAGTGAAACCTCGTCTCTACTAAAAATACAAAAATTAGCTGAGCATGGTGATCAGTGCCTGTAATACCACTACTCAGGAGTTTGAAGCAAGAGAATTTCTTGAATCCAGGAAGTGGAGGTTGCATTGAGCTGAGATTGCACCTCTACACTCCAGCCTGCATGACAGAGCAAGATTCCATCACACACACACAAAAGAAAGCCATTGGATGTAAATGCATGGATTATATCTGTGTTCTCCATTCTGTTCCATTTTTTATGTGCCTTTCTTTATGCCAATGTCATGCTGTTTTGCTTACTACAGCTCTGTAACATATTTCTAAGTCAGGTAGTGTGATGCTCCTGTTTTCTCTTTATACCTTCAAGTCTCAAGACAGTGGGCATCGCACACAAAAATTATGGAGAAAAGGATCCCAAGACTCCCAGGGTCCAACATTAGATAACAGAGTGTTGGCCATGAACCAACCTCAAAGATTTCCATTGAGTAGAGGACAAGCACCCTCATTTCCTCACATCTCTCCTGTCCCGTGTTCTAGGAAACCCTTCAAGTAGTTGGCCTTCACCCACAGAACCAAGCTCCAAATCTGGTGAGTAAAGGACCCCTCTTATCTCTGCTTTTGGAAACCTGGGGAGGTGGAAGCCTTGGATGCAAGTGTTGGCTCAAACCTCCCAGCTCTGTGAATGAGGGCCTGTCTTCCACCATCTCTGAACTCCAGACACTCCAACAGTGAAAGGGATCTAGGGCCACCAAAGGGCTCAGCGAAGTCTCTTTACCTTTAATTTCCTGCAGGTGAGACCTCCTACAAGCTAGAAGAATAATTGCCAATCTGACATCCTTCTCAGGAAAAATGCAGTGTTTTTTCTGCCTGCATTCCTAACTGGAGGATAAATTCCCGGGGGCTTGAGAGAGGGAAGGGAAGGGAACATCTGATGAGGGTGGGTGTTTTAGAGAAGTTCCACTTGCCAAGGAATGAATTACTGTTGGTCATCAGGCAACCCTGGCTGACTCAGCAGAGCAAGAGCCTTGCCGTAACAGAGAACAGAGCTCATGCACGCACACTTCGACTCACTGACTCATTCAGCCACAGCCCCATGCTCAGGCTGTGCAGTGTGGAAGCTTTTCCTATTGTTGCCATAACAAATTTCCACAAGATTCGTGGGTGAAAACAAAACGGTTATTTAATTATCTTACAGTGCTGTAGCTCAAAGCATGACGTGCATGTCACTGGGCTAAAATCAAGGTGACAGCAAGGCTGCCTTCCCTCTGAGGGTTCCAGGCAAGAATCTGCTTCTCACTTTTCTCAGCTTCTAGAGGCTCCCATGTTCCTTGGCTCCTGGTACCCTTCCTCCTTCCTCAAAGCCCACAAAGACTGGTCACATCTCACATGGCATCACTCAGACCCTTCTTCCTTACCACACCTCTTTCTCTGAATGCTGCTCTCCCTTCTTCCCCTTCTTTTGAAAACTTGGGGATTCTATTGGGTTCACCAAGATGAAAATCCATCATAATCTCCCGGAAATCATCCAGGATACCCTCCTTTTAAGTTCAGCTGACTAGCAACCATAATTCCATCTGCAATCTTCATTCCTCCTTTCATGTAAAATAACATATTCACAAGCTATGGAGGCTAGGACATGGACATTTTTGGGGTGGGACAACATTCTCCTGCCTTCCACAAACAGTGAACAAGATGCATTTGGCCTCTGTTCTTGGGACACTGATCTTGCAGATGGTTAAATGGGAGGGCAGAAAATGTAGGCACAAGGGGACCAATAAATGAATGATCTATTGAGAAGCATCTGTGCATGAAATCTATTTATTTATGTATTTACCTACTTGTTTATTGAGACGGAGCCTTGCTCTGTCGTCCAGGCTAGAGTGCGGTGGCATGATCTCGGCTCACTGCAACCTCCACCTCCTGGGCTGAACGGATCTCCTCCCTCAGCCTCTCCAGTAGCTGGGATTACAGACCACAACCACCACGCCCGGCTAACTCTTTTTGCATATTTTCTGTAGAGAGGATGTTTCACCATGTTGGCCAGGCTGGTCTCAAATTCCCAACCTCAGGTGATCCAATAGCCTCTGCCTCCCAACACGCTGGGATAAGAGGCATGAGCCACGGGGCCAAGCCAAATTTTCAAATCAATAATAGATAATGCTGAGTGTATGATTTCAGGTGACAGAGAAGTTCTCACTAATCAGATATTTGTGACATTAATGAAAAACACGGATTGAACCCCTGAAAGATGGGCGGAAGGATTTTGCACACACAGCTGTCAGCCGTGAAGGCACAAAGGTGAAAATAATCTGATGTTGAAGGAAGAGGCTCTGCCTCAAATGCTGGGAATGACGTGGGGAGAATGACAAGACGACTGTAGAGAGACGGAGAGCACACTGGGTACACAGGAAACTAAGGAGCAACAAGGAGTGTGTGTTTGACACTCACAGCCATTGGACTCACCTCGGGGTAACCAGGAATCCCTACATGATTAATATGACTGACATGAAAATAAGGGAGGCCCAGGTGCGTAACTGGAATCTAGGAGACCGTGGAAAAGGCAATTCCCGCCCCACTGGTGAAATGTGGTGCTGATTTAGACACTAAATGAATGAAGTAGATGGATATAAGATATGTTTGTGAGGTAGAATCATTGGCTGGAAAGGCTTGCTGGGTTTGATTTTTTCCTGGTAGTTTAATCCTCGCTTCACTAACTTATTTCTGAGATTTATTTCTCCTGCATCTAAATCAATACCTGGCAGAGGAGGGAGAGCTAGATGAGGGGTGGTGCAAATGAAGGGACCTAGTATAGCATAATATACAAGGCTGTGAACGGTGGCTCACGCCTGTAACCCAGCACTTCAGGAGGCCAACGCGGGTGGATCACATGAAGTCAGGAGTTCGAGACCAGCCTGGCCAACATGGAGAAACCCTATCTCTACTAAAAATACAAAAATTAAACAGGCATGATGGTGGTGCATGACTGTAATCCCAGCTACTCTGGAGGAGGAAGCAGGAGAATGACTTCAGCCCTGGAGGCAGAGGTTGCAGTGAGTGGAGATCGCGTCACTGCACACCAGCCTGGGCTACACAGGGATACTCTGGCTCAAAAAATAAAAATAAAAAATACATAAATATAATAATATACACAAATGATGCAGGCACCTGAATTCCAATCATCATTTTTCTATTTCTCTATAATTACTTCTTTGATCCTTTATCTTATCCATTAGAAAATCAGCCTAAAACCTCTTCCATATTTGGCTTTCTGTGAACATGAGATCATATGGAAAATATGAAAGCCCCCTGAACCCACCAGCACAGGCCCTGAAATAGGGAAAGTGCTCTGTTCATCACAAGAAACTTGCCCCCTCACCCAAATCCCCCACCTCACCCCTACTTCCAATCACCTGTGGAGATACAGATAGATCATGGGGAGGTAAACGCTAATACTCCTTGGAGTGAGTTCAGATCTTGGAATCAGAGATCAGCACCAGCACTAGCTCCTGCTCCCCTTTCCTACTAATTCACAGGAGGACAGGTGGTTTTGAAGCAATAGATGGTGGAGGGGGTGGTCTTTCCCCCAGCCTCTCAGGTGGAACAGCAGCCTAACATGTGTCTCGCGAGATCACAAAGAGTAGCACGTTTCACATGGGCTTCATCATTATTTCCTGGCTGTTTGACATAAGAGAATTCTACTTTGCTTTTTTGATCTTGATTTCACTTTTGTGTCCTTTTCTTGGAGAATGTAATTTGAGTCAAGAGGGTTGTGGATGTAGAAACTGTAAAGCACATTCACTGTGTATCAATCCCAGTTCAGTCTTTCCAGAGAAGACTCTAAACACCTGCTGTACTGCACCTGGGCCTATGCAAATTTCTATCACTCACCGTCACTCCAGGGAGACAGAACACACAGAGAATACGTTACATAGGCAGGTTCATTACTAACAGATAAGCAGCGAGTGACAACAGAAGCCTACATTTCAATGTGAGCCAGTCCCTCAAGGCTCAGAAAAGCTTCTCGGGACATATGGAGTCACCTCATTTGCAGTGTATCTGGGGGAAGCCAGAAAATAGCCCAGCCTGGGTTTCGTACCCTGAAGCCACAGGAAGCACTCAGCTAAAGCACTGCATGACGTCCTCCTCCAGGAAGAACAGGAAGACAGCACAGGCTGTTCTGAGACGTTCCTCCTGATCTCAGGACGTTGCTGTCTTAGTCCATTTTTGTTGCTATAAAAGAACACTTGAGCCTGGGTTACTTCTTTTTTTTTTTTTTTTTTTGTATAGTGCTTCTGATGAGCTTTTTTTTTAAATTTTTATTATTATTATACTTTAAGTTTTAGGGTACATGTGCACAATGTGCAGGTTAGTTACATATGTATACATGTGCCATGCTGGTGTGCTGCACCCATCAACTCGTCATTTAGCATTAGGTATATCTCCTAATGCTATCCCTCCCCCCTCCCCCCACCCAACAACAGTCCCCAGAGTGTGATGTTCCCCTTCCTGTGTCCATGTGTTCTCATTGTTCAATTCCCACCTATAAGTGAGAACATGCAGTGTTTGGATTTTTGTCCTTGTGATAGTCTACTGAGAATGATGATTTCCAATTTCATCCATGTCCCTGCAAAGGACATGAACTCATCATTTTTTATGGCTGCATAGTATTCCATGGTGTATATGTGCCACATTTTCTTCATCCAGTCTATCATTGTTGGACATTTGGGTTGGTTCCAAGTCTTTGCTATTGTGAATAGTGCCACAATAAACATACGTGTCCATGTGTCTTTATAGCAGCATGATTTATAGTCCTTTGGGTTTATACCCAGTAATGGGATGGCTGGGTCAAATGGTATTTCAAGCTCTAGATCCCTGAGGAATCGCCACACTGACTTCCACAATGGTTGAACTAGTTTACAGTCCCACCAACAGTGTAAAAGTGTTCCTATTTCTCCACATCCTCTCCAGCACCTGTTGTTTCCCGACTTTTTAATGATCGCCATTCTAACTGGTGTGAGATGGTATCTCATTGTGGTTTTGATTTGCATTTCTCTGATGGCCAGTCATGGTGAGCATTTTTTCATGTGTTTTTTGGCTGCATAAATGTCTTCTTTTGAGAAGTGTCTGTTCATGTCCTTTGCCCACTTTTTGATAGGATTGTTTGTTTTTTTCTTGTAAATTTGTTTGAGTTCATTGTAGATTCTGGATATTAGCCCTTTGTCAGATGAGTAGGTTGCGAAAATTTTCTCCCATTTTGTAGGTTGTCTGTTCACTCTGATGGTAGTTTCTTTTGCTGTGCAGAAGCTCTTTAGTTTAATTAGATCCCGTTTGTCAATTTTGGCTTTTGTTGCCGTTGCTTTTGGTGTTTTAGACATGAAGTCCTTGTCCATGCCTATGTCCTGAATGGTAATGCCTAGGTTTTCTTCTAGGGTTTTTATGGTTTTAGGTCTAACGTTTAAGTCTTTAATCCATCTCAAATTAATTTTTGTATAAGGTGTAAGGAAGGGATCCAGTTTCAGCTTTCTACCTATGGCTAGCCAGTTTTCCCAGCACCATTTATTAAATAGGGAATCCTTTCCCCATTGCTTGTTTTTCTCAGGTGTGTCAAAGATCACATAGTTGTAGATATGTGGCATTATTTCTGAGGGCTCTATTCTGTTCCATTGATCTATATCTCTGTTTTGGTACCAGTACCATGCTGTTTTGGTTACTGTAGCCTTGTAGTATAGTTTGAAGTCAGGCAGCATGATGCCTCCAGCTTTGTTCTTTTGGCTTAGGATTGACTTGGCAATGCAGGCTCTTTTTTGATTCCATATGAACTTTAAGGTAGTTTTTTCCAATTCTGTGAAGAAAGTCATTGGTAGCTTGATGGGGATGGCATTGAATCTATAAATTACCTTGGGCAGTATGGCCATTTTCACGATCTTGATTCTTCCTACCCATGAGCATGGAATGTTCTTCCATTTGTTTGTATCCTCTTTTATTTCATTGAGCAGTGGTTTGTAGTTCTCCTTGAAGAGGTCCTTCATATCCCTTGTAAGTTGGATTCCTAGGTATTTTATTCTCTTTGAAGCAATTGTGAATGGGAGTTCACTCATGATTTGGCTCTCTGTTTGTCTGTTATTGGTGTATAAGAATGCTTGTGATTTTTGTACATTGATTCTGTATCCTGAGACTTTGTAGAAGCTGCTTATCAGCTTAAGGAGATTTTGGGCTGAGACAATGGGGTTTTCTAGATATACAATCATGTCATCTGCAAACAGGGACAATTTGACTTCCTCTTTTCCTAATTCAATACCCTTTATTTCCTTCTCCTGCCTAATTGCCCTGGCCAGAACTTCCAACACTATGTTGAATAGGAGTGGTGAAAGAGGGCATCCCTGTCTTGTGCCAGTTTTCAAAGGGAATGCTTCCAGTTTTTGCCCATTCAGTATGATACTGGCTGTGGGTTTGTTATAGATGGCTCTTATTATTTTGAGATACGTCCCATCAATGCCTAATTTATTGAGAGTTTTTAGCATGAAGTGTTGTTGAATTTTGTCAAAGGCCTTTTCTGCATCTATTGAGATAATCGTCCGGTTTTTGTCTTTGGTTCTGTTTATATGATGGATTACATTTATTGATTTGCATATATTGAACCAGCCTTGCATCCCAGAGCCTGGGCAACTTCTAGAGAAAACAGATTTGTTTGCCTCACAGTTCTGCAGGCTGTACTGGAAGCATGGCACCAGCATCTGTTTCCTGTGACGGCCTCAGGCTGCTCCCACTCTGGCAGAAGGGAAGGAGGGTCTGTCTGTGCAGAGACCACAGAGATCACATGGCAAGAGAGGGAGCAAGGGGGAGGGCGAGCGATGGAGCTTCCAAGCTCTTTTTAACAACCAGCCCTCCGGGAACTAATAGAGGGGGAACTTGCTAACCCCATCATGTGGGGCAGCATTAATCTATTCATGATGGATCCACCTCCATGACTCAAACACCTTCCCATAGGCCCAAACTTCCACACTGGGGGTTAAATTTCAATATTTCAGTGTGAGGTTTCAAAGGGTCAAACATCTAAACTAAAGCAGCTGTATCCTCAGCATGTTCTATGGTTTCTATGAGAGCTGTAACTGAGAAAGCAGGAGAAAGCTGGGTCTCCCGCCATCAGGCTGCTTGTCCTAAGGAGATGTTCCATGTGGTTACCTGTCAATCAAGAAATGAGACAATCCATAAAGAGGAACTGCTATGATTAGCTTCTTATTGGATTCCCATCTTCCTCCAGGTATCTGCAGACACCTGCATGTTCTGATTGGGACCTCAGTGGTCATCTTCCTCTTCATCCTCCTCCTCTTCTTTCTCCTTTATCGCTGGTGCTCCAACAAAAAGAGTAAGTCTCACGAAGCAGAGGCCAGAGAGCTCAGGGCCATGTGGGGAAGCAGGATGGGAGCACGCGGGTGTGTGTTCCTCACTGGCAGGATGGTCCCTGGCCCAAGGGAGGAGCCACAGAGGCAGGGCTTTCTAGAGAGAGCACCAGACAACCTGCCCCTGCCTTCAGCTCACAGACCATTGCCTGGTTCTGAACTGTATCCTCACATCCCCTGCAGCCACTGACATCCAGAAGCTTCCATGACAGGCAGAAAGTGGGAGACAGAATCAATGGGATGCCAATTGAGAGCACTTCATGGGATGGGGTCTTGAACTCAGAGAGATAGAATGTCTGAGTCTGGATGTTGGCAGCTGAAGAGCCTCAGGCACCTACAGCCTCCCCCTGTGGGTTGGTGTCTGCCCATGAAATGAGGACCCAGAAGGGCCCTCCAAGCGGTTTTGATGACTTCCGTCTCCTACAGATGCTGCTGTAATGGACCAAGAGCCTGCGGGGGACAGAACAGTGAATAGGCAGGTAGGTCCTCCTCGGCCCAGCCTCACGGATACAGTCTTATCCCTAATAGTCCTGAAAAATGTGAGCACCCTCCCTCACTCAGCATTTCCCTCTCTCCAGGACTCTGATGAACAAGACCCTCAGGAGGTGATGTACGCACAGTTGGATCACTGCGTTTTCATACAGAGAAAAATCAGTCGCCCTTCTCAGAGGCCCAAGACACCCCTAACAGATACCAGCGTGTACACGGAACTTCCAAATGCTGAGCCCAGATCCAAAGTTGTCTCCTGCCCACGAGCACCACAGTCAGGTCTTGAGGGGGTTTTCTAGGGAGACAACAGCCCTGTCTCAAAACCAGGTTGCCAGATCCAATGAACCAGCAGCTGGAATCTGAAGGCATCAGTCTGCATCTTAGGGGATCGCTCTTCCTCACACCACGAATCTGAACATGCCTCTCTCTTGCTTACAAATGCCTAAGGTCGCCACTGCCTGCTGCAGAGAAAACACACTCCTTTGCTTAGCCCACAAGTATCTATTTCACTTGACCCCTGCCCACCTCTCCAACCTAACTGGCTTACTTCCTAGTCCTACTTGAGGCTGCAATCACACTGAGGAACTCACAATTCCAAACATGCAAGAGGCTCCCTCTTAACACGGCACTTACACACTTGCTGTTCCACCTTCCCTCATGCTGTTCCACCTCCCCTCAGACTATCTTTCAGCCTTCTGTCATCAGTAAAATTTATAAATTTTTTTTATAACTTCAGTGTAGCTCTCTCCTCTTCAAATAAACATGTCTGCCCTCATGGTTTCGATAATGTGACTCTTTATTCGCCAAAAGTTTCCAGTGTTATCATTACTATGTCCATATAACCTGATATGTTCTCTACTGGGTTCTCAGCCCTGGACTCTGAGCTTCTGGAAGCAGGGTGGAGCCTCATTTGTCTCTGGGACTCCAATTTCCATCCAAAGATGCAGCACATAGGAGGTTCCAAGGATCGTGAATCACATGAACAAGTGATATTCTTACTCTCTGCAGACCTGGAAAGCTGGCAGAGTCATTCCAAGATGAAACATTTGTAGAGTCATAGGCCTTGTTAGTCTCATCTCCACAGGGACACATGTCAACACATCATCTTTCATACTATAAATATACAGTCGCTCCTCCATATCTGTGGGGTTTACAGGTGTTTATTGAACCAAATATAAATCAAAAATATTCAGAGAAAAAATCCACAAAGTTCCAAAAAGCAAAAATACTATATTGTGTGGACACAAGTGAGGTGGTGTGTAGGCTGTATCAGGAATTATAAGTAATCTAGAGATGATTTCATGTATACAGGAGGATGTGCATGGGTTATATGCAAACGCTGTGCCATTTCATGCAACAGGCTTGAGCATCTGCAGATTTTGGTGTCTGGTAGGGAGGGGGGTTTCCTGGAACCAATCACCCATGAATAGTGAAGGACTACTGTATATAATTTTCATTCATCAATTTTATAAATAAATCATCAAAATGTATGATAATAAGATAAAAAATTAGCAGTGTTTTTATGGTGTGAAAATAAGCTTAGATTTATTTTTTCCTGCTTGTAACCCTCTGGTCCAATGTTATTTACTGAGAAGACATTCTATTCCACCTTAATCCGCATGGCAGCCTCTGTCAACTATAAAAGGACTGTGTGTACACAGATGTATTTTACACACTCTTTTCTGCTCAGTGGCTCTCTGTGTCCACTCTCATGAGGATGCTGCACTTTATGTGGCCTTATAGAACCCCTTAAAATTTGGCAGCCTGAATCCTCTAATTTCTCCTTCCTCTTTAAGATTGCCATTATTATTATTATTGGCTATTTGCTTTTCCATGTAAATTTGTAATCATTTTTCTCATTTCCACCAAAAACAATGCTTGTAATTTTGTTGTGACTCCCTTACATCTACAGGTAAGTTCTGTCCTATAGAAACATAATGCAAACCACATGCATTCTTTCAAACTTGCTAGTATCCAAATTAAAAAGCTAACAAGAAACAGATAAAATTAATTTAAGTTAACCCAATGGACCCAAAATATTATTAACCCAACAGACCCAAAATATTAACCTAATAGATCCAAAATATTATTTTATTATACAAGTAGACTCAAAATATTATCATTTCAACATGTAATCATGTGTCATCTTGGAAAACATCAGATCCCTGTCTAGGTGGGCAAAGATTTTTCTTCGTAATATCTCATTTCCACATTTCCACTTGGCACAGAAACTGCCCCCAAGGCTCAGGATACTAAGATGCAGTAGGAATGGGTAGATGTATCTGGAGGAAAGTGACTGAATGAAATTGAGACATCAGAGTCTGGGGAACTCACTAGAACTACAGGGACAGTGTGGGGGAGGGAATTGGGAGATGTTGATCAAAGGATACAAACTATCAGGTATTCAGGAGGAATGGGTCTGAAGATCTCTTGTACAGCTTTGCCACTATGGTTGACAATACTGTACTCTATACTTGAAATTTACCAGGAAAGTAGATTTTTTTTTTTAAATATGGAACACTTCACGAATTTGCGTGTCATTCTTGCGCAGGGGCCATGCTAGTTTTCTCTGTATCGTTCCAATTTTAGTATATGTGCTGCCGAGGCAAGCATGGGAGAGTAGATTTTTTTTTTTTTTTTTTTTTTGAGCTGGAGTCTTGCTCTGTCACCCAGGCTGGAGTGCAGTGGCGCGATCTCGGCTCACCGCAAGCTCCGCCTCCTGGGTTCACGCCATTCTCCTGCCTCAGCCTCCCGAGTAGCTGGGACTACAGGCGCCCGCCACCACGCCCTGCTAATTTTTTGTATTTTTAGTAGAGACGGGGTTTCACTGTGTTAGCCAGGATGGTCTCGATCTCCTGACCTCGTGATCCGCCTGCCTCGGCCTCCCAAAGTACTGGGATTACAGGCATGAGCCACCACGCCCGGCTGGGAGAGTAGATCTTAAGGGTCCTCACCACAAAAAAAAAAAAAAGAAAGAAAGAAAAAGAAACCATAGGCCGGGCGCGGTGGCTCACGCCTGTAATCCCAGCACTTTGGGAGGCCAAGACGGGCAGATCACTTGAGGTCAGGAGTTCAAGACCAGCATGGCCAACATGGTGAAACCCTGTCTCTACTAAAAATGCAAACATTAGCCAGGCGTGGTGACACAAGCCTGTAATCCCAGCTACTCAGGAGGCTGAGGCACGAGAATTGCTGGAACCTGGGAGCGGAGGTTGCAGTGAGCCAAGATGGCACCACTGCACTCTAGCCTGGGGGACAGAGTAAGACTTCCTCTCAAAAAAAAAAAAAAAAAAAACAATAACCCTGCGAGATGATGGATATAACTAGCTTGACTATGATGATCATGTCACCATGTATACATACATCAAAACATCAAGTGTAATACACCTTAAATATATACAATTTCCATTTGTCAATCATATCTCAATAAAGCTAAAAGAAACCTCTAAGTTTCAACTTTATTTTCAGAAAGCTGTGCCATGCTTACCTCAGTGCCTAAGTATACTCTAATTCATGGAAATGGCCTTTAAAACTGCAGAGAGTGGCTGGGTGCAGTGGCTCACGCCTATAATCCCAGCACTTTGGGAGGCGGAGGTGGGCAGATCACGAGGTCAGGAGTTCGAGATCAGCCTGGCCAACATGGTGAAACTCTGTCTCTACTAAAAATACAAAAAATAGCTGGGCATGGTGGCAGGTGCCTGTAAATCTGAGATACTCAGGAGGCTGAGACAGGAGAATCGTTTGAACTGGGGAGGCAGAGGTTGCAGTGAGCCGAGATCCTGCCATTGCACTCCAGCCTGGGCGACAGGGTGAGACTCCATCTCAAAAAAAAAAAAAATACTGCAGAGAGTTAAGGCCCTCACTGGACACTCTCCGGTACCTCTGAGGTCAGTGGATAGAGAAGCAGCTCCCCTTCTTCTTCCTCGAAACAAAGGCCTCCTTCCTTCTTAGGTGTTTGAGACAAATTCTCCACACAGGTGCAGCTGAGTGCTGTAAAGTCCCACTGAGAGTTGAAGGTCCCCACTGCCAGTCACAGTTCGGTCCCACTGAGGGTTGAAGGTCCCCACTGCCAGTCACAGTTTGGTCCCATTGAGGGTTGAGAGTCTCCACTGCCAGTCACAGTTTGGTCCCATTGAGGGTTGAGAGTCTCCACTGCCAGTCAGTTTGGGCTTATTAGGGTTTATGCTGTGCACGGAGAATGGAACCTACCAATCAACTCTTAGTGACCAGTTAGACAGATTCAAGGCAAATTTCCCTGCTGGGAAATCCCAAATCCCAAAATATGCAGAGACCAATAGATGCCTCAATTCTTCCGTGTCTCCGTCTAAATCCTTGGGTCACTGTGACTCCTGTAGTTATGTGGCTTGTAATTCCTTGGGCCGTAGAATGGCTATGATAGGCCCTGTGCTAAGGGGACTGGTGACAGTTGAGACAGGAACATGGAAGCTATAGTAGTCAGGGTTCTCCAGAAAAAAAAATAATCAACACTAATAATGATAGATATATAGATAATGATTGATAGACAAATAATGATAGATATATAATGATATCACAAATAATGATAGACATATAGTTGGATAATGACAGATATATAATGATTGATACACAGATAGGGTATTTATATATTGGCTTATGCAACTATGTAGACTGACAGGTCCCATGATCTGCCATCTGCAAGCTGGAGACCCAGGGGAGTCCACGTGTAGTTCCAGTCTACGTGCAAAAGTCTGAGAACCAGTAGAGTTAGTGGTATACGTAACAGTCCAAAAGCTAGCAGGCTCATGCCGGGCATGATGGCTCACGCCTGTAATCCCAACACTTTGGGAGACCAAGGCAGGCAGATCACCTGAGGTCAGAGTTCAAGACCAGCCCGGCCAACATGGTGAAACCCCATCTTTACTAAAAATACAAAAATTAGCCGGGCATAGTGGCATTCGCTTGTAATCCCAGCTACTCAGAGGCTGAGGTACGAGAATTGCTTGAACCCAAGAGGTGAAGGTTGCAGTGAGCCGAGATCATGCCACAGCACTCCAGCCTGGGTGACAGAGTGAGACTCTATCTCAAAAAAACAAACAAACAAAAAAAGCTGGCAGGCTTAACATCTAAAGAGTCAATGTTTTAGTGAGAGTTCAAGAGCCAGAAAAGACTGATGTCCAAGCAAAAGGAACTTCATCTTACATTACCAGTTCAATGTTTTGTTCTATTCAGGTCCCACCTGATTGAATGAGGCCGACTCACATTAGGGAGAGCAATCTGCTTTATAAATTACACTAATTCCATTGATAATCTCATTCAGCAACACCCCCACAGACACACACAGAATAATGTTTAACCAAATATCTCAGCACCCCATGGCTACGTTACCATTCCTGTTCCACAAAAGGAGGAAACAAAAGAACAAAACCACACCAAATGTTGTGGTAAGTTGACAAAATCTGTTCCAGCCCATTAGTAAATATTGGCCACTGAAGTTCCTGAAATTCAACAATTAGTAAGTATCTCTCTCCCAATAGAAAGCCACGTCATTTGTAAACCATAACAATAGCTTTTGTTTTTTTGAGACACAGTCTCGCTCTGTGTTGCCCAGGCTGGAGTGCAGTGATCTTGGCTCACTGCAACCTCTGCCTCCTGGGTTCAAGTGGCTCTCCTGCCTCAGCCTTCCGAGTAGCTGGAATTACAGGCACCCGCCACCACACCCAAGTAATTTTTTATATTTTTAGTAGAGACTGGGTTTCACCACATTGACCAGGCTGGTCTTAAATTCCTGAACTCAAGTGATTCACCTGCCTTGGCCTCCCAAAGTGCTGGGATTACAGGCATGAGCTACTGCACCCAGCCAACAATAGTATTTTTAATTAGGTCATCCTGCCTTTACAATCTCTGCATTTTAAATACTCAACTAAGAGTACAGCCATTATTTGTCTTTCACCCAAAGTCCCATTCAAGTGAGAACAAAGGAATGAATAAATAAGGCATAAGTAACAAAACAACAAAAAAAGAAAATTAGAATGCAGTCAATTTCATGCAATCATCAACACCAAATTTCCAGAACGTAGTATTTCCAAATTTCCCGAACGTAAATATGTATGTGGAAATTAACAAAATGTGGCAAAACAAAAGGTCACTTAAATTTGCACAAATGAAACAGTCAACATGGAAGCTGATCGGCTTTCTGAAATATGGGACAAGCTCAGGACTTCAAAATACTTCGGCGTTGGAAGGGCTAAGTTATGATGTATTAAAATGAAAATAAAGTGGGGCGCGGTGGCTCATGCCTGTAATCCCAGCACTTTGGGGGACCGAAGTGGGTGGATCACGAGGTCAGGAGATCGAGACCATCCTGGCTAACACGGTGAAACCCCGTTTCTACTGAAAATACAAAAAAAATTAGCCGGGCGTGGTGGCGGGTGCCTGTAGTCCCAGCTACTCGGGAGGCTGAGGCAGGAGAATAGCATGAACCCGGGAAGTGGAGCTTGCAGTGAGCTGAGATCACGCCACTGCACTCCAGCCTGGGCGACAGAGCAAGACTCCGTCTCAAAAAAAAAAAAAGAATAAATAAAATAAAATAAAATAGTAGAAGGTTTAATTAGGAATATTTCACTCTCCATACCTGAAGAATTCGTGATAGCCAGGAGTCTACAATCAAAATAACATAAATAATAAGATAAAAATAAAATTAATTTGAAGCCATAAAAAAAGAATGAGTTCATATGTTTTGTGGAAACATGGATGGAGCTGGAGGCCATTATCCTTAGCAAACTATACAAGAACAGAACACCAAATACAGCAGGTTCTCACTTATAAGTGGAAGCTAAATAATAGAACTCATGAACACAAAAAAGGGAAAAACAGACAATGGGGTCTCCTTTAGGGTGGAGGGTGGGAGGCGGGAAAGGAGCAGGAAAAGTAACTATTAGGTACCAAGCTTATTACCTAGGTGATGAAATAATCTGTACAACAAACCCCCATGACACAAGTTTACCTGTATAACAAACCTTCCCATGTACCCTTGAACCTAAAATAAAAGTTAAAAAAATACTCAATGAGCAACAATGTACATTATTTGAGGATAATTATATTAAAAGCCCAGACTTCACCACTACACAAAATATCCACGTAATAAAATTTCACTTGCGCTCCTTAAATTTATACAAATAAACAAAAAAGTATAATAAAATAGTAGATTCTTTCTTTAGAGATGACAAATAGTGCCAGAGAAAATGCCTCCACACTCTGGCATTGAGATCATCTCCAGGATAAGGGTATACTGCATGCCTGGTCAAGTCCAAGTAAATATACTCAGACCATGAATCTCAGAGATGAAACATAGGTTCAGAACAGACAAAGCCACAGAGCTTTTGACTAATGGCCCAGTGAAGGCAATGTCTGCCTGTATGGTATCCACCACCTTATATTCTGTCCCAAGCCCGTCTATTTGGATGTAGCATCTGGTTCAAAGATGAATTTGAACACCATTAGACACTGGCTTAATGAAAATTCACTTCTCATTCATTTCTCATCTGAAACATAAATAGAAATACAGGTCTTAGGCAGGAGGATTTCTTGATGCCAGAAGTTAGAGACTACCCTGGCCAACATAGAAAGACCCCATCTCTATTTAAAAAAATATACATATATATGTCTTCTCTTGGGCTCCACCCAAGAGCAACCTGGAACTAAGTTATTCGGCAACGAACTGTTCCACTTTGCTGTGAGGCAATAGATGTGGAAATTCCCTGACGAGGGGCTCTGTCCTCATACTTCCTGCGGAGCTTATTGTCGTAAGAATATCTGTCATCCTGCTAATGTGCATTGAAAGGAGAGCAACGGGGCTGAGGCCGTGTCAGCACGATGGACCCCAAACAGACCACCCTCCTGTGTCTTGGTGAGTTTCAGAGTAAAAGTGGGTTAGAGGGGAAGATAGAGAAATCCCAAAATAATCAGGGTGTCTCTTAACAGTGTGACTAGGAGATTTTAGTGGCTGCCAAGGAGATTCTGATCTCCTTAGTGGAAAGGCCGTCTTTGTCAATGTATCTATAACTTTGTCTCTACCCAAGCCCAAGCTAGCTTGTGGGGCTCAAGGTTTAATATTTGTATTAAACCTATAGTGTGTTATCTGGGATTCATGATGGTCCCAAGGTTCTTATCAAGGAGAGACTTAGAGGCTGGAATCTGAAAGGTAAAAATAAAGAATGAACCTCAAAACTGTGATTGTTGTGGAAGGAAAACATATGATAGAACCCCATATAGAAATATGGTTACTAGTATTTTGTTGAAGATTTTTGCATTTATGTTCAACAAAGATATTATCCAGAAGTTTTCTGTTTTTGTTGTATCTCTGCCACATTTTGTTATCAGGATAATGTTGGCCTCATAGAATGAGTTGGGGAGGAGTCCCTCCTCCAGGATTTTTTTCAATAGTTTCAGTAGGAATAATACTAGCTCTTCTTGGCCGGGCGCAGTGGCTCACACCTGCAATCCCAGCACTTTGGGAGGCCAAGGCAGGCGGATCACAAGGTCAGGAGATCAAAACCATCCTGGCCAACATGGTGAAACCCTGTCTCTACTAAAAATACAAAAAAATTAGCCAGGCGTGGTGGCGGGCGCCTGTAGTCCCAGCTACTCGTGCGGCTGAGGCAGGAGAATGGCATGAACCTGGGAGGCAGAGCTTGCAGTGAGCCAAGATCATGCCACTGCACTCCAGCTTGGGCGACACAGCGAGACTCTGTGTCAAAAAAAAAAAAAAATGCCAGCTCTTCTTTATATATCTGGTGGGATTGAGCTGTGAATCCATCTGGTACTGGTCTTTTTCTGGTCTGTCATTACAGAGGGTGATTTGTCGTAAAGGTTGGAAATGGAAGCTTGATTTTTCATAAATCTCTCTCTTCCAGTGCTCTGTCTGGGCCAGAGGATTCAGGCACAGGAAGGTAAGTGTCCTGTAAATCTCTCCCAGCCCCTTTAGACCCTCTTGGGAGCTCTAGGATAAAGAAATTGAGGAATAGCCTGAAGCACCATTCTTATTTTAGTCCCCATTCTAGTTGTTTCTGCTGTGCTTCTCTTGCATAATTTCTATCTCACTTTGTTATCTCCAAACCCTTCAGACTCATTAATGCTCAGGCCTGGATTTATAGTTAGTCCTTGCCTGTGTTAGACTGTCCATGAAGGATCTGTAATTTACTGAATGCTCAAACTGCAAGAATGAGGAAGTCAGGAGTCATCTGCCCAATATCCTTCCTTATGCTGATTCTATTTTGTTTTAGCAACCCACTTCCTCCCGTCACTTCATTTAAAAGGATGCTGCCATAGTCTAACCCTACTGAACACTCTAGCATTCTGTAGTACTACTGCAGTACTAAGCATGAGGCAGTCTTAGTGTACTACTGAATATTCTGCCACCCCAACTACTACTGCCTTAGCCTCCTAATGGGTGTGAGCCCCACGTCCATCCATGTCTTCTCTCTTCCAGCTCCTTCTAAAGCCTGAATTATTTGTGTGTTGAACAATACTCATTCTTCCTATCCATGAGCATGGAATGTTTTTCCATTTGTTTGTGTCATCTATGATTTCTTTGACCAGTGTTTTGTAGTTCTCCTTGCAGAGATCTTTCACCTCCCTGGTTAGCTGTATTCCCAGGTATTTTATTCTTTTTGCAGTAATTGTGAATGGATTCTATTCTTGATTTGGCTCTCAGCTTAGATGTTTTTGGTGTATAGGAATGCTACTGATTTTTATATATTGATTTTGTATCCTGGAACTTTGCTAAAGTTGTTTATCAGATTAAGAAGTGTTTGGGCAGAGACTGTGGTTTTCTAGGTATAGAATCATATCACCTGCAAACAGGGATAGTTTGACTTCCTTTCTTCCTATTTGGATGCCTTTTATTTCTCTCTTGCCTGATTGCTCTAGCTAGGACCTCCAGTACTATGTTGAACAGAAGTAGTGAGAGACGGCATCCATGTCTTTTGCCAGTTTTCAAGGGGAATACTTCCAGCTTTTGCCCATTCAATATGATGTTGACTGTGAGTTTGTCATACATCATTCTTATTATTTTGAAATATGTTTCTTCAATGCCTAGTTTGTCGAGGTTTTTTAGCATAAAGGGATGTTGAATTTTATCAAAAGCTCTATTGAGAGGATTATGTGTGTGGGGAGGGTTGTTCTATTTATGTGATGAATCATATTTAAGATTTGTGTATATTGGCCGGGCACTGTGGCTCATGCCTGTAATCCCAGCACTTTGGGAAGCCAAGGCTTGTGGATCATGAGGTCAGGAGATCGACACCATCCTGGCTAACACGGTGAAACCTCGTCTATACTAAAAAACACAAAAAAATTAGCCAGGCGTGGTGGTGGGCACCTGTAGTCCCAGCTGCTCGGGAGGCTCAGGCAGGAGAATGGCGTGAATCCAGGAGGCGGAGCTTGCAGTGAGCCAAGTTCACGCCACTACACTCCAGCCTGGGCAACAGAGCGAGACTCCTATATCGAATCAACCTTGCATCCCAGAAATAAAGCCTACCTGATGGTGGTGGATTAGCTTTCTGATGTGCTGCTGGATAGTTTGCTAGTATTTTGTTGAGGATTTTTGCATTTATGTTCAACAAGGATATTGTCCTGAAGTTTTCTGGTTTTGTTGTGTCTCTGCCATGTTTTTGCATCAAGATGATGCTGGTCTCATAGAATGAGCTGGGGAGGCATTCCTCCTCCTGAATATTTTTGGAACGTTTCAGTAGGTATAGTACCAGCTCTTCTTTATATATCAGATGGGATTCAGCTGTGAGTCTGTCTGGTACTGGGCTTTTTCTGGTCTGTAGGATTTTTATTACTGATTCAATTTTGGAGCTCATTATTGGTCTGTTCATGTATTCAATTTATTCTTGGTTTGATCTCAGGAGGGTGTATGTGTCCAGGAATTTCTCCATTTATTCTGGATTTTCTAGTTTGTGTGCATAGAGGTGTTCATAATATTCTCTGATGATTGTATTTCTGTGGGGTGAGTGGTAATATACCCTTTGTTGTTTCTAATTGTGTTTATCCGGATCATCTCTCTTTTCTTCTTTATTAGTCTAACTAGTCATCTGTCTTACTAATTTTTTCAAAAATTCTACTCCTCGATTTGCTGATCTTCTGAATGCTTTTTCGTGTCTCAATCTCCTTCAGCTCAGCTCTGATTTTGGTTATTTCTTGTTTCCTATGAGCTTTGGGGTTGATTTCCTCTTGGTTCTCTTAGTTCCTCTTGTTATGATGTTAGGTTGTTAATTTGAACTTTTTCTAGCTTTTTGAAGTGGGAGTTTAGTGCTATAAACTTCCCCCTTAACACTGCCTTAGCTGTGTCCCAGAGATTCTGCTATATTTACCCAAAAATTCCAGAACAGACTGCTTAATTTCCATGCATTGTACAGTTTTGAGTGGTTTTCTTAGTATTTATTCCTATTTTTATTCCACTGTGCTCTGATTTCGCTTTTCTGGATTTGCTAAGGATTGTTTTTTTTTTTTTTGAAATGGAGTCTTGCTCTGTCGCCCAGGCTGGAGTGCAGTGGCGCAATCTAGGCTCACTGCAAGCTCCGCCTCCCGGGTTCACACCATTCTCCTGCCTCAGCCTCCTGAGTAGCTGAGACTACAGGTGCCCGCCACCCCGCCCGGCTAATTTTTTTTGTATTTTTAGTAAAGACGGGGTTTCACTGCGTTAGCCAGGATGGTCTCGATCTCCTGACCTCATGATCCGCCAGCCTTGGCTTCCCAAAGTGCTGGGATTACAGGTGTGAGCCACCGCGCCCAGCCTGCTAAGGATTGCTGTATGTCTGATTGTATGATTGACTTTAGAGTATGTGCCATGAGGCAATGAAAACAATGTAGATTCTGTTGTTTTGGGGGTGGAGAGTTCTGTAGATGTCTGTCAGGTCCATTTGATCCACTGCTGAGTTCAGGTCCTGAATATCTCTGTTTGCCTCAATGATCTAATACTGTCGGCGGGATGTTAAAGTCTCCCCCTATTATTGTGTGGTTGTCTAAGTCTCTTCGTTGGTCTCTCAGAACACGCTTTATGAATCCGGGTGCTTCCATGTTAGGTGCATATATATTTAGGATAGTTAGGTCTTCATGCTCTTTTTTTAATTTTTTTTTTCTTTTTCTTTTTGATTCAGCAGTTGGGCTATTACACACTCCTTAGCAGATTCCGACTTCCGTGGCCACTGTCCTGCTATGGTCTTCATGTTGAATTGAACCCTTTACCATGATTTAATGCCCTTCTTTGCCTTTTTTGATCTTTGTTGGTATAAAGTCTGTTTTGTCTGAAATTTTAATAGCAGCTCCTGCATTTTTTTTTTTTTTGGCTTTCCATTTGCTTGGTAGATTTTTCTCCATTTCTTTACTTTGAGCCTATGGATGTCATTGCATATGAGATGGGTTTCTTATAGGCAGCATAATGTTGAGTCTTGCTTTTTTTTTTTTTTTTTTTTGAGATGGAGTCTCACTCTGTCACCCAGGCTGGAGTGCAGTGGTATGATCTTGACTCACTGCAACTTCTGCCTCCCAGGTTCAAATGATTCTCCTGCCTCAGCCTCCCAAATAGCTGGGATTACAGGTGTGTACCACCACGCCCAGCTATTTTTTTTTTTTATTAGAGATGGGATTTCATCACATTGGCCAGGCTAATGTCGAACTCCTGACCTCAAATGATCCACCCACCTCAGCCTCCCAAAGTGCCGGGGTTACAGGCGTGAGCCACTGCACCTGGCCTCTTGCTTCTTTATCCAACTTGCCACTCTCTGCATTTTAATTAGGACAATTAGTCCATTTACATTCAAAGTTAGCATTTACATGTGCAGATTTTTTCCTGTCATCATGTTGTTAGCTGGTTTGGTTATTATGCAGACTTGTTTGTGTGGTTGTTTTATAGTGTCACTGGTTTATGTACGTAAGTGTGTTTTCTTTTGGCTGGTGATGGTCTTTTCTTTCCATATTTAGCGTTCCTCTTAGGACCTCTTGTAAGGCAGGCCTGATGGTAATAAATTCCCTCAGCATTTGCTTGTCTGTAAAGGATCTTATTTCTCCTTCACTTATGAAACTTAGTTTGGCTGGGAATGAGATTCTTGGTTGGAAATTCTTTTCATAAGAACATTAAATATAGGCCCCCAATCTCTTCTGGATTGTAGAGTTTCTGCTGAAAGGTCTGCTGTTAGCTCGATGGCATTCCCTTTGTAGGTGACCTGCCCCTTCTTTTTTGCTGCCTTTTCACATTTTTTTTTTTTTTTTGAGACTGAGTCTTGCTCTGTTGCCCAGGCTGCCAGGCTGGAGTGCAATGGCGTGATCTCGGCTCACTGCAAGCTCCGCCTCCCGGATTCACGCCATTCTCCTGCCTCAGCCTCCCCAGTAGCTGGGACTACAGGTGCCCACCACCACGCCCAGCTAATTTTTTATATTTTTTTAGTAGAGATGGGGTTTCACCATGTTAGCCAGGATGGTCTCAATCTCCTGACCTCGTGATCCGCCCGCCTTGGTCTCCCAAAGTGCTGGGATTACAGGCGTGAGCCACCGCGCCCGGCCGACATTTCTTTCTTTCATTTCTACCTTGAAGAATCTGATGATTTTGTGTCTTGGGGATGCTCTTCTTGTGTAGTATTTTGCAGGGGTTCTCTGTTTCCTGCATTTGATTCTTGGCCTCTCTAGTGACGTTGGGGAAGTTTTCATGAACAATACACTGAAATATGTTTTCCATGTTCCTTGCTTTCTCCCCATCTCTTTCGGGGATGCCAATGGGCTATTTGGTCTCTTTTCATGATCCCATATTTCTTAGAGGTTTTGTTCATTATTTTTTATTCTTTTTCTTCATTTTTGTCTGACTGAATTAGTTCAGAGAGCCAGTATTCATGCTCTGAGATTCTTTCCTTATTTTGCTTTATTTTGCCATTAATACTTGTGATCGCATTATGAAATCTCGTAGTGTGTTTTTCAGCTCCATCAGATCCGTTTGGTTCTTTCAAAATGACCATCTCATAGATTAGCCCCTCTGTCATTTTATTGTAATCTTTAGGTTCCTTGCATTGGGTTTCAACTTTCTCCTGAATCTTGATGACCTTAATTTCTATCCATATTCTGAATTCTATTTCTGTCATTTCAGCCAGGTAAAGAGCCCTTGCTGGGAAGCTTGTGTGGTAATTTGGAGGAAGGAAGACACTGTTGCTTTTTGAGTTGATGGAGTTCTTGCTCAGTTCTTTCTCATCCATGTGGGCTAATGTTCCTTTGAGTGTGCTGCAATTTGAATTTTTTTCTTTTTTCTTTTAACCGTGATGTAATTTGAGCACAGTCAGTAGACTTCTTTTCTGGATGGTTTCAGAGGGCTGGGGCTTCGCACAGGGTCTTTATTTATAGCTAAATTCTTGTCCTTGGTTTCACAGGGAGGTATATTAGCGAGCATTTTTGGTGTTGAAGTTTGGGCTGCAATCCGGTAAATGATGCTTCAGCACAACGGCCAGTAGGTCATTCCTCATGATTGCCGCTGTGCTCCCTCTCACGCTCTGAAAGTGCGGGCTCCTCTCCCACCCAAGTGCTGGCTGCAGATCTGGGCTCGGCACTCCCAGGCTGCACATCACAGCTCTGGGGTGAGCTCAGACTTTATGTTCCCTCCGTGGCTTGGGGGCAGCAGGGGAAGGGACCTTAGCAGCGGTTGTGGCAGACGGCCTTTCACTTGTCCCTTGGAACTCCACCCCAGAGAGATGTGGAGCCACTATCAGTGCGATGAGCCAAGAGTGGGGCGACTGCACTGTGGGTCCAAGCTAGGGGCCCTGCCTAGTGATGAGCAGGGGGGACAGGTGGGTCACAGGGGTGACAGACTGGCCTCTTCTCCTTAGGGCAGTTTGCTGGAGGTGTGGTTGAAGCACTCAGAGTCTTTGCTCCTTCCCCAGTCTGAGGGCAGCAAGGCCAGTACCACCGCAGTGGCAGCGGCAGAGTGACCTTCCGTTGCCTCTGGGAGCTCCGCCACAGAGAAACGCAGACTCACAGCTGCTGGGAACGCTCCGCCAGAGGGTGGGGCTGTTGTGCCGCGGAATCAAGCTGGGGCTTGGTGAAGAGCAGGGGGTTGAGGGCTCACAGGGAGAGGAGACTGAGCTCCTCTCCGTATGGCGACTGCGGTGTGCTGGAAGCATGAATGAAGGCCGGGCGCGGTGGACTCACGCCCGGAATCCCAGCACTTTGGGAGGCCGAGGCGGGCGGATCACGAGGTCGGGAGATCGAGACCATCCTGGCTAATCTGGTGAAACCCCGTCTCTACTGAAAACACAAAAAATGAGCCGGGCGTGGTGGCGGGCGCCTGTAGTCCCAGCTACTCGGGAGGAGGATGAGGCTGAGGCAGGAGAATGGCGTGAACCCGGGAGGCGCAGCTTGCAGTGAGCCGAGATCGGGCCACTGCACTGCAGCGTGGGCGACAGAGCGAGACTCCGTCTCAAATAAATAAATAAATAAATAGAAGCATGAATGAAGGCCCCAGGCTCCTTGCTTCTTCCCCAGATCACGGGCAGCAGAGGCAGAACCCTTGCCATGGCAGTGGCAGAGGGGCTGTCAGTTGCCTCTGGGAGCCACTCCCCAGGGAAACACGAGCCACCACCAGTGAGTGTGCTGAGGGCGGGGCAGCTGCTCTGCACTCCCGAGCTGGGGGCTCTGCCTGGTAAAGTGGGGGTGGGAGCTCACGGGGAAGAGAGACTGGACTCCTCTCTGTCTGATGGCTGTGGCATAATGACCGGGCCCCCACACATGAAAAAGAATTCTGGGAACTCAAAAAGCCAGTGTGTCCCCACCATGGACCCCTTGGATTGTGTTTCAAATTTCTCCTCAATTTCGAAGAGCGTCCTGGCCATCCAGATTCTGAATTCTATAACCCTCGTTTCATTCATCTCAATGTAGCTAAGAACCAGATTTCTGGGGAACTATCGAGTTGCCAGAGTTCTTGTGTTGATTCTTTTTTTTTTTTCTTTTTTTTTTCTTTTTTGTGGCAGAGTCTTACTCTGTCGCCCAGGCTGGAGTGCAGTGGCACGATCTCAGCTCACTGCTGCAACCTTCACCTCCCGGGTTCAAGCGATTCTCCTGTCTCAGCCTCCTGAGTAGCTGGGATTACAGGTGTGTGCCACCACGCCCGGCTAATTTTTGTATGTTTAGTAGAGCCCGGGTTTTGTCACGTTGGTCAGGCTGGTCTCAAACTCTTGACCTCCGGTGATCTGCCCACTTCAGCCTCCCAAAGTGCTGGGATTACAGGTGTGAGCCACCGCGCCCGGCCTTGGTGTTGATTCTTTCTCTTGTGTGAGGGCTGGTGTTCCTTTAACTGTGATGTCGGTTGAGTACAGTCGCTTGGCTTCATTTCTGGGTGTTTTCAGATGCCAGGACTCTGCACAGGATCTTTATTTGTGGCTGAATTTTTCCCTTCATTGTATACTGGCAAAATTTTTCAGTGTTGTATTTTGAAGTGTGATCCAGTAGGTGGCACTTAAAAGGGTTGGCCAGCATACAGGATCTTAGCCACAAGGCTCTTTTGTAGTTTTGTTTCGTTTTTTGTTTCGTTTTTTGACACAGGGTCTTGTTCTGTCGCCCAGGCTGGAGCACAGTGGCACAATCTCGGCTCACTGCAGCCTCTACCTATCAGGCTAAGTGATCCTCCTGCCTCAGCCTCCTGAGTAGCTGGGACTACAAGCACGCAGCACCATAAAGAGAAAATTTTTGTAATTTTTTTTTTTTTTTTGTAGAGATGGGGTTTCACCATGTTTACCAGGCTGGTCTCAAACTCCTGGGCTCAAGCAATCTGCCTGCCTTGGCCCCCTAACTCTTGTATTTTGACAAAGTCGGCAGTAGTGCTCTGTGGTTGTGAGGAGGGGTGACTCCCTCGCCTGGTCCATTCTTGGGCCTTGGAGGAGCCTCCTACAGTCACTGGCTCTGCACCCACTGTTTCCTTTGTTAGGATTGTTCTGCCCACGGGGCTCCCTCAGGCAGGGCATGGTGGGCAGACAGGCTGTATCCTTCCCCGGCCAGCCCTATGGAGGGAGGACCACCCCGCACCTCTGCAGGCTGATGAAATCAGGTGTTTCACCCCTCTGAACGTTCTGAGAATGAGGGCTCCTCACGGCTTGGTCGCCACCTAACGTGGTGAGTCCTTCTCAGCAAGGGTGATTGGAGCCACATGATCTGCCATCTCAGTGCTTCCCAGGGGAACACAGAGCTACTGGGCATGGTGGCTCACACGTGTAATCCCAGTACTTTAGGAGGCCGAGATGGGCAGATTGCGAAGTCAGGAGACTGAGACCATCCTGGATAACATGGTGAAACCCCGTCTCTACTAAAAATACAAAAAAAAATTAGCCAGGCGTGGTGGCGGGCGCCTGTAGTCCCAGCTACTCGGGAGGCTGAGGCAGAAGAATGGTGTGAACCCGGGAGGCGGAGCTTGCAGTGAGCCAAGATCACACCACTGCACTCCAGCCTGGGCAACAGAGTGAGACTTCATCTCAACAAAAAAAGAAAAGAAAAGAAAAACACAGAGCTGCACACCCCACAGAGTTCAGGCAGAAGGGGGTCTGCAGCGCTGGAAGACCCAGCAAGCCTGGCCCGTCTGGCTGCAAGTGGCAGGGGTGGGTGGAGTCACCCACTTCACCATCTGGGTGCTTTCCAGGGAAGCATGCAGCCATGACCCCGGGCAGAGTTCAGGCAGAAGCTGGGCCACTGTGCTGGAAACTGGCCTTGAGCCTTGTGGAGTAACGGCAGGTGGAGCCATCTCACTGCTCCCACGCACCATGCCCGTGGCCTCTGCGGGGGCTGTGGTAACGGCACCCGACTGCTCTGGGGTCAATGCCTGCGGAGGTCCCCCTGGCTTCAGTGTTGCCTCTGCAAAAACCCCAGTTGCAGCCAGGTGCGGTGGCTCACGCTTGTAATCCCAGCACTTTGGGAGGCCGAGGCAGGTGGATCACTTGAAGTCAGGAGTTCAAGACCAGCCTGGCCAACATGGTGAAACCCCGTTTCTACTAAAAATACAAAAATTATCCAGGCATGGTGGTGGGCACCTGTAATCCCAGCTACTCGGAAGGCTGAGGCAGCAGAATTGCTTGAACCCGGGAGGCGGAGGAGCTGAGATTGCACCACTGCACTGCAGCCTGGGCGACAAAACAAGACTCTGTCTCGAAAAATAATAACAATAAAAAATAAAGATGGCAACCATAGACACTGGAGACTACTAGATGGGGGGGAAGAAAGGGGGTTGAAAAACTGCCTATTGGGTACTATGCTCAGTACCTGGGTGACAGGATCAATCGTACTCCAAACCTCAGCATCACAAATTATTTAAATTTTTCTCTTTTTTTAATTTTTTTGTTGTTGTTGTTGAGACGAAGTCTCACTCTTTTGCCCAGGCTGGAGTGCAGTGGTGTGATCTCGGCTCACTGCAAGCTCTGCCTCCCAGGTTCACGCCATTCTCCTGCCCCAATCTCCCGAGTAGCTGGGACTACACGCGCCCGCCACCACGTCCTGCTAATTTTTTGTATTTTCAGTAGACACGGGGTTTCACCGTGTTAGCCAGGATGGTCTTGATATCGTCACCTTGTGATCCACCCGCCTCGGCCTCCCAAAGTGCTGGGAATACAGGCGTGAGCTACCGCACCCGGCCTAAATTTTTTTTTAAATAAAGAATGGTAGGTTCTTCACACCCTAATGTATTTTTACTTCTCCCACAGAGAAGGAAAGGAATGGCTTCCCCATGGCAAGCCACCTCAGTCTGGGCTTTCTTTTCTTCCAGGGGACTTTCCCATGCCTTTCATATCTGCCAAATCGAGTCCTGTGATTCCCTTGGATGGATCTGTGAAAATCCAGTGCCAGGCCATTCGTGAAGCTTACCTGACCCAGCTGATGATCATAAAAAACTCCACGTACCGAGAGATAGGCAGAAGACTGAAGTTTTGGAATGAGACTGATCCTGAGTTCGTCATTGACCACATGGACGCAAACAAGGCAGGGCGCTATCAGTGCCAATATAGGATAGGGCACTACAGGTTCCGGTACAGTAACACCCTGGAGCTGGTAGTGACAGGTAAGGAAACATCCAGGGTCCACAGCCCTGGTGTGATTTTTTTCTTATTTTTAATAGAGTATTTTTCAAGAAGTTTTAGATTTACAAACAAAAAAAAATTGATGATTGCTTCAGAGAGTTCTCAGCCATCTGGCACCCCACTTCCCCCAGAGTTAACATCTTACATTAGTATGGCACATTTCTTACCATTAATGAACAAATATCGACACATTCCCAGCTACAGTCTACAGTTTATTTACATTTTCTTAGTTTTTACCTGATAGTCTTTCTCTGTTCCAGGATCCCATTCAAGATTTCACATTGCGGCTGGGAGTGGTGGCTCACGCCTGTAATCCCAACACTTAGGGAAGCCGAGGCGGGTGGATCACCCAAGGTCAGGAGTTCGAGACCAGCCTGGCCAACATGGTGAATTCCCCGTCTCTACTGAAAATGCAACAATCGCTGGGCGCGGTGGCTCACGCCTGTAATCCCAACACTTTGGGTGGCTGAGGTGGGTGGATCACCTGAGGTCAGGAGTTCGAGACCAGCCTGGCCAACACAGTGAAACCTCGTCTCTACTAAAAATGGAAAAAATTGGCCAGGCCTGGTGGCACACGCCTGTAATCCCAGCTACTTGGGAGGCTGAGGCAGGAGAATCGCTTGAACCCAGGAGGCAGAGGTTGCAGTGAGCCAAGATCACACCACTGCACTCCAGGCTGGGCGACAGGGCGAGACTCCATCTCACACACACACACACACAAAGATTTCACATTGCATTCAGGTGTCATGTATCTTTTTTTTTTTTTTTTTTTTTTTTGAGATGGAGTCCCACTGTGTTGCCCAGGCTGGAGTGCAGTGGCACAATCTCGGCTCACTGCAAGCTCCAACCTCCCGGGTTCACGCCATTCTCCTGCCTCAGCCTCCCGAGTAGCTGGGACTACAGGCGCCCGCCACCACGCCTGGCTAATTTTTTGTATTTTTAGTAGAGATAGGGTTTCACTGTGTTAGCCAGGATGGTCTCAATCTTCTGACCTCGTGATCCGCCCGCCTGGCCTCCCAAAGTGCTGGGATTACTGGCGTGAGCCACCACGCCCGGCCCCCGAAAATGCTGGGATTACAGGCATGAGCCACCGCACCTGGCCTCCCAAAGTGCTGGGATTCCAGGCGTGAGCCACCGTGCCCGGCAGGTGTCATGTATCTTTAGGTTTGTCTTGGCTGTCACAGCTTCTCAGATGTTGCTGGTTTTCCATGACCTTGTCAGTTTTGAGGGTAGTGGTCCATTATTTTCAAGGGTACTCCCACTACTGGAAATTGTCCGATGTTTTGCTCATGACTAGACTGAGTTATGGGTCATTGCAGGCAAGACCACAGAAGCAAAGTGCCATTTCATCTCCTCATAGCAAAGGTTTAAACTGTCCATGGGAACATGACTGTGGATGTTGAGCTGGCTGTTGTTGAAAGCCTGGCTGAAGTAGTAACTGTGGCCAGACACCGTGGCTCGTGCCTGTAATCCCAGCACTTTGGGAGGCTGGGCGCCGTGGCTCACGCCTGTAATCCCAGCACTTTGAGAAGCCGAGATGGGCAGATCACTTAAGCCCAGGAGACCAGCCTGGGCAACATAGTAAGACCCCATCTGTACAAAAAATCAAAAAATTAGCTGGGCATGGTGGCACCCACCTGTAGTCTCAGTTACTTGAGAGGCTGAGATGGTAGGATCACCTGAGCCTGGGAGGTCGAGGCTGCAGTGAGCCGTGATTATGCCACTGCCCTCAGCCTGGGCGGCAGAGTGAGACCCTCTCTAAAATAAATAAATTCTAAAAAAGAAAAAAGAGGCTGGGCACTGTGGTTCACGCCTGTAATCCCAGCACTTTGGGAGGCTGAGGCAGGTGGATCACCTGAGGTCAGGGATTCAAGACCAGCCTGACCAACATGGGGAAACCTCATCTTTACTAAAAATACAAAAATTAGCTGGGCGTGGTGGCGGGTGCCTGTAATCCCAGCTACTCGGGAGGCTGAGGCAGGAGACTCACTTGAACCTCGGAGGTGGAGGTTGCAGTGAGCTGAGATCGTGCCACTGCACTGCAGCCTCAGTGACAGAGCGAGACTCCATCTCAAAAAACAATAATAGGCTGGGCACAGTTGCTCATGCCTGTAATCCCAGCACTTTGGGAGGCCAAGGTGGGCAAATCACCTGAGGTCAGGAGTTCGAGACCAGCCTGACCAACATGGAGAGACCCCGTCTCTACTAAAAATACAAAAATTAGCTGGGCGTGGTGGTACGCACCTGTAATCCCAGTTTCTCGGGAGGCTGAGGCAGGAGAATTGCTTGAACCCGGGAGACGGAGGTTGCAGTGAGCTGAGATCACGCCACTGCACTCCAGCTTGGGCAATAAGAGCGAAACTCCATCTCAAAAAAATATATAATAATAACAATAATAATAAGAAGAAAAGAATAAAGGAGAAAAGGTCTTTCTAATAGCTCACTCTTTTCTCTCTTAGGCTTGTATGGCAAACCCTTCCTCTCTGCAGATCGGGGTCTGGTGTTGATGCCAGGAGAGAATATTTCCCTCACGTGCAGCTCAGCACACATCCCATTTGATAGATTTTCACTGGCCAAGGAGGGAGAACTTTCTCTGCCACAGCACCAAAGTGGGGAACACCCGGCCAACTTCTCTTTGGGTCCTGTGGACCTCAATGTCTCAGGGATCTACAGGTGCTACGGTTGGTACAACAGGAGCCCCTACCTGTGGTCCTTCCCCAGTAATGCCTTGGAGCTTGTGGTCACAGGTAGGTACCGCCCAGTCCAGCCCTGTGTCTGGGTTGGCTGTCCAGGGCCTTGCCACCGGGCAGGAATATGAAGACGTGCACTGAGAGTGAAGTGAAGAGAGGCAAAGGCTCTCACTCCAGGACAGTGGAGAGAGAAAGGCTTCCCCACCACACTTTCCGCTTTCACTTCCTCGCTAGAGTTCTCCAGACAGGGTTCATTGAAAACTTAGTCTGTGGAGAACAGAAGGGCTAACTCAGTTTGTTTCATTTTATTTATTTCATTTTATTTTCCGGGATAGAGTCTTGCTCTTTCGCCAAGGCTGGAGTGCAGTGGCACGATCTCGACTCACTGCAACCTTCGCCTCCCAGGTTCAAGCAATTCTCCTGCCTCAGCCTCCTGAGTAGCTGGGACCACACAGACAGGGTTTCACCATGTTGGCCAGGCTGGTCTCGAACTCCCGACCTCAGGTGATCCACCTGCCTCGGCCTCCCAAAGTGCTGGGATTACAGGCGTGAGCCACCGCGCCTGGCCAGGCTGCACACATTCTTATTAGGATTCCACCTTGTTCTGGTGTTGTAGAGATGTGATTAGGTATTTAGTGAATTCACCAAGTGAGGAGAGAATGAAAAGAAAACACAACCTGCCTGGCCGGGCGTGGTGGCGTGAGCCTGTCGTCCCAGCTACTCAGGAGGCTGAGGCAGGAGAATCACTTGAACCCAGGAGGCAGCTGTTGCAGTGAGCCAAGATCACGCCATTGCACTCCAGCCTGGGTGACAGAACGAGACTCCACCTCAAGAAAAAAAAAAAAAACACGGCTGGGCACGATGGCTCACGCCTGTAATCTGAGCACATTGGGAGGCTGAGGCAGGTGGATCACCTGAGGTCGGGAGTTTGAGACCAGCCTGGCCAACATAGTGAAACCCCATCTCCACTAAAAATACAAAAATTAACCAGGCGTGGTGGTGGTGGGCGCCTGTAATCCCAGCTACTTGGGAGGCTGAGGCAGGAGAATCACTTGACCAGGGAGGCGGAGGTTGCAGTGAGCCGAGATCACGCCACTGCACTCCAGCCTGGGCAACAGAGTGAGACTCCATCTCAAAAAAAAAAAAAAAAAAAAACACACACAACCTGCCCATAATCACCTCCTTCCCAGTTTATAGCACTTCCCTGGGAAGCACAGTTCCTTGCCCGTGAACACAGTCTTGCTGACTGATCAGTGTGGTGCTGGCGAAGCATGAGCTCATTGAGGGGATGCTTGAGGGAGTCCCATTTTGGCAAGCGAAAAGGAAAATGAGCTCCCGTTTCAGGGCTCTGGGGTTGGGATGGAATGGAACACAACCACCAACCATTCATCTCCTTGAATTGTGTCTCCAGACTCCATCCACCAAGATTACACGACGCAGAACTTGATCCGCATGGCCGTGGCAGGACTGGTCCTCGTGGCTCTCTTGGCCATACTGGTTGAAAATTGGCACAGCCATACGGCACTGAACAAGGAAGCCTCGGCAGATGTGGCTGAACCGAGCTGGAGCCAACAGATGTGTCAGCCAGGATTGACCTTTGCACGAACACCAAGTGTCTGCAAGTAAACACCTGGAGGTGAAGGCAGAGAGGAGCCAGGACTGTGGAGTCCGACAAAGCTACTTGAAGGACACAAGAGAGAAAAGCTCACTAAGAAGCTTGAATCTACTTTTTTTTTTTTTTGAGACAGAGTCTGGCTCTGTCACCCAGGCTGGAGTGCAGTGGAGCAATCTCGGCTCATTGAACCTCTTGGGTTCAAGTGATTCTTGTGCCTCAGCCTCCCAAGTAGCTGGAATTACAGGCACATACCACTGCACCCAGCTAATTTTTGTATTTTTAGTAGAGATGGGGTTTCACTGTGTTGGCCAGGCTGGTCTCGAACTCCTGACCTCAGGTGATCCACCCACCTTGGCCTCCCAAAGTGCTGAGATTATAGGCATGAGCCACCACGCCTGGCCAGATGCATGTTCAAACCAATCAAATGGTGTTTTCTTATGCAGGACTGATCGATTTGCACCCACCTTTCTGCACATAAGTTATGGTTTTCCATCTTATCTGTCTTCTGATTTTTTATATCCTGTTTAATTTCTTCCTTCATTGTTCTTCTCTTTTTTTATTTATTTTATTTATTTTTATTTTTATTTTTATTTGAGACAGAGTCTCACTCTGTTGCCCAGGCTGGAGTGCAGTGGCACGATCTCGGCTCACTGCAACCTCTGCCTCCTGGGTTCAAGTGATTCTCCTGCCTCGGCCTCCCAAGTAGCTGGGATTACAGGCTCCCACCATCACGCCCAGCTACTTTTACAGTATTTTTAGTAGAGACGGGGTTTCATCACATTGGCCAAGCTGGTCTCAAACTTCTGACCTCGTGATCTGCCCGCCTCGGCCTCCCAAAGTGCTGGGATTACAGATGTGAGCCACTGCGCCCAGCCTTCTTTTTATATTTTTAAATGTGTCTTCCCCAAATATAAATGGTTGGTAAGCATGCCAAATATATTCAATAACCCCCCTCCTTTATTTTTTTTTGTTGAAGTGAGGCTCTCCCTATGTTGCCTAAGCTGGT
This sequence comes from Homo sapiens, assembly GCF_000001405.40. Taxonomy (NCBI): domain Eukaryota; kingdom Metazoa; phylum Chordata; class Mammalia; order Primates; family Hominidae; genus Homo; species Homo sapiens. The sequence goes on from NW_003571055.2 coordinate 536,088, forward strand.
CTTGAACTCCTGGTCTCAAGCAATCCTCCTACCTCAGCCTCCTGCTGTGTTCATCTACAAATTGATAAGAGTGAAAGTCATAATCCTACAGGAGGATTACCCTATTTATTTCACAAACCCTATTTCTACCGGATTTTCATACAAGGAATACAGGCATGTGTTTCACCTCATTAATTTATTTTTTCACTTAGTTTTGATGATATTCACATATATTATCAAGTGTGCAAACATTAAATTCTTGTGTACAAAACTCAAATGGTCTTCCAAATAATTCCCCATTCTTTTTTCTTATAAACTTTCACAGCTTTACCCTTGACAGACTTTACTCAAGGAAATCTAAGTTGGTCATATGTGGCTCTTTCACTGATTGCTATTTACTTCATTGTCCAGTAGCTTATGTATGAAAATATAATTATAAAATGTAAGGGTCCTACTTCCAGTGAAACTGAAGGGACTTAGGCCCACTTTTATCCTTTACTGAGAGCTTATCTCTACTTGATAAAATTTCTACTGTATTCTTGGCTTAACTCAGGTCCTGTGATTAAAAAAAAAATGCAAAGTATTTCTAACTTTCTTTATTGACTGCTTTTCACACTTTATACAAGTTCTGGCCCATATCTTCAGTTTGTTCTGATTTTTTTCACCAGGTGTGGTGGCAGGTGCCTGTAGTCCCAGCTACTCCAGGGGCTGAGGCAGGAGAATGGCGTGAACCTGGGAGGCGGGGCTTGCAATGAGCTGAGATCACGCCACTACACTCCAGCCTGGGCCACAGAGCGAGACTCCGTCTCAAAAGTAAACAAACAAATAAATAATAAATAAATAAATAAAGGGAAAGTGCCACAATTTTGGATGAAGGGGGTTGAGGGACTTTACGTCAGGTCCAGGACTTGGATTACAGAGACACAATGGGGCTAGATTCCCAGAGATGGATAAGATTAAACTCATATAAGTCGTTTTGCTGACAGAAGGACCTTGTTTGGAAAAAGCGTTTTCAGAATAATAAAGTTCCTGAGCTCTTCAGAAAAGTATTTTATTGTCCTGTAACCACAGTAACAAGTAGCCACCAAAACTGATTTTTAACCCATCATCAATGACAACTCATCTCTGTGAAGATGCTCTTTTTTTTTTTTTTTTTTTTTTGAGACGGGGTCTTGCTCTGTCACCCAGGCTGGGGAGCAGTGACGTGACCTCGGCTCCCTGCAACCTCTCTTTCCCGGGTTCAGCAATTCTCCTGCCTCAGCCTCCCCAGTAGCTGGGATTATAGGCACCTGCCACCACACGCAGATAATTTTTGTATTTTTAGTACAGACGGGTTTCGCCATGTTGGCCAAGCTGGTCACAAACTTCTGACCTCAGGGTGATCTGCCTGCCTCAGCCTCTCAAAGTGCTGGGATTACAGGAGTGAGCCACAAAGCCCGGCCACTCCATACGTTTTATATTGTTATGTTACCATCAGTCAGGCAGCTCCTTGCTTCTAAAAGTCATCCAATCAGACTCATTTCAGTAAACACCCAAGCATGAGTGACAACCAATCAAAGTAATATCTTCCCAATGACCACACTTTTCCAGATGACGTCAAGCCACAGAAGGCCCTGAAAATCCAACAATCTCTGAAGTATACATTTCCCAGGCTGAGCGCAGTGGCTCACACCTGAAATCCCAGCACTTTGGGAGGCTAAGGCAGGCAGATCACGAGGCCAGGAGTTCGAGACCAGCCTGGCCAACATGGCAAAACCCCGTCTCTACTAAAAATACAAAAATTAGCCAGGTGTGGTGGCACGCACCTGCATTACCAGCTACTGAGGAGGCTGAGGCAGGAGAATGGCTTGAACCCAGGAGGCGGAGGTTGCAGTGAGCCAAGATCGTACCACCGCACTCCAGCCTTGGTGACAGAGCAAGACTCCATCTCAACAACAACAACAAAAATGGTTGAAATAAAACTTCTATGTGTTGAACGATTCCTCTTTTAGGCATAGAGTTTCAGTTTTACAAGATGAAAATATTCTGGAGATCTGTTTCAAAACACCGTGAATACATTTAACACTGCTATACTGTACACTTACAATGGCTAAGATGGTAAATTGTATGTTATGTTTTTACTACAATTTTTTTTTTTTTTTTTTTTGAGACAGAGTCTCACTCTTGTTGCCCAGGCTGGAGTGCAATGGCGCGGTCTCGGCTCACCGCAACCTCCGCCTCCTGGGCTCAAGCCATTCTCCTGCCTCAGCCTCCAGAGCAGCTGGGATTACAGGCATGCGCCACCACGCCTGGCTAATTTTATATTTTTAGAAGAGACGGGGTTTCTCCATGTTGGTCAGGCTGGTCTCGAACTCTGGACCTCAGGTGATCCACCCGCCTTGGCCTCCCAAAGTGCTGGGATCACAGGCGTGAGCCACCACGCCTGGCCTACAATTTTTTTTTAACTTTTTTTTCTGAGATGGAGTCTCGCTCTTGTCACCCAAGTTGGAGTGCAGTAGTGTGATCTCGGCTCACTGCAACCTCTGCCTCCCTGGTTCAAGGGATTCTCCTGCCTCAACCTCCCAAGTGTGGGAGATCAGTCAGAGTAGCAGAAGAAATTATAGGAATAGGAAGCAGCAAACCTTCTTGGAAGGCCAGGGAGGTTGGCATAGCTTCAGATAGTTTGGCTGAAAGCAGCCAGATTCTCTTTTCAGGAGCCAAACAGCTTAGGGCGCAGATAGAAAGGAATGCGGAGTATTTTATCTAAATAGCTTGCTTAGTCATATGGTCCTAAAATCAACCTTTGATCATTCTCGGGCAAGATGGCCCTCTCCAGGGAGGTGGCGGGGGGCGGTGACCAGGTTAATTACCCACAGGTGTGTTGACTCAAAGCCTTTGTTAATTAAATCTGTGCTAAATAAATGCAAGCGTTGCCAGCTTAGAGGGGCTGCACTCTCTTTGGCTCCTAGTGCCGGCAGCCCCCTGGCCTGCTCTTTCACTGAATATTGGTGTCTGAGGACGTGTCTCATCTGTCGTACAGCTGGGATCTGCAGAACAGATCCCCCCCGCACCCAAGAAGCTGGGATTACAGGCACCCGCCGCCACGCCCAGCTCATTTTTGTATTTTTAGTAGAGACAGGGTTTCACCATGTTGGTCAGGCCGGTCTCGAACTCCCGGCCTCAGGTGATCTGCCCGCCTCAGCCTCCCAAAAGTGCTTGGATTACAGGCATGAGCCACTGCGCCTGGCCTTAGAAAACTTCTTTTTCTTTTTTTTTTTTTTTTGAGACAGAGTTTCACTCTGTCGCTACGCTGGTGTGATCTGGGCTCACTGCAATCTCCGCCTCCCAGGTTCAAGTGATTCCCCTGCCTCAGCCTCCCGAGTAGCTGGAACTACAGGTGCGCACCGCCACGCCCGGCTAATTTCTTGTATTTTCGTGGAGACGGGGTTTCACCATGTTGGCTAGGCTGGTCTGTTTCATGCGCGTCCGTGTGAAGAGACCACCAAACAGGCTCTGTGTGAGCAGCAAGGCTGTTTATTTCACCTGGGTGCAGGCAGGCTGAGTCCGACAAGAGAGTCAGCGAAGGGGGATAGGGGTGGGGCCGTTTTATAGGATTTGGGTAGGTAAAGGAAAATTACAGTCAAAGGGGGGTTGTTCTTTGGTGGGCAGGAGTGGGGGGTCACAAGGTGCTCAGTAGGGGAGCTTTTGAGTCAGGATGAACCAGAAGAAGGAATTTCACAAGACAATGTCATCAGTTAAGGCAGGAACTGGCCATCTGGATGTGTACGTGCAGGTCACAGGGGATATGATGGCTTAGCTTGGGCTCAGAGGCCTGACATTCCTGTCTTCTTATATTAATAAGAAAAATAAAACGAAATAGTGGTAAAGTGTTGGGATGGCGAAAATTTTGGGGGGTGGTATGGAGAGATAATGGGCGATGTTTCTCAGGGCTGCTTCGAGCGGGATTAGGGGCGGCGTGGGAACCTAGAGTGGGAGCGATTAAGCTGAAGGAAGATTTTGTGGTAAGGGGTGATATTGTGGGATTGTTAGAAGAAACATTTTTCATTTAGAATTACTGGTGATGGCCTGGATGCAGTTTTGTATGAATTGAAAAACTAAATGGAATAAGGAAAGGAGAAAAACAGGTATTAAAGGTCTAAGAATTGGGAGGACCTAGGACATCTAATTAGAGAGTGCCTAAGGAGGTTCAGCATAGCCTTGCCAGCAAAGATTATTTATTTACTTCAAGAGTTAAGAGTGGTGGTTTGGGGATAGCACCAGGAGATATCAGCTGTGATGGCTTGGAAAAACAGTGTAAACCAGCAGTGTAAACAAGAGCAGGGCATGTGTGAGTAGTTGAGAATGGTGAATAGGAGTATGACTAGACAGAAGATAGTAGGGATGACAAGTTTTTTGGGGCACAATCTAAGTTGGTCTGGTGTCTGGAATGAGACTGGGGCTTAATAAAAAGGAGTGTCTATACAGGAGCTCAAATGTGCTGTACCTTGTAGCATTCTGAGGACAGGCCTGAATTCTGAGAAAAGAAAGTGGTAAAAGTATTGTCCAGTCTTTTTTAAGTTGGTGGCTGAGCTTGGTGAGGTGTGTTTTTAATAGACCATTAGTCCGTTCTACCTTTCCTGAAGACTGAGGACTGTAAGGGATATAAAGGTTTCACTGAATACCAAGAGCCTGAAAAACTGCTTGGCTGATTTGACTAATAAAGGCCGGTCTGCTATCAGACTGTATAGAGGTGGGAAGGCCAAACTGTGGAATTATGTCTGACAGGAGGGAAGAAATGACCTCGGTGGCCTTCTCAGACCCTGTGGGAAAGGCCTCTACCCATCCAGTGAAAGTGTCTACCCAGACCAAGAGGTATTTTAGTTTCCTGACTCAGGGCATGTGAGTGAAGTCAATTTGCCAGTCCTAGGCGGGGGCAAATCCCCGAGCCTGATGTGTAGGGAAGGGAGGGGACCTGAGCAATCCCTGAGGGGTAGTAGAATAGCAGATGGAACACTGAGAAGTGGTTTCCTTGAGGATAGATTTCCAGGATGGAAAGGAAATGAGAGGTTCTAAGAGATGGGCTAGCAGCTTGTAACCTACATGGAAGAGGCTATGAAATATCGACCGAATAGAATGGGCCTGTGAGGCTGGAAGGAGGTATTTTCCTTGGTCTAAGAACCATTTGCCTTGTGTGGGAAGAGATTGATGGGTGGAAGTTTCAGTGGGGGAGTAGGTGGGAGTGACTGATGAGAAGGAGAAAAACTGGCTGTGGGGGACAGAAATTGGCATGCTAGCTGCTTGTCTAGCTACCTTATCAGCATAAGCATAGATGTGAGAGACAGAAGTTGGAAAGCTAGCTGCTTGTCTAGCCACCTTGTCAGCATAGGCATTGTCTAGAGCAATGGGATCTGATGACTTTTGATGGCCTTTGCAGTGAATGACTCCAGCTTCCTCTGGGAGTAAAGTGGCCTTGAGCAGAGTTTTTATTAAGGAGGCATTAAAGATGGAGGACCCTTGTGTAGTGAGGAAACCTCTTTCAGCCCATATGACCGCATGGTGGGGCAGAATATGAAAGGCATATTTAGAGTCAGTATAAATATTGATGCATAGTCCTTTTGCATCAGTGAGGGCTTGAGTTAAGGCAACTAATTCGGCTTGCTGAGAGGTAGTGGAGGGGGCAGAGCGGTAGCCTCAATGATAGATGTGGAAGATACTATAGCATAGCCTGCCTTTGCTGGTGAGTGGCGATTAGGCCTGGTGGAACTGCCATCAATAAACTAAATGTGATTAGGGTGAGGAATAGGAAAGAAGGAAATGTGGGGAAATGGGGTGAATGTCAGGTGGATCAGAGAGATACAGTCATGGGGGTCAGGTGTGGTATCCGGAATAATGTGGGAGGCCGGATTGAAGTATGGGCCAGTAACAATGGTAATTGTGGGAGACTCAACAAAGAGTGAGTACAGCTGAAGGAGCCGGGGAGCAGAAAGTATATGCGTCAGGTGTGAGGAAGAAAATAGATTTTTGGAAGTTATGAGAACTGTAGAGAGTGAGTTGAGCATAGTTTGTGATTTTGAGGGCCTCTAAAACTATTAAAGCAGCGGCAGCCGCTGCTCACAGACGTGAGGGCTAGGCTAAAACAGTAAGATCAAGTTGTTTGGACAGAAAGGCTACAGGGTGCGGTCCTGGCTCTTGTGTAAGAGTTCTGACCACGCTAACCATGCCTAGGAAGGAAAGGAGTTGTTGTTTTGTAGAAGGTGCTGGGGTTTGAGAGATCACTAGGACACGATTGGCAGGGAGAGCACGTGTGTTTTTATGAGAATTATGCCGAGATAGGTAACAGAGGAGGAAGAAATTTGGGCTTGACTGAAGTAATGGGGGCTGTCTGTGAAGCCTTGCAGCAGTACAGCCTAGGTAATTTGCTGAGCTTGATCGGTGTCAGGGTCAGTCCAAGTGAAAGCGAAGAGAGGCTGGGATGAAGGGTGCAAAGGAACAGTAAAGAAAGCATGTTTGAGATCCAGAACAGAATAATGGGTTGTAGAGGCAGGTATTGAGGATAGGAGAGTATATGGGTTTGGCACTACGGGGTGGATAGGCAAAACAATTTGGTTGATAAGGTGCAGATCCTGAACTAATGTGTAAGCCTTGTCTGGTTTTAGGACAGGTAAAATGGGAGAATTGTAAGGGGAGTTTATAGGCTTTAAAAGGCCATGCTGTAGCAGGCTTTAATCCTTTTAAAGCATGCTGTGGGATGGGATATTGGCGTTGAGCGGGGTAAGGTTGATTAGGTTTTAATGAGATGGTAAGGGGTGCATGATTGGTCACCAAGGAGGGAGTAGAGGTATCCTATACTTGTGGGTTAAGGTGGGGGGATACAAGAGGAGGACACAAAGGAGGCTTTGGATTGGGAAGAAGGGCAGCAATGAGATATAGCTGTAGTCCAGGAATAGTCAGGGAAGCAGATAATTTAGTTAAAGTGTCTCAGCCTAATAAGGGAACTGGGCAGGTGGGGATAACTAAAAAGGAGTGCTTGAAAGAGTATTGTCTAAGTTGGCACCAGAGTTGGGGAGTTTTAAGAGGTTTAGAAGCCTAGCTGTCAATACCTACAACAGTTATGGAGGCAAGGGAAACAGGCCCTTGAAAAGAAGGTAATGTGGAGTGGGTAGCCTCCATATTGATTAAGAAGGGGACGGGCTTACCTTCCACTGTGAGAGTTACCTAGACTGTCTGTGATGGTCCTGTAGGCTTCCGAGGCGATCGGGATCGGGCAGTGTCAGTCTTCAGCTGCTAAGCCGAGAAGATCTGGGAAGGAGTCAGAGAGCCTTGGGCCAGAGTTCTAGCTGCTCTGGGAGTGGCTGCCAGGTGAGTTGAACAGTCCGATTTTCAGTGGGGTCCCGCACAGATGGGATGCGGCTTAGGAGGAATCCCAGGCTGTGGACATTCCTTGGCCCAGTGGCCAGATTTCCAGTACTTGTAGCAAGCTCCTGGGGGAAGAGGTTCTGGAGGAACCCCTGGCAGCTGCGGTTCAGGCGTTTGGAGTTCTCGTGTGCTGGAGATGTGGCTGGGGTTTGTCTCATCTGGATACTGGAGTGGAGGCAAGGAATTGCAACTCAGAAATATGTTGCTATTTGGCTGCCTCTACTCTATTACTGTACACCTTGAAGGCGAGGTTAATTAAGTCTTGTTGTGGGGTTTGAGGGACAGAATTTAATTTTTGGAGCTTTATTTAATGTTGGGAGCAGATTTGGTAATAAAATGTATATTGAGAATAAGACGGCCTTTTGACTTAGGGTCTAGGGCTGTAAAGCGTCTCAGGGTTGCTGCCAAATGAGCCATGAACTGGGCTGTGTTTTTAAATTTGATGAAAAAGAGCCTAAACACTATCTGATTTGGGAGAGGTCAGATAAAGAAAAAGGAGCATTAACCTTGACTATGCCTTTAGCTTCAGCCACCTTTTTAAGAGGAAATTGCTGGGCAGTTGGGGGAGGGCTAGTCATGGAATGGAACTGTAAGCTGGACCGGGTGTGAGGAGGGGAGGTGATAAAAGGATTATAGGGTGGAGGAGCGGAGGCTGAGGAAGAATTGGGACCTAGCTCGGCCTGGCGAGGAGGGGAGATGTCAGATGGGTCTGTAGAAAAGGAAGATTAGAAAGACTCAGCGATGCTTGGGGTTGGGACTGACGGGACAGGCGGGAGGGAAAGAAGGAAGATTTGGGACGAGTTGCACTGGGCATAGAGACTAGGGAGGGACCGATGTGTAAAAGAATGCCTGGATGTCAGGCACCTCAGACCGTTTGCCCATTTTACAACAAGAATTATTTAGATCTTGTAGGATGGAAAAATTGAAAGTGCCGTTTTCTGGCTATTTGGAACCACTGTCAAGTTTGTATTGGGGTCAAGCAGCATTGCAGAAGAAAATAAGGCATTTAGGTTTTAGGTCAGGTGTGAGTTGAAGAGGTTTTAGGTTTTTAAGAACACAGGCTAAGGGAGAAGAAGGAGGAATGGAGGGTGGAAGGTTGCCCATACTGAAGGAGGCAAGCACAGAGAAAAGAGAGAGTAGAGACATGGAGGGAAGGGGTTCAGGGGTTCTTACCTTCCAGAAAAGCGGGAAAGGGGTCAGGGCACAGAAGTAAGGGATTGGGGTGCAGAGACAAGAGGTCGGGGTGTGGAAATAAGGGATCGGGGTGCAGAGATAAGACGTCAGGGCACAGAAATAAGGGATCGGGGGATTCTTGCCCCCTAGAAAAGCGGTACTTGCCACTAAGGGTGAAGGAGAAGGGGTTGGGGGGTTCTTGCCCCCCCAGAAAAGCAGAGAAGGGGTAGAGACACAGAGAAGGAGTTGGGGGTTCTTGCCCCCCCAGAAAAGCAGTACTTGCCACTAAGGGTGAAGGACCAAGGCAGGCATCCCCATGTGGTCAGACACCTCTGAAACGTGGGTGAATAATCAGAGAGGTGTCCCCGCGTGATTAAACACCAAGGGAAGGCTGCCTTCCCGAGTCCATGACCGGTGCTGGAGTTTTGGGTCCACGAATAAAGCGCGTCTCCTGTCTCTACCAGAAAAGGAAAGGAACTGAAATTAAGAGAAGGGAGAGATTGAAGAGTGGAAAGGAGAAAGTGGTTGAGGGATAGTGAGAGAGGTTGGAGAAGAGAGTAAAAAGAGGCTGCTTACTGGATTTAAAATTGGTGAGATGTTCCTTGGGCTGGTTGGTCTGAGGACGAGAGGTCGTAGGTGGATCTTTCTCATGGAGCAAAGAGCAGGAGGACAGGGGATTGATCTCCTAAGGAAGATCCCCTGATTCGAGTTATGGCACCAAATTTCACTCACGTCCGTGTGAAGAGACCACCAAACAGGATTTGTGTGAGCAACAAGGCTGTTTATTTCACCTGGGTGCAGGCGGGCTGAGTCCAGAAAGAGAGTCAGCAAAGGGAGATAGGAGTGCGGCCGTTTTATAGGATTTGGGTAGGTAAAGGAAAATTACAGTCAAAAGGGGGTTGTTCTCTGGCGGGCAGGAGTGGGGTTCACAAGGTGCTCAGTAGGGGAGCTTTTGAGCCGGGATGAGCCAGGAGAAGGAATTTCATAAGATAATGTCATCACTTAAGGCAAGAACAGGCCATTTTCATTTCTTTCGTGGTGGAATGTCATCAGTTAAGGCAGGAACCGGCCATCTGGATGTGTACATACAGGCCACAGGGGGATATGATGGCTTAGCTTGGGCTCAGAGGCCTGACAGTCTGGATCACCTGACCTGGTGATCCGCACACCTCGGCCTCCCAAAGTGCTGGGATTACAGGCATGACCCACTGCACCTGGCCTTAGAAAACTTCTTAAATATTAAAATGTATGTTATGTGTATTTTGCCACAATTTTTGAAAAGTACCTTCTGGTGTTTAGAGACAGAAGATGAGTGGTTGCCTAGGGCCGGGAGAGTGAGGGGATCGTGGTGATGGGCAGCTGGTCGGCATGGGGTTCTGAAGGGCAGTGATGACAACATTCTAAAATTAGACTGTGTTGACGGTTGCACCAACTCCGTGAATACCACAAAATTTAAACCATTGAATTATGCACTTTTAATGGGTAATTGTATGGCATGTAAATTATATCTCAATAAAGTTATATTTTTAAATACCAAAAAAAGGCCGGGTGCGGTGGCTCACGCCTGTAATCCCAGCACTTTGGGAGGCCGAGAAGGGCGGATCACGAGGTCAGGAGATGGAGACCATCCTGGCTAACATGGTGAAACCCCATCTCTACTTTGAAAAAAAAAAAAAAAAAAAAAAGATTACCCGGACGTGGTGGTGGGCACCTGTAGTCCTAGCTACTCAGGAGGCTGAGGCAGGAGAATGGCATAAACTCGGGAGGCAGAGCTTGCAGTGAGTCGAGATTGCGCCACTCAGGAGGCTGAGGCAAGAGAATGGCATAAACCCCGGAGGCAGAGCTTGCAGCGAGCCGAGATTGCGCCACTGCACTCCAGCATGGGTGACAGAGCGAGAGTCCATCTCAAAAAAAAAAAAAAAAAAAAAAAAAGATTAGTAATATCCTCTGTGTCACTTACCACTTAAGTGATTGAATCACGACTTGAAATTCATCATCTCAAACATGGCTTAGAGTCTGTAGAGGGGGGACAGTCCCAGGAATGCTGGTGTGGGCTTAAGGCTGAATTAAATAGATCCAGATGGCTCACACCTGTAATCCCAATACCTTGGGAGGCCGAGGCAGGTGGGAGGCTGAGGCAGGCGGATCACTGGAGCTCCTGGAGCGAAGAAAGGATGCTAGTGGAAAAACTGGTGAAATCAGAATAAAGTCTATAGTTTTATTTTTTAAAGGAGGCTGGGCGTGGTGGCTCATGCCTCTAATCCCAGCACTTTGGGAGGCTGAGGCAGGTGGATCAGTTGAGTTCAGGAGTTCAAAACCAGCCTGGCCAACTTGACGAAACCCCATCTCTACTAGAAATACAAAAATTAGCTGGGCGTGGTTGTGGGTGCCTCTAATCCCAGCTACTCAGGAAGCTGAGGCAGGAGAATTGCTTGAACCCAGGAGGCGGAGGTTGCAGTGAGCTGAGATCACACCATTGCACTCCAGCCTGGGCTACAGAGCAAGATTCCATCTCCAAATAAGAGAGACATGACAATTAAATAAATTGTGTAATCTTGGATTAAATCCTAAACCAAATATATGTCACTGGTAAAACAAGTGGTGAAATTTGAATAAAGTGGATAGATCAGACAATAGTGTCATATCAGTGCTATTTCTTGACCTTGAACATTAATAACAGAATGTCCTTGGTTTTGGGAAATATAACCTGAAGTGATTAGAGGTTTAGGGCATCATATGCAAATTAGACACACTTTCTTCGGGGAGAGAGGGAGAGGGAGAGAGGCTGAATGATGAAGCAAATGTGGTAAAATGCTAACTTTGGGGAAATCTGGATGAAGAAATTACAGATTTTTTTTTTTTTTATAGACAGGGTAACACTCTGTCACCCAGGCTAGAGTGCAGTGGCACGATCATGGCTCACTGCAGCTTCTACCTCCCTGGGCTCAGATGACCCTCTCACCTCAGCCTCCCAAGTAGCTGGGACTATAGGCGCACAGCACCACACCTGGCTAATTTTTGCATTTTTTTTTCCCCCAGGCTCGTCTCAAGCAATCCACCCACCTCGGCCTCCCAAAGTGCTGGGATTACAGGTGTGAGCCACTGCACCTGGCCAGAAATTCTTTAAACTATTTTTGCAAGTCTGGAATTATGTCAAAATTAAAAGCTCAAAATAATAAAAGACAATATTCTTATATTTCTTTGGTGAAGGTAACTATGTTATGGCTGAGAGGGTGGCTGAGGTCTGAGGATCCAGCCTACATAAGTCTCCTCCATAGAGGGCATCCAAGCGCTCCGTAGGGGGAAGGATAAAGAAAACACCCAGAGTTATGACAGCTGTGTAAGGGGAAACGCCAGCACCGAGTACTGAATCTTCAGTAAATAAGAAGGAGGCGGGCTGGGTGTGGTGGCTCACGCCTGTAATCCCAGCACTTTGGGAGGCTAAAGTGGGCTGATCACTTGAGGTCAAGAGTTCGAGACTAGCCTGGCCAACATGGGGAAACCCTGTCTCTACTAAAAATACAAAAATTAGTCGAGTGTGGTGGCACACGCCTGTAATCCCAGCTACTTGGGAGGCTAGAACAGGAGAATTGCTTGAACCCAGGAGGTGAAGGTTGCAGTGAGCTGAGATTGCACCACTGCACCCCAGCTTGAGGGACAGAGTGAGATTCCGTCTTAAAGAGAAAAAAAAAAGAATTAGCACATTTGTTTGCCTCAAGAAGATACAACTAGTCTTGTACAGTAGTCACATGTATCCACCAGGATATATTCCAAGGCCCCAGTGGATGCTGAAAACTACATAGTACCTTACATGTATATATATATGTATATACATATATACACATATACGTATATGTATACATACATGTATATATACATGTATGTATATACATATATGCATATATACATACATGTATATATACATGTATGTATATACATATATGTATATGTATGTATACACGCATACATGTATGTATACACGCATACATGTATGTATATACATATATGTATGTATACACGCATACATGTATGTATATACATATATGTATGTATACACGCATACATGTGTGTGTATACATATATATGCATGTATGCATGTGTGTATATATACATATATGTGTATATATACGCATATACATGTATGTGTATATATGCATGTGTATATATACATGTACGGTACTATGCAGTATATATACACATATATGTATATATGTATACATATATGTATAAATGTATATATGTGTATATATATAAAAGGTATATATGTATATATGTGTGTATATATAAAATGCATGAATTTCTTTTTTCTTACTGTAGATCTTAACAACTTCTGCATAGAATTTTTTTTTATTAAGTGGAGAGTTAGTTACTTACTTAAAAGAAATGTTTCTTGGCTGGGTGTGGTGGCTCACACCTGTAATCCCAGCACTTTGAGAGGCCGAGGCAGGAAGATTCACTTGAGGTGAGGAGTTGGAGACCATCCTGGCCAACGTGGTAAAAACCGGTCTCTACTAAAAGTACAAAAATGAGCTGGGCGTGGTGTTGGGTGTCTGTAGTCCCAGCTACTCAGGTGGCTGAGGCAGGAGAATTGCTTGAACCCACAAGGCAGAGGTTGCAGTGAGCTGAGATCACACCACTGCACCACAGCCTGGGCAACAGAGCAAGACTCTGTCTCAAAAAAAAAAAAAAAAAGAAAGAAAAAGAAAAAGAAAAGAAATGTTTCTTTTCTTATTAAGTTCTTTAAATGAAAAGCTTTTCTTTTCACTTTTATTTTATTGAAACATTATAACACTATCTTTGAAGAAGATAGTGTTATCATTCCATTCTGATGAAACCAATTAACTTATCCAAGCATATGTATACTGTACACAGAGAAGCCAACGTCAAAACCCCTATTTTTATCTTTTTAGATTCAGCAGATACATGTGCAGGTTTTTTATGAGTATATTGCATGATGCTGAGGCTTGCATTAATGATCTAGTCACCAAATAGGTAGATTTTCAAGCCTTGCTCCCCTCCTTACCCAATGTTTAGCGCTCTCACTTATAAGTGAGAACATGTGGTATTTGGTTTTCTTTTCTTTTTTTTTTTTTTTTTTGAGATGGAGTTTCACTCTTGTTGCCCAGGCTGGAGTACAATGGCACCATCTCGGCTCACTGCAACCTTCACCTTCCAGGTTCAAGCAATTCTCCTGCCTCAGCCTCCCGAGTAGTTGGGACTACAGGCATGTGCCACCACACCCGGCTAATTTTGAATTTTTAGTAGAGACAGGGTTTCTGCATGTTGGTCAGGCTGGTCTCGAACTCCCGACCTAAGGTGATCCACCTGCCTCAGCCTCCCAAAGTGCTGGGATGACAGGCGTGAGCCACCGTGTCTGGCCAGTATTTGGTTTTCTGTTTCTGTGTTAACTCGCTTAGGATAATGGCCTCTAGCTGCATCCATGTTGCTGCAAAGGACATAATCTTGTGATTTTTCAAGGCTGTATAGCGTTCTGTGGTGTATACATATCACATTGTCTTTATCCAGTCCACCTCTGATGGGACCTGGGTGGATTCCATGTCTTCACTATTGTGAATCCTGCTGCAATGAACATACAAGTGCATGTGTCTTTTTGGTAGAATGATTTATTTTCCTTTGGCTATATACCCAGCGATGGGATTGCTGGGCTGAATGGTAACTCTGTTTGTAGTTCTCTGAAATATCTCCAAACCAAACTGCTTTCCACAGTGGCTGAACTAATTTACACCCACCAACAGTGTATAAGTGTCCCCTTTGCTCCACAATCTCACCAGCATCTGTTAATTTCTGGCTTTTCAGTAATGGCCATTCTGACTGGTGTGAGATGGTATTGTTGAGGGATAATTTAGGAATCAGAGAGACCGAGGGGTTGAGGAGGATTTATTATTATTATTATTATTTAGGTGCACCGGCCCCAGTCAGATTAACATCCAAAAAGACTGAGGCTCGAACAGAGAGTCCGGTTACCTTTTAAGCATTTTGTGGGGTTGGGGGAGATCTGTGCAGGGGGAAGCATATTACAGAAGCAAGAAACAAAGGCAGTTATTCAATTGAGACATGTATCACATTATTCCTTACTTTTCAAGAAAAATATGTTTTACGACTTGAGGTTATCCTGTCTAGTGACCTTGCAGCCGCACGGCAAGAGAAACAGGGTCTTCACAATGCCTGGGAAAGGGAGAGATAAGGCTCACTAGCCACAGACAGAAAAACAGGCAGTTCATGTTTAAAGGACTCCACCTCTTTCTCTTCCTCGGGGGGAACTGGGTTTTCTTAAATACAACTGAGTTTTTGTTTACACATTCTGTAATTTCTTTTAATTCCTGTTCCAGTATCTCACTGTGAAACTCCCTATGTTTTTATACGATTCTCAGGGGGTTTCCTCTGGGCATGATTGGGCACAACTTCCCACAGTCAGCTCTGGGTACGACCTCCACATTGCAGAATTGAGAAGTTGACCCAGAAATGCATTTTGGGCTGAGCAGACAATTGTCAGAGTTGCTGGCTAGACCACAGATGTGTCAGAGGGACCACGGCCTTTCTGTAAGCTCATGGTCAGAGGCGGAGGGGAGTTGTGAACGTTCTGATGAAAGCAGTCAACGTGAAAGCGCTCTGGTGATGGGCGCTGGTGCTCACCCACCACTTCCTGTGTATCTATCTCCCTGGCCCGCCCGGCTCAGTCCCCACTGCTCAGCACTAGGCCGGCAGAATCTGAGCGATGTCTTCCACACTCCCTGCCCTGCTCTGCGTCGGTGAGTTCTGGCGTGGAAGGGGAATGGGATCACGGTGTGCCTGGGAGGCAACAGGTCTCATTACTCCCGTCTTCCAGGGCTGTGTCTGAGTCAGAGGATCAGCGCCCAGCAGCGTGAGTCCTTCCTTCAAAGCCCAGGGTCACTCTTCCGGGTTCAGGCCAAGCTCCTTCCACCCAAGCACGGCTGGGGAGAGGGGACAGGGTGCTGGCTTCCCAGGAGAGCTTGGGGCCAGCAGCTGGGTGGAGCCTAAGGTTGGGGGGAGGGGGCTCCGCTGGAACTCCAGCCTCTGATTCCCTTCCAGAGACTCTCCCAAAACCGTTCATCTGGGCCGAGCCCCATTTCATGGTTCCAAAGGAAAAGCAAGTGACCATCTGTTGCCAGGGAAATTATGGGGCTGTTGAATACCAGCTGCACTTTGAAGGAAGCCTTTTTGCCGTGGACAGACCAAAACCCCCTGAGCGGATTAACAAAGTCAAATTCTACATCCCGGACATGAACTCCCGCATGGCAGGGCAATACAGCTGCATCTATCGGGTTGGGGAGCTCTGGTCAGAGCCCAGCAACTTGCTGGATCTGGTGGTAACAGGTAACTGTCCGGTTCTCTAACTGGAGAGTGATCTCAGTCTGCATCCGGGATGCAGCATCATCTATGAACTCTTCCAAGCCCCACTCAGACACTGCTTGTCTCGGTAGGAGGCTGGAAGGAGGGGTGATCCCCATCACAATCCTTGCCTACAAGGGGTTGTCTGCAGACCGTGTCTCTACGTCCTAGGAGCAGATGTGTCCTCAGTCAGTTTCTCCATGACACAGATTCTGAGATAGATATTTGTATGCAGGGGTATGACTGAGGAATGTCCTCAAAAACAATGCCTGTGGGCTAGGCGCAGTGGCTTACACTTTGCTTCCCTCACCCATCACAGGTGGTGGGTTTTTTTTTTTTTTATCTGTTTTGAGACGGAGTTTCGCTCTTGTCACCCAGGCTGGAGTGCAGTGGTGCAATCTCCAGTCACTGCAACCTCCACCTCCTGGGTTCAAGTGATTCTCCAGCCTCAGCTTCCCAAGTAGCTGGGATCACAGGCACCCACCACTACGCCACATTTTGTATTTTTAGTAGAGATGGGGTTTCACCATGTTGGCCAGGGTGGTGTCGAACTCCTGACCTCAGATGATCCGCCCGCCTCACCCTCCCAAAGTGCTGGGATTACAGGTGTGAGCCATCACACCCAGCCAGGTGGTGGTTTTCTAAAAAAAAAAAAAAATTAGCTTTTTTTTTTTTTAACAATATGGTTGTTTATTATTATTATCAAGTATTATACATAGTTACATATACATACATAATTGTATGTGCTATACAATTAGGTTTGTTTATACCAGCAACACCAAAAACACATGAGCAATACTTTGTGCTAGGAAGGCTATGATGTCATCAGGCAATAGGAATTTTTCAGTTTCATTATAATCTTATGGGACCACCATCATATATGTGGTACATTGTTGGCCAAAATGTCATTATGCAGCTCACAACAGTATTTCATGTCCATTCAAATATCTTCTTTTGTGAAATGTCTATTTAAATCTTTTGCCTATTTTTAAATTGGGTTGCTTATATTTTGATTGATTAGGAAAAGTTATTTCTATATTCTGTGTCATATACTTGTGTTGAAATATATATATTTTTTGTCTGTGCCTTTTCATTTGCTCAGGGTCTTTGGACCTTGTTTGGAGGTTCTGGCAGGGGAACACAGCTACTCATTTATTCTTTTTTTTTTAATTTTTTTAGTATTTATTGATCATTCTTGGGTGTTTCTCGGAGAGGGGGATTTGGCAGGGTCATAGGACAATAGTGGAGAGAAGGTCAGCAGATAAACATGTGAACAAAGGTCTCTGGCTTTCCTAGGCAGAGGTCCCTGCGGCCTTCCGCAGTGTTTGTGTCCCTGGGTACTTGAGATTAGGGAGTGGTGATGACTCTTAAGGAGCATGCTGCCTTCAAGCATCTGTTTAACAAAGCACATCTTGCACCGCCCTTAATCCATTTAACCCTGAGTGGACATAGCACATGTTTCAGAGAGCACGGGGTTGGGGGTAAGGTCATAGATTAACAGCATCCCAAGGCAGAAGAATTTGTCTTAGTACAGAACAAAATGGAGTCTCCTATGTCTACTTCTTTCTACACAGACACAGTAACAATCTGATCTCTCTTTCTTTTCCCCACATTTCCCCTTTTTCTATTCGACAAAACCGCCATCGTCATCATGGCCCATTCTCAATGAGCTGTTGGGTACACCTCCCAGACGGGGTGGCGGCCGGGCAGAGGGGCTCCTCACTTCCCAGACGGGGCGGCCGGGCAGAGGCGCCCCCCCACCTCCCAGACGGGGCAGTGGCCGGGCGGGGGCTGCCCCCCAACCTCCCGGACGGGGCGGCTGGCCGGGGCTTTTTTTTTTTTTTTTTGAGACAGTCTCGCTGCAGTGCAGTGGTACAATCTCAGCTCACTGCAACCTCTGCCTCAGCCTCAATTCTCCTGCCTCAGCCTCCCAAGTAGTTGAGATTACAGGCATGTGCCACCACACCCGGCTAATTTTTGCATTTTTAGTAGAGACGGGGTTTCACCATGTTGACCAGGCTGGTCTCAAACTCCTGACCCAGGAGGTCGAGTCTTCAGTAAGCAAAGATAGTGCCACGGCGCTCCAGCCTGGGAAACAGAGCAAGACCCTGTATCATTTTTAAAAATGGTTTTAGACGGTAAATCTTCTATTGTGTGTATTTGACCAAAATAATAATTAAAAAAAAAAAAAAAGCTGGCTGCCAGGCATGGTGGCAGGCCCCTGTAGTCCCAGCTACTTGGGAGGGTGAGGCAGGAGAAACGCTTGAACCCGGGAGGCAGAGGTTGCA
Source organism: Homo sapiens (assembly GCF_000001405.40). Taxonomy (NCBI): domain Eukaryota; kingdom Metazoa; phylum Chordata; class Mammalia; order Primates; family Hominidae; genus Homo; species Homo sapiens. Next base: position 554,294 of record NW_003571055.2, read on the forward strand.
GTGAGCCAAGATCGTGTCACTGCACTCCAGCCTGGGCGACAGAGAGAGACTCCATCTCTAAAGAAAGAAAAAAAAAAATAGCTGGCTGCTCATCACTGAGTTTCTGGTGTGGTGGCCCCACCTTCTCTCATAGAAATGTATGACACACCCACCCTCTCGGTTCATCCTGGACCCGAAGTGATCTCGGGAGAGAAGGTGACCTTCTACTGCCGTCTAGACACTGCAACAAGCATGTTCTTACTGCTCAAGGAGGGAAGATCCAGCCACGTACAGCGCGGATACGGGAAGGTCCAGGCGGAGTTCCCCCTGGGCCCTGTGACCACAGCCCACCGAGGGACATACCGATGTTTTGGCTCCTATAACAACCATGCCTGGTCTTTCCCCAGTGAGCCAGTGAAGCTCCTGGTCACAGGTGAGGAAATGCTCAATTCCCCACACCCTTCGCCGCCATGTCCTACCTGGAGCCCTGAGGGATCCCCAGAGAGTGATGGGGAGGGTGTCCAAGGGACGTCCACTTCCTGGGTGCCTGGTTGGTCATGTGAGGAAGAACACCAGAAGCAGGAAGGAGGAGGGAGCAGAGAAAGGAATGGTAAGGCGGGTGGATCACAAGGTCAGGAGTTCGAGACCAGCCTGGCCAAGACGGTGAAACCCCGTCTCTACTAAAAATACAGAAATTAGCCAGACGCAGTGGCGGACACCTGTAGTCCCAGCTACTCAGGAGGCTGAGGCAGGAGAATCGCTTGAACCCGGGAGGCGGGGGTTGTAGTGAACCGAGATCATACCACCGCACTGCAACCTGGGCGACAGAGCAAGACTCCATCTCAAAAAAAAAAAAAAAAAAAAAAAGAATGGCAAGACCGGAGGAAACCAAAAACCCTTACTTTTTTTTCTTTATCTCCTTTTCCAGGCGACATTGAGAACACCAGCCTTGCACCTGAAGACCCCACCTTTCCTGGTGAGTAACTGGTCCTTCTAAGCTCAGACGAGCGATCAGAGCCTCCCAGTGACACTAAAAACGTGGCATTCATTCAAAATATTCATCGAGGCCAGGCGTGGTGGCTCACGCCTGTAATCCCAGCACTTTGGGAGGCCGAGATGGTGCATCATTTGAGGTCAGGAGTTTGAGACCAGCCTGGCCAACATGGCGAAACCCTGTCTCTACTAAAAATACAAAACTTAGGCTGGGCATCATGGCTCACACCTGTAATCCCAACACTTCGGGAGGCCAAGGTGGTTGGATCACAAGGTCAGGAATTCGAGACCAGCCTGACCAACATGGTGAAACCCCATCTCTACTAAAAATACAAAAATTAGCCGGGCCTGGTGGTGCTCGCCTGTAATCCCAGCTACTCAGGAGGCTGAGGCAGGAGAATTGTTGAACCTGGGATGCAGAGGTTGCAGTGAGCTGAGATCGCGCCACTGCATTCCACTCCACTGCACGACACAGCGAGACTCCATCTCACAGAAAAACAAAAACAAAACTATTATATATATATATTCATCAAGTGCATAGTATACACAGTGAACTACACTGTAACAGTCAGCCAGGCAGATATCTTGACTCTGCAGCACTTAGATTCTAGCAGGAGGAGACACACCATCGGTCAACGTCAGGATAGCACACAGGAGGGAATGATGCTATGGAAGGAAAAGACAAAGTAGAACAGACTTACAGTGATTGAAATGGCAGCTAGCAATATTAAATAGGTTTGTCCAGATGGACCTCACAGAGAAAGAAGGCATCTGAGCAAATGCGTTCAGACTTGAGTTAATCATGTGGCTGTCAGGAGAAAGGAGGCTCTGGAGAGAATGAAATGGCATCTGCCTGTGCCCTGGGGCAGGAAGATAACTGGGGTAATACAATAATAACTATGAGGCCAGGAGGGTTGAAAATGATGTTTGGAAGATGACGGTGGGATGGGCCTGGGGCGCACGGCTAGGATTACAGGAGTGAGGCCCGGCGCGGTGGCTCACGCCTGTAATCCCAGCACTTTGGGAAACCGAGGCAGGTGGGTCATGAGGTCAGGAGATCAAGACCATCCTGGCTAACACGGTGAAACCCTGTCTCTACTAAAAAAAAATACAAAAATTATCCGGGCGTGGTGGCGGGCGCCTGTAGTCCCAGCTACACAAGAGGCTGAGGCAGGAGAATGGCGTGAACCCGGGAGACGGAGCTTGCAGTGAGCTGAGATCGCGCCACTGCACTCCAGCCTGAGCGACAGAGTGAGACTCCGTCTCAAAAAAAAAAAAAAAGAAAAAGAAAAAGAAAAAAAAATAGTGAGACTTTGAATTTCACTATGTGTGTATGTGTGAGGAGAAAGAGGTAATGATGACTTAATGAGGAAAATGAGGCTTAAATAGAAGACGGGCTGGGCCGGGTGGCTCCCGCATGTAATCCCAGCACTTTGGAAGGCAGGGGCGGCTGGATCACTTGAGGTCAGGAGTTCAAGACCAGCCTGGCCAACACAGTGAAACCCCATCTCTACTAAAAATACAAACATGAGTTGGGTGTGGTGGCGCACGCCAGTAATTACAGCTACTCGGGGCTGAAGCAAGAGGATTGCTTGAACTCGGGAGGCGGAGGTTGCAGTGAGCTGAGATCACACCACTGTACTCCAGCCTCAGAGGCCTGTCATCCCAGCCCTTTGGGAGGCCGAAGCAGGCAGGTCATCTGAGGTTGGGAGTTCAAGACCAGCCTGGCCAACATGGCAAAACCCCGTTTCTACTAAAAATATGAAAAAAATTACCTGGGTATGTGGTGTGTGCCTGTAGTCCCAGCTACTCCAGAGGCTGGAACACAGTGAGACTCTATCTCAAAAAAAAAAAAAATAGAAGACATGACTGGTGCAAAGACACATGCTCACAAGTGCTAGAATGGAATTCCTCGTCAGGTTCGTCCATCTGTGGACCCTTCCACTTTACCTGCTGGATGAAGCTCCTGGGACCCGCAGGGTGAGGTGGGACCTTGTAAAGCTGCAGAACGTCATGGGGTAGACCCAAGGGAAGGAGTGCTGGGGTGGAGGAGGTCAAAACCATCCTCTTTTCTTCACTTCCCTTATCATCAGCAGACACTTGGGGCACCTACCTTTTAACCACAGAGACGGGACTCCAGAAAGGTAAGTAGACAGCTGGGGCCATAGGCTCTGAAGGAAGGGGCTGGGCATAGAGTAGACCTAGGAAGGGAATCTAAATGGGAACAAGAGGGTGTCCTTGGCCAGGCGCAGTAGCTCACACCTGTAATCTCAGCCCTTTGGGAGGCCGAGGCGGGCAGATCATCTGAGGTCGGGAGTTCAAGACCAGTCTGGCCAACATGGCGAAATCCCATCTCTACTAAAAATACAAAAAAATTAGCCAGGCGTGGTGGCGTGTGCCTGTAGTCCCAGCTACTTGGGAGGCTGAGACAGGAGAATAGCTTGAACCCAGGAAGTGGAGGTTGCAGTGAGCCGAGATCGTGCCATTGCACTCCAGCCTGGGCGACAAGACTGAGGCTCTGTCTCAAAAAAAAAAAAAAAAAAAAAAAAAAAAAAAAAAAAAAGAGGGTGTCCTTACATCCCTGTCAGCGATCACCCTGTTCTCCTGCCTACAGACCATGCCCTCTGGGATCACACTGCCCAGAATCTCCTTCGGATGGGCCTGGCCTTTCTAGTCCTGGTGGCTCTAGTGTGGTTCCTGGTTGAAGACTGGCTCAGCAGGAAGAGGACTAGAGAGCGAGCCAGCAGAGCTTCCACTTGGGAAGGCAGGAGAAGGCTGAACACACAGACTCTTTGAAGAATGACCATGAGACACAGTGGCCATGGGTGGATCTGAAAGCTGGTGTTGAGCCTGGGCGGCGTGAGCTCTGTGTTGGACCCACGGAGGAGGGAGTCACTGCAGGGAAAGAGGGACACTGGCATTCCATTTGTCAGAGCATCCCGGACGATGCAGAGGGTGGGAGAACTACATGCTAAATTTCTTTTTTTTTTTTTTTGAGACAGAGTTTTCTCTTGTTGCCCAGGCTGGAGTGCAATGGCGCGATCTTGGCTCACTGCAACCTCTAGCTCTCCATCCCTCGGGTTCAAGTGATTCTCCTGCCTCAGCCTCCTGAGTAGCTGGGATTACAGGCATGTGCCACCACCCCAGCTAATTTTGTATTTTTAGTGGAGACGGGGTTTCTCCCTGTTGGCTGGTCTCGAACTCCTGACCTCAAGTGATCTCCCCGCCTTGGCCTCCCAAAGGGCTGGGATTACAGGCATAAGCCGCTGCGCCCAGCCACTGAATTTCTTCTGTAGACAAATCCTATGGTCTCTTCTAGGCTCTAACTATTTTTGTACCACTTACTGCAAACCATACTTTTAACCACTCTGGTCTTTTCTGAAAAGATCTCTCCTTCTTTAACAGGATGGCCATGGAAATATTTTTTTCCTACTTTGGTCTTTTTTTCTTTCCTTTCTCTGCAGGAAGCCATTCAAAATAGTTAATAACCAATATAGAATAGGTCTGTATCAAATGGTTCAGGAGGCATTGTGGCAACAACCAGTTGTAGAGAAGCAGCTTTATAAGTGAATCCTGCCAGGCACGGTGGCTCACACCTGTAATCCCAACACTTTGGGAGGCTGAGGCGGGCAGATCACCTGAGGTCAGGAGTTCGAGACCAGCCTGGCCAACATGATGAAACCCCATCTCTACTAAAAATACAAAAACTCGGCCAGGCACGGTGGCTCATGCCTGTAATCCCAGCACTTTGGGAGGCCAAGGTGGGAGGATCACCTGAGGTCAGGAGTTCGAGAGCAGCCTGGCCAACATGGTGAAACCACATCTCTACTAAAAATATAAAAATTAGCCAGGTATGGTGGCGTGTGCTTGTAATCCCAGCTACTCAGGAGGCTGAGGCAGGAGAATAGCTTGAACCCGGGAGGCGGAGGCTGCAGGGAGCCAAGATCGCACCACTGCACTCCAGCCTACGTGACAGAGCAAGATTCTGTCTCAAAAAAAAAAAGAAAAAAAAAAAATAAGTGACTCCTGGCTGCATCCCAACCATACCCCAATTCCTTCTAACCACAGAATTATTCCATCTTCTCTTCCTTTTTTTTTTTTTTCTTTTTTTTTGTTTGTTTTGTTGGGACAGAATTTCACTTTTTTTTTTTTTAATGTAAGTTTTAGGGTACATGTGCACAACGTGCAGGTTAGTTACATATGTATACATGTGCCATGTTGGTGTGCTGCACCCACTAACTCGTCATTTAACATTAGGTATATCTCCTAATGCTATCCCTTCCCCCGAGTTTCACTTTTGTCACCCAGGCTGGAATGCAGTGGTGCAATCTTGGCTCACTGCCACCTCCACCTCCAGGGTTCAAATGATTCTCCTGCCTCAGCCTCCTGAATAGCTGGGATTATAGGCATGCACCACCACGCCCGGCTAATTTTTGTATTTTTAGTAGAAATGGGGTTTCACAATGTTGGCCAGACTGGTCTTGAACTCCTGACCTCAGGTGATCCACCAGCCTCGGCCTCCCAAAGTGCTGGAATTACAGGTGTGAGTCACCGTACCCGGCCACCATCTTTGCTTCTTTATCCACACCTTGCCTTGTTCTTCAGGGCTCTGCAGAGATATCATTTCCTCCAAGAGTTTCCACAACTCCGACTTCACAAAGATAGCACTTTTTTTTTTTTTTGAGACAGTCTCACTCTGTAGCCCAAGCTGGCGTGCAGTGGCACAATCTCAGCTCACTGCAACCTTCGCCTCTGGGGCTCAAGCGATTCTCCTTCCTCAGCCTCCCAAGTAGCTGGGACTAGAGGCGCGCGCCACCACACCCGGTTAATTTTTTTTGCATCTTTAGTAGAGGTAGGGTTTCATCATGTTGCCCTGGGTGGTCTCAAACTCCTGAGTTCAGGTGATCCCCCCGCCTTGGCCTCTCAAAGTGCTAGGATTACAGGCGTGAGCCACTGCGCCCAGCCAAGACAACACTTTCCTCATCCCAAAGCACCTGTTAATTCCCTGTAACAGCACTTGAACCCTGATTCGGCATGCATGTCCATTTTCCTGCCTCTACCGTGAACTCGTGTGAATTGATCTATGTCAGATTTAGTGGCTGCATTCACAGCTCCCGCAACTATAACGGGGTTCTCGGGAAATATATATCAAATGAGTGAATGTATATACGGGGCTGTGGCACAGCCTGCAACTTGAGACTTCTCACTAGGGGTCTTGAAATGCTGTCTGGACACCACCATCGCTTTCCTCCCTGAGAACTTCTACTTATCAACCCATTTATATACTCATCGCATGGGTCCTCACGCCCTCCCATTATTCTGGTGCCTCATGCCGGTCAAATTTATTCTCTAAATCTGATTTTTCCATTAAATAGCAGCCTGGCCAACACGGTAAAACCCCATCTCTACTAAAAAATACAAAATATTAGCCAGGCGCAGTGGCTTGCACCCGTAATCTCAGCTACTCGGGAGGCTGAGGCAGCAGAATCACTTGAACCCGGGAGGCAGAGGTTGTGGTAAGCCGAGATTGCACCACTGCACTCCAGCCTGGTAACAGAGCGAGACTCCCTCTCAAAATAAATAAACTGCTGACTCGCGTATTTTTTCTTTACCCCAACTCATTCCTTACATGTAGGCACCTGTAATCCTAGCTACTCAGAAGGCTGAGGCAGGAGAATCGCTTGAACCTGGGAGGCGGAGGTTGCGGTGAGCCAAAATCGTGCCACTGCACTCCAGCCTGGGCGACAGAGCGAGACTCCATCTCAAAAAAAAAAAAAAAAAAACCACATAGGCTCAGTCTTTTCAGTATCTGCTTTACTGGTTCAGTAAAAGCCAGGAAACACAACTTTGTGGTAATCTGAATGTTATTGAACTGTATTTTGTTCACTTTATTGTAAATACTGGTGAACAGTGAATAAATGGTTGTATATTCCTAATAAGAAAAAAAAAAAAAAAGACCCAAAGTACAGCGAGCTGATGCCGATCTCATTTCGCAGAGGTCCGCCTGCTCTCCCCTCTCCAAGAGTGTAATCCTCTGCTTAATAAACTTATGCCGCTTTGCTATATGTGTGTATCACACCCAATTCTTTGTTCGAAACACCAAGGGCCTGGAACTTCACAGCTTTGGCTGGTAACGGGGAGCAGGGGTAAAGACATTTAAAAGCTGCTTGTGTTAACCATAATCGCCATCCCATATATCAGACCCCCAGAACTAACTCATCTTATAACTGAATATTGTGCTTTTTTTTTTTTTTTTTTTTTTTTTTTTTTTTTTTTTTTTGAGACGAAGTCCTGCTCTGTCACCCAGGCTGGAGTGCAGTGGCGCGATCTTGACTCTGCAACCTCCGCCTCCCGGGTTCAAGCGATTCTCCTGCCTCAGCCTCCCGAGTAGCTGGGACTACAAGTGCGTGCCACCACGCCCGGCTAATTTTTGTATTTTTAGTAGAGACGGGGTTTCTCCATGTTGGTCTCAAACTCCTGGTCTCAGGTGATCCACCCGCCTTGGCCTCCCAAAGTGCTGGGATTACAGACGTGAGCCACCACACCCAGCTACTTGTGCTTTTTGACCAACATCTTCCTCTCCTACCACCCCCAGCCCCTGATAACCTCCACCTACTCTCACTTCTAGGAGATCAACTGTTCTATTTTTTTTTTTTTTTTTTTTTTTTTTGAGTCTCGCTCTGCACACCCAGGCTGGAGTGCAGTGCTGCAATCTCGGATCACTGCAACCTCCGCTTTCCGGGTTCAAGCGATTCTCCTGCCTCAGCCTCCAGAGTCGCTGGGATTACTGAGCCACCGCGCCCAGCCAGAAGACCCACGCTCCCTAAGACATAACCCACACTGGTGGCCTTTGTTCTGACTTCTCACCTGTGCTCCCCACCCGCTAGAAACTGGCTTCTCTCCCCACACTTCCTCTGAAGCTGTCTGTGTGACCAACACTAATGAGCTTCCTTCCTGGAACATGCAGTGACCCTTTTCAGCCCTTCTCATTATTGCTCCCCCACAGTTGTATTTGACACGTTGACCACTTCCTTCTCGAAGGACTCACTTCTCTGGCTTTCTCGGACACTTCTTGCTACTCGTTTTCTGACGGTTACAGTACCAACAGGTTTGCAGGCACCTCCACCACCAGAGCCAATCCCAGCTACTCGGGAGGCTGAGGCAGGAGAATCGTTCAAACCCGGGAGGCAGAGGTTGCAGTGAGTCGAGATTGCGCCACTGCACTCCAGCCTGAGTGACAGACTGTGACTCCTCAAAAAAAAACAAAAACAAAAACAAAAAAACTACAGTCTTGCTCTGTCGCCCAGGATGGAATGCAGTGGTGCCATCTTGGCTCACTGCAACCTCTGCCTGCTGGGGTCTAGCGATTCTCCTGCCTCAGCCCCCCAAGGAGCTGGGACTACAGGCATGTGCCGCCACGCCTGGCTAATTTTTGTATTTTTAGTGGAGATGGGGGTTTTACCATGTTAGCCAGGTTGGTCTTGAACTCCTGACCTCATGTGATCCGCCCACCTTGGCCTCCCAAAGTGCGAGGATTACAGGCCCCCGCACCCAGCCTAGGATCCTGCACCTCTCTAGCCTAGCAGTTCTCTGCTGGGTGATTTTGCTCTCCACTCCAGGGGACATTTGGCAATGCCCATGGTAATTTTTAATTGTCATGACTTGGGGAGGGGTTCTACTGGCATCTGGTAGGTAGGGTCCAGGGGTGCTGCTCAGCTTCCTACAATGCCCAGGGCAGCCCCAGATGGCAGCAGCACCAAGGCTGAGAAACACTGGCTCATGCAGAAAGCAACCACCTTACACCCTTCAGTGCAGGGACAAAGGCAGGGTTACGAGTCCACGGAAACTCTCCAGTCTCAGCCTACGTAAGACGTGGCTATTTTTCTTTCTTATTGTTTTTATTCATTTATTTTTCTTGAGACAGAGTCTTGCTCTGTCGCCCAGGCTGGACTGCAGTGGCGCGATCTCTGCTCACTGCAAGCTCCGCCTCCCGGGATCACACCATTCTCCTGGGACTACAGGCGCCCGCCACCTAGCCCGGCTAATTTTTTGTATTTTTAGTAGAGACGGGGTTTCACCATGTTAGCCAGGATGGTCTCGATCTGACCTCGTGATCCTCCCGCCTCGGCCTCTCAAAGTGCTGGGATTACAGGTGTAAGCCACCGCACCCGGCCTTATTCATTTATTTTTTGAGATAGAGTCTGAGCCCTTTATTTTATTTATTTAGAGACCAAGTCTCGCTCTGTTACCCAGGCTGGAGTGCAGTGTCGTGGCCTCAGCTCACTGCAACAACCTCCGCCTCCCGGGTTCAAGCGATTCTCCCACCTTGGCCTCCCAAAGTGCTGGCATTACAGACACCCACTACCATGCCTGGCTAATTTTTTGTACTTTTAGTAAGTAAAGACAGGGTTTCACCATCTTGGTCAGGATGGTCTCGAACTCCTGGCCTCAAGTGATCGGCCCGCCTGGGTCTCCCAAAGTGATGAGATTACAGGCGTGAGCGACCACACTGGCCTAATGTGTAGTTTTTTATCTGTGGCCTCCCTTCTGCCCTCCCCCTTCTGAGACTCTGAAGCCCATTACATCACTCTGCCTTTGTGTACCAACAGCTTAGCTCCCACTGAGAACATACAGAGCCAGGCACGGTGGCGGTGGCTCACGCCTGTAATCCCATCACTTTGGGGGTGCTGAGGCAGGTGTATCGCCTGAGGCCAGGAGTTCAAGACCAGTCTGGCCAACATGGTGAAACCCCATCTCTACTAAAAATAGAAAAATACATAGCTGGGTGTGGTGGCACGTGCCTATAATCCCAGCTACTAGGGAGGCTGAGGTTGGAGAATCGCTTGAACCCAGGAGGCGGAGGTTGCGGTGAGCCAAGATCACACCATTGCACTCTAGCCTGGGCAACAAGAGCAAAACTGTCTTAAAAAAAAAAAAAAAAAGTGAGAACATATGGATTCTACTCCTGTTAGAATAATGGCCTCCAGCTCCATCCAAATTGCTGGAAATGACATTATTTCATTCCTTCTAATGGCTGAATAGTATTCCATGGTACATAGACACCACGTTTTCTTTATCCACTGTAGGGACCAGCCCCACAGGGTCGGTGGGTCTCTCCCTGTGTGCGGCGACGAGAGAGTGTAGAAATCAAGACACAAGACAAAGAGACAAGAGAAAAGGCAGCTGCGCCCGGGGGACCACTACCACCAATGCGCGGAGACCGGTAGTGGCCCCGAATGTCTGGCTGCGCTGTTATTTATTGGATACAAGGCAGAAGGGGCAGGGTAAAGAGTGTGAGTCACCTCCAATGATAGGTAAGGTCACGTGGGTCACGTGTCCACTGGACAGGGGGCCCTTCCCTGCCTGGCAGCCGAGGCAGAGAGAGAGAGGAGACAGAGAGAAAGACAGCTTATGCCATTATTTCTGCATATCAGGGACTATTAGTACTTTCCCTAATTTACTACTGCTATCTAGAAGGCAGAGCCAGGTGTACAGGATGGAACATGAAGGCGGACTAGGAGCGTGACCACCGAAGCACAGCATCACAGGGAGACGGTTAGGCCTCCGGATAACTGCGGGCGAGCCTGACTGATGTCAGGCCCTCCACAAGAGGTGGAGGAGCAGAGTCTTCTCTAAACTCCCCCGGGGAAAGGGAGACCCCCCCCCCCACCCGCTGCCCCTTTCCCGGTCTGCTAAGTAGCGGGTGTTGTTAATTGACACCTTTTGCTACCGCTGGACCATGATCCGCTTGGTGACGGGTGTCTTCCCAGACGCTGGCGTCACCGCTAGACCAAGGAGCCCTCTGGTGGCCCTGTCCGGGCATAACAGAAGGCTCGCACTCTTGTCTTCTGGTCACACCTCACTATGTCCCCTCAGCTCCTATCTCTGTATGGCCTGGTTTTTCCTAGGCTATGATTATAGAGTGAGGATTATTATAATATTGGAATAAAAAGTAATTGCTACCAGCTAATGATTAATGATACTCATATATAATCATATCTAAGATCTATATCTGGTATAACAATTCTTGTTTTATATTTTATTATACTGGAACAGCTCGTGTCCTCTGTCTCTTGCCTCGGTGCCTGGGTGCCTTGCCGCCCACAATCCACTCATTATTCAATGGGCACTTCGGTTGGTTCCACATCTTTGCAATTGTGAATGGCTGAGCCAGCCATTCTTAACTGGGGGTGATTTTGTCCCCATGGGGGTATCTGGCCACATCCCGAGAGGTTTTTTGGTTGTCACGAGTTGCAGTGGGGGCAGGCTCAGGCTCATCCAAGTCCAGGGGTGCTGCTATACATCACGTGATACACAGGACAGTCCTTGCTACGGACTGAATTGGTCCCACCAAACGTCATGTACAAGCCCTACCCCAGATGTGACTCTATTTGGACACAGGGCTTTTCAGAGGTAATTAAGGCTGGTCAGGCGCCGTAATCACAGCACTTTAGGAGTTCTGTGTTTATTACTGGTAAGTGGGTAAGAGCCCAGTGTGGCAGCTCACGCGTGTAATCCCAGCACTTTGGGAAGCGAAGGCAAGGGGATAACTGGAGGCCAGCAGTTCAAGACAAGCCTGGTCAATACAGCAAGACTCCATCTCTATAAAATATTTTAAAATTAGCCAAGCATGTTTGGCATGCACCTGTAATCCCAGCTCAGGAGGCTCAGGTGGGAGGATTCCTTGAGTTTAAGGCTGCAGTGAGCTAAGATCGCACCATTGCACTCCAACCCGGCTGTGGGCAACACAGCACCACCACCATCTTGGCTGGGCACGGTGGCTCACGCCTGTCATGCCAGCACTTTGGGAGGCCGAGGCGGGTGGCTCACCTGAGGTCAGGAGTTTGAGACTAGCCTGGCCAACATGGTGAAATCACGCCACTGCACTCCAGCCTAGGCAACCAAGTGAGACTCTGTCCGCCCCACCACCCCACCAAAAAAAAGACTACTATCTTAAACAAAATCAAAATTTTTAAGTAGATAAAATATTTAGGGGAAAAAAACTTCAATTAAATATGCAGCAGAGTCCGACCCAGATGTTTTCACTCCCAGCCTCTACCTACTATCTTTGTGTCTTTATTTTTAGCAAATTCTACACGGGAACTTCATGTGCATGTAGAACCCTAAATGTTGACTCAGCCCTACCTCTCATCACCTGACCACTTCCTTTATTCACGCTGTCTCTACCACCCTTCCCATCGGTGTGAGCTGTATCCCGCTAAACACTGTTACCACCCACAGCCTGCATTACTACCAGCTGACTGTAGCCTTAAACACCACAGTGATCTCGAGCATTTGAGAAGACTTATCTTGACAAGGGCTCACGAAAGACAGCAATGCTCAACAGCAAGATAAATGAGGGCCTTCATGGGATCATTCAGTGCTGAAGCCACTCAACCTCCAGGTTTGGGTTAGTAAAAAGAACTTTGTCAGGCCAGGCACAGTGGCTCACGCCTGTCATCCCAGCACTTTGGGAGGCCAAGGCGGGCAGATCACCTGAGGTCAGGAGTTCAAGACCAGCCTGGCTAACATGGTGAAACCTCGTCTTTACTAAAAATACAAAAATTAGCCAGGCATGGTGACGCACACCTCTAGTCTCAGCTACTCCGGAGGCTGGGACAGAAGACTCACTTGAACCCAGGAGGCAGAGGTTGTAGTGAGCCAAGATCGCACCACTGCACTCCAGCCTGGGCGACAGAGGCAAGACTCCATCTCAAAAAAAAAAAAAAAAAAAAAGAAAAGAAAACTTTGTCATACAAGCTTTCAACCTAAAGCATTAGCCATATGCCCGTGTTTTTGTGCCTGGGACCATGACAACTTTCCCCATATCAATGCTCTTATTTTTTTTTTTCGAGACAAGAGTTTTGCTCTTATTGCCCAGGCTGGAGTGCAGTGGCACAATCTCAGCTCACCACAAACTCCGCCTCCCGGGTTCAAGCGATTCTCCTGCCTCAGCCTCCCGAGTAGCTGGGATTACAGGCATACACCACCCCACCCGGCTAATTTTGTATTTTTAGTAGAGACGGGGTTTCTCCATGTTGAGGCTGGTCTCGAACTCCTGACCTCAGGTGATCCGCCCGCCTCGGCCTCCCAAAGTGCTGGGATTACAGGTGTGAGCCACAGCGCCTGGCTGCTCTTATTAAAATAGTCTCATCACCTACCGCAAGCGTGGAGAGCCAAGTGAGGAGAGGGGTCAGTCCCTTTTGGCAGCGCCTGGAAGCCAGTGCTAACATCATGGTGACAACTTTTCATTCTTAAGGAAAATTGCGGAGTGACTTCTATGCATTTTCTATGAATGACCAAATACAGGGTGTGGAAAAGCTGTGTTTGCCATGGCAATGGGAAGCCGAGAGAAACGGGGAGGCGAGAGAGACAGAGACATACACAGAGACTCCCAGAGACAGCCACACAGACTCACACAGAAACAGACAGACAGGCTGGGCTCGGTGGCTCACGCCTGTAATCCCACCACTCTGGGAGGCTGAGGCGGGTAGATCACCTGAGGTCAGGAGTCCGAGAACAGCCTGGCCAACATTGTGAAACCCCGTCTCTAGTAAGAATACAAAAAATTAGCCAGGCATGGTGGCACAGGGCTGTAATTCCGGCTACTCGGAAGGCTGAGGCAGGAGAATCACTTGAACCTGGGAGGCGCGGTTGCAGTGAGCTGAGATCACGCCATTGCACTCCAGCATGGGCAACAAGAGTGAAACTCCGTCTCAAAAAAAAAAAAAAAAAAAAAACGAAAGAACAGAGAGACACATACAAAGACAGAGATAGAAACGCCCAGCGACAGAGAGACACACAGAGAAACACAGACAGACACAGAGACACACACACAGAAACAGACACAGAGACAGAGAGACAAAAAGACAGACACAGAGAAACAAAGAGAGACACACAGAGACAGAGAGAGAGAGAGACACATACACACACACACAGAGAGTAGGAGGCGGCCCGTGGGAGCCGAGCAGAACCAGCGTGAGGCAGGGCCATCTTCTGAATTAAAGGCAACAGTGACTGTAAGCTTCTGCTTTGTGAGTAACAGGATAGATTAGAACAGGGCTGGCTGCCTATGGCCCACGAGCTGTTTCTGGGAAGCCTCCGCAGGTGCCAGCCAGGCCCTGCGCTGCTTCCATGTCCAAAGACACAGCTGAGAGCTGATGAGAGACCGCGGGGCCCACAGTGCCAAGCATATGAACTATCTGGCCCGTTTGTCAATGCGTGGGTTGATCACATAAGTTATGATCACATAAGTCACAAAGACACACTGATCACATAGATGCACCTGGCAGCTAGTAGACCACGTGGTGCCTGAGTTAGGGAAGAAAAGAAATAGAAGAATCAACCGAATCATCCCTGAACTTCTTAGCAATACTTCCTCCTAGACGAAGCACAGAGTACCATGTTTATTGCAGGTTTGCTCCTGAGCATGTCAATAAACGCAGCTGCAACGAGAGTGCTCTAACTTTATTATCCCTGTGAGAAAGTACATAGCGTCATGTGAAGGGGGTGCGTGACTCGTGCAGAATCTCCCAAAAATAGTGAGAAAACCAGTGTCAAATCCTACCTCTCGACAGACTCTAGTGTTAACATGTGACCCTCTGACCTGCATTCATAAGACATCTTAGAGACCCGAATCCCGCTTCCTGTGTAATTCGTAGAGCGATCCCAGGCTGCTCAGCAAAAAAAGTCACAGCACGGAGGTGCCGTTGCCCCGGAAGCATTGCAATCAATAGTCAGCTTGGGATTCTTTTCTTTCACTTCCTCCAACAGCTTCTTGATTTCCAAATTAGTTTCATAGGTCTTCAACCTGGAGGGATCAGAGAACACAAATGTTCCCAGAAATTCATTCTCAACTACCCAGGATGCCTGAATATCTGTTTTCAAACACTCAAAGCAGGAAACGTTTTTGGGATTTTCTGGGGGACAGGGTCTTGCTCTGTTGCCCAGGCTGGGGTACAGTGGTGCCATCTTGGCTCTCTGCAACCTCCAGCTCCCAAGTTCAAGCAATTCTCATGCCTCAGGCTCCTGAGTAACTGTGATTACAGGTGTGCACCACCACGCTTGGCTAAGTTTTGTATTTACAGTAGAGATGGGGTTTTGACATGTTAGCCAGGCTGGTCTCGAACTTCTGGCCTCAAGTGATCCATCCACCTCGGCCTCCCAAAGCCATGGGATTACAGATGTGAGCCACAGCACCCAGTCAGAAAGGTTTTCTAAAAAGAAATTTAGACCCACACAATGGGGATCCTTATAAGTCTAAGAAAAAAAAGATTATGGCCAGGCACGGTGTCTCGCACCTGTAGTCCCAGCACTTTGGGAGGCCAAGGCAGGCAGATTGCTTGAGCTCCGCAGTTCAAGGCCAGCCTGGGCAACACGGTGAAACCCTGTCTCTACCAAAAATAGAAAAAGTTAGCCAGGAATGGTGGTGCACGCCTATAGTCCCAGCTACTCGGGAGGCGGAGGCAAGAGGATCACTTGAGCCCAGGAGGCGGAGGTTGCAACGAGCTAGAGATTGCCCTACTGCACTCCAGCCTGGTAACAGAGTAAAACATGCCTTTAAAAAATAAATTTAAAAAATAGATAATCAGGCTGGTGCACGGTGACTCACGCCTATAATTCCAGCACTTTGGGAGGCCGAGGCGGGCAGATCACCTGAGGTCAGGAATTCGAGACCAGCCTGGCCAACATAGTGAAACCCCGTCTCTACTAAAAATACAAAAATTAGCTGGGCATGGTGGCAGACAACTGTAATACCAGCTACTCAGGAGGCTGAGACAGGAGAATCGCTTTGAACCTGGGAGGCAGATGTTGCAGTGAGCCAATACCGCACCACTGTACTGCAGCCCGGGTGACAGAGCGAGACTCTGCCTCCAAATAAATAAATAAAAAATAGTGGCAAATCAAACCTTCAGTAGAACTAAGAGAATGCCAGAGTGAACCCCAGGGTTAATGATAGCAAACTTGGCTCTAACGTGGCTGCAGCATGCAAGCCTGTGTATGTGAACATGAGGGGTGGTGATTGTGGAGACACTGGCTTGCTATGTTGCCCAGGCTGGTCTCAAACTCCTGGCCTCAAACAATCCTCCCACCTTGGCCTCCCAAAGGAGGAACTGAGGAATGAGAAAAGAAATACGCCCCAAACATATGACATAAGAGACCACAGGGGGCTAGAGATTTGTCACCAATAGTCCTTGGTGGCATTACAGACCTCGGTCCCACCAACAAGAGAAGCATGACACTATTTAGCTCAAGTTTCATGATATACCCCTAAAACCTTAACCCATTTATGCCAGAGGTTACAATTATTTGAACTGCAGACGTGTGAAAAATCGTACCTTGAGCAGGATATAAATAACTCCCACATGCTTAGCGTTCCAATAATGCAACACTGGGCATCATGAAGCAGTTTACATGCGTATCATCTCTACAACTAAAATAACTCTTGAATAAGACAAGTGGGCTGTGCACAGTGGCTCACGCCTGCAATCCGGGTACTTTGTGAGGCCAAGACAGGAGGATCGTTTGAAGCCAGGAGTTTGAGAACCTCGGCAACACGGCCACACAGTGCAGCAGAGCAAAACGTTGTCTCAGAAAAGAAAAGACAAAGGCAAGAAGAAACTAAAGGTAGATTACGTTAAAATAAGTCACTGAGGCCGGGCGCGGTGGCTCACGCCTGTAATCCCAGCACTTTGGGAGGCCGAGGTGGGCAGATCACCTGAGGTCAGGAATTCGAGACCAGCCTGGCCAACATAGTGAAACCCCATCTCTACTAAAAATACAAAAAATTAGCCAGGCGTGGTGGCGGGCGCCTGTAGTCCCAGCTGCTCGGGAGGCTGAGGCAGGAGAATGGCGTGAACCCGGGAGGTGGAGCTTGCAGTGAGCCGAGATCGCACCGCTTCACTCCAGCCTGGGCGACAGAGACTGGAGTCTCTGTCTCAAAAAAAAGACAGATTCAAAAAAAAAGACAGACTCCGTCTCAAAAAAAAGACTCCGTCTCAAAAAAAAAATAAAAAATACAAATAAGTCATTGAAAAGATATACACGGGTCACAACTAAGGGAGCATCTGTAGGACGATCTTCTGAAAAGCTAAGACCCAGGACAGCTCTGGGAACTACCTATTTTTGGATATAATGATTAGGGGTGTGTGTGTGTGTGTGTGTGTGTGTGTGTGTGCTCATGCACACACATACACACAAGCTTCCAGTCTGTACTCCAGGATGATTTAAACTCTCAGTATGCCTAGGACTAAGTGTTTTGGGGGAAAGTTGGACAATATTCAATTCACAGAGCATTTTAGAAAAGTATCTAATTTTTAAATTATCTCCTAAGCTAGGAGTGTGCTATAGAAAGATGCCTTAAGTTGATCCCTACAAAGAGTACACACACTCCCAAAAAAACTCTTCTCTGCATGGGAAATTCACCATGTGAAACAGCCATCCCAGGGCCGAGCACAGTGGCTCACACCTGTAATCCCGGCACTTTGAGAGGCTGAGGCAGGTGGATCACCTGAGGTTGGCAGTTTGAGACCAACCTGACCAACATGGTGAAACCCCATCTCTACTAAAAACTACAAAAATTGGCCAGGTGCAGTGGCTCATGCCTGTAATCCCAGCACTTTGCGAGGCCAAGGCGAGAAGATCACCTGAGGTCAGGAGCTCAAGACCAGCCTGGCCAACATGGCAAAACCCCATCTCTACTAAAAATACAAAAATTAGCTGGGTGTGGTGGCGAGCGACTGTAATCCTAGCTACTCAGGAGGCTGAGGCAGGAGAATCACTTGAACCCAGGAGGCAGAGGTTGCACTGAGCCGAGATAGCGCCACTGCACTCCAGCCTGGGGGACAGAGAGAGACTCTGTCTTAAAAAAAAAAAAAAAAAAAATTAGCCAGCTGTGGTGGTGTGTACCTGTAATCCCAGCTACTCAGGAGGTTGAGGCAGGAAAATCGCTTCAACCTGTGAGAAGGAGGCTGCAGTGAGTCAAGATCGCGCCACTGCACTCCAGCCTGGGCAACAGTGAGACTCCATCCCAAAAAGCAAAAACCAAAAAGGCCGGGTGCAATGGCTCACCTCTGTAATCCCACCACTTTGGGAGGCCGAGGCAGGTGGCTCACCTGAGGTCAGGAGTTCAAGACTAGCCTGGCCAACATGGTGAAACCCCTCTCTACTAAAAAATTAGCCAGGCGTGGTGGCAGGCATCTGTAATTCCAGCTACTTGGGAGGCCAAGGTGGGAGAATCGCTTGAACCCAGGAGGTGGGGGTTGCAGTGAGCCAAGATCGCACCACTGCACTCCAGCCTGGGCTACAAGAACAAAACTCCATCTCAAAAAAAAAAAAGAAAAAGAAAAAAATTAGCTGGACATGTTGGCATGCCTCTAGGCCCAGCTACTCATGAGGCTGAGGCATGAGAATTGCTTGAACCTGGGAGGCAGAGGTTGCGGTGAGCCAAGATTGCGCCACTGCACTCCAGCCTGAATGACAGAGCACGACTCCATCTCAAAAAAACAAAAACAAAAAAACAAAACAAAACAAAAAACCCATACCTGAGTATCTTCAAGGATCCAGTTCTTTGTCTTAGAACCCCAAAGAGCTTAATTATGCCACTCTTCCACAAATGATTCTGGCCCAGGTCCAGAGTTTCAAGCTTCTGATTGCTGAGGAGAGCAGATCCAAGATGCTGACAATAGAAAGGCATGAGGGAGCAGCTCCAGAGGCTGTTGAGGAAGAACATGGAAACCCACGCATTCACTGAGCAGGTAGTGGCTCACGCGTGTAATCCCAACACTTCGGGAGGCCAAGGCGGGTGGATCACTTGAGGCCAGGTGTTCGAGACCAGCCTTGCCAACACGGTCAAACCCCATCTCTACTAAAAATACAAAGATTAGGCAGGGCGTGGGGACAGACACCTGTAGCCCCAGCACCTTGGGAGGCCGAGGAGGGTGGATCACCTGAGGTCAGGAGTTCGAGACCAGCCAGGCCAACATGGCAAAACCCCATCTCTACAAAAAATTAGCCATGCATGGTGTTGTGTGCCTTTAATGCCAGCTACTTGGGAGGCTGAGGCACAAGAATCGCTTCAGCCTGGGAGGCGGAGGTTACAGTGAGCCAAGATCGCACCACTGCACTCCAGCCTGGGCAATAGAATGAGACTCCATCTCACAAATATATAACATAAAATGAAAATACAAAAATTAGCCAGGTATGGTGGAGCCACCTATAATTCCAGCTACTCGAGAGGCAGGAGAATCGCCTGAACCAGGAGGCAGAGGTTGTAGTTAGCCAACATATCACCACTGCATTCCAGCTTGGGTGAAAGAGTGAGACTTGGTCTCAAACAAAACAAAACAAAAAAACAAGCAGCATATTTGCTGGGGCTCCAGTAGTGAGGAAATGCAGAGGGGAGTGAGCGGAAGAAATCCTTGTCCTCAGAGTTTTTAGTGACAGCAGACATCTCGATATGTTCTATTGAAGACAATGGATGATGGTATTAAAATAAACAGGGTAGAGGTAAGTCAAACAGAGAGGCATTGATTGGCTAGACTTATGCTGGTCATTTAAGTCCTCTTTTGGAAAGTGATATGAGGAAAGAAACTGAAGGATGGTAGATCATGAACCAGCATGCTAACTGGGGGAGGGAATCTTGTAAATAAAATACTGAGCTAGTGAGAAAGTAGAATGATTTATGGCTCATAACTTACACGAGGATCCCCCATAAGGCCCTGTAGGCCACTGTAGAAGCCTTTGGTTTTGTTTTTTTTTAAGGCAGAGTTTCACTCTTGTTGCCAAGGCTGGAGTGCAATGGCGTGATCTCGGCTCACTGCAACCTCCGCCTCCTGGGTTCAAGCGATTCTCCTGCCCCAGCCTCCCGAGAATCTAGGATTACAGTCATAGCTGAGATTACAGGAACAAGACACCAGGTAATCCACCCATTTGCATTGAGCTTTTGAGTCTTTGGAAATAAAGGTATCACGGTCTGGCTTGAGGCTTGAAATATTCCTCAGGGGGATGGGTTAAGAAACTTCAGGAGGCCAGGAATGGTGGCTCATGCCTGTAATCCCAGCACTTTGGGAGGTTGAGGCAGGTGGATCACTTGAGGTCAGGAGTTTGAGACCAGTCTGGCTAACATGGTGAAACCTGGTCTCTACTAAAAATACAAAAATTAGCTGGGTATGGTGGTGCACGCCTGTAATCCCAACTACTCAGCTCAATCAGGAGAATCGCTTGAACCTTGGAGGCTGAGGTTGCAGTGAGCCAAGATCGCACCACTGCACTCCAGCCTGGGTGACAAAGCGAGACTCTGTCTGAAAAAAGAAAAAAAGTACCCTGTGTTCTAGTGTTTTTTTTCTTTACAGCAAAGCTAAGTAGTAATGACGTGCAGATTCTCTTTGCATTAGGATTGCAGATTCTAGTTGGAAAATAGGTTGCATCCAAGAGATGCAACTGACAAACTTGGGGGAGAGAAGTGATGAAGAGCTCGCCATTCCATTTGTGGAGACTTTGCATTTTCTGGGGGTGGTATCCCACCTATGGTTCCCTGGGTTTATGAGGTGGGGCAGGCTCACTGCTTCCTGATTACTGGATCCCAGCAGAAGCAGCATGCTGCTGAAGTCCAGGTCACTGGGGGCCATTGTTATCTATATTTCACTTCTCCAGGCCCTCTACCTGACTTTAGAAGTGCCCACCCACATATATTCAGTTTCTGGAGGGGTTTGATCTTAAAACTGGATCCGAAGTGATACAGTCTGAGATATTGAAAACATAGAAATTGGCCGGGCATGGTGGCTCACGCCTGTAATCCCAGCACTTTGGAAGGCCAAGGCGGGCAGATCATGAGGTCAGGAGATCGAGACCATCCTGGCTAACACTGTGAAACCCCATCTCTACTAAAAATACAAAAAAAATTAGCCGGGCACGGTGGCGGGCGTCTGTAGTCCCAGCTACTCAGGAGGCTGAGGCAGGAGAATAGCAAGAACCCGGGAGGAAGAGGTTGCAGTGAGCCGAGATCGCGCCACTGCACTCCAGCCTGTGCAAATAGAACGAGGCTCCGTCTCAAAAAAAAAAAAAAAAAGAAAACATAGAAATTAAGGATTTCCAGATTTCCAAACACTTTAAAAATGAGGCCAGGCATGATGGCTCATGCCTGTAATCCTAGCACATTGGGAGGCCGAGGTGGGAGGATTCCTTGAGCACCAGAATTCAAAACCAGCCTGGGAAAGATGACAAGACCTCATCTCTACAGAAAACAGTTACCTGGCCATGGTAATACATGCCTGTAGAGCCAGCTACTCAGGAGGCTGAGGTGGGAGGACTGATCAAGCCTGGAAGACCGAAGCCACAGTGAGCCGTAATCACCCCACTGCACTCCAGGCTGGGGGACAGAGCAAGACCCTGTCTCAAAAAAAGAAAGAAAGAAGAAAAAGAAAATCGCCTACCGTAGGTGTTTTAGGTTACAGTTTGGATTCTCTAACGCCTGACAGAGAATCCACAATCCACGAGCTATCTGGTTGATACTCAAGTCCAGGTTTGTGAGGCTGCAGGCTTCTTGGAGCGCCTCTGAGAGGTATCTACAGCCAAGCTTGGTTATGCTGCATTGCTGTAACCTACAGGATAATCAAAGGAAGAGAAGCCTGTTATCCCTCTGGCTAACGCCCTGTGAAGCAGTTATTTCCAACACTATATACCTTCCACTTATATACTGGAATGCAGTGCTGCACTCTTGGCTCACTGCAACCTCTGCCTCCCAGGTTCAAGCGATTCTTCTGCCTCAGCCTCCCAAGTAGCTGGGATTATAGGTGCCCGCCACCTATATAACCAGACTTGGTGGTGCACGCCTGTAGTGCCAGCTCCTCAGAAGACTGAGGCAGGAGAATCGCTTGAATCCGGGAGGCAGAGGCTGCAGTGAGCTGAGATCGCGCCACTGCACTCCAGCCCGGGCGACAGAGCGAGACTCCGTCTCAAGAAAAAAACAACAACAACAAAAAGTATTTATATAAAACATAGGTGGCAGGTAGGAATTGACCCATGAACTGGAGCTATATACTTCCAGGTGGGCTTGCACATAAAAGCATGCAAATGGGCCGGGCACAGTGGCTCACGCCTATAATCACAGCAGTGGGAGGCCAAGACGGGCAGATCATTTGAGGTCAGGAGTTCAAGACCAGCCTGGCCAACATGGTGAAACCCCATCTCTACTAAAAAATACAAAAATCGGGCCGGGCGCGGTGGCTCAAACCTGTAATCTCAGCACTTTGGGAGACCAAGGTGGGTGAATCACAAGATCAGGAGTTCAAGACCAGCCTGGCCAAAGTGGTGAAACCCCATCTTTACTAAATACAAAAATTAGCTGGGCACGATGGCTCACACCTGTAATCTCAGCACTTTGGGAGGCTGAGGCAGACAGATCACCTGAGGTCGGGAGTTCAAGACCAGCCTAAGCAATATGGAGAAACCCGTCTCTACTAAAAATACAAAATTAGCCAGGTGTGGTGGCACATGCCTGTAATCCCAGCTACTCAGGAGGCTGAGGCAGGAGAATCTCTTGAACTGGGGAGACGGAGGTTGTGGTGAGCAGAGATTGCACCATTGCACTCCAGCCTGGGCAAGAAGAGCGAAACTCCATCTCAAAAAAAAAAAAAAATTAGCCAGGTGTGGCGGCCCATGCCTGTAATCCTAGCTACTCAGGAGGCTGAGGTAGGAGAATTACTTGAACCCAGGAAGCGGAGGTTGCAGTGAGCCAAGATCGCACCACTGCACTCCAGCCTGGTGACAGAGAGAGACTGTTAAAAAAAAAAAAAAAACATCCAAATGGCCTTCTGATTCCATCCATTTCCAGCTCTGCCTGGGACAACAGCTTAGGCTCTGGGTTCAGACCGACCCAGGACAGGATCTGAGCCCTGGGTCACTTATTTTCTGCGTGGTTAGATTATGGAAATTTCACTTTCCCTGTCATTTTATTTCATGTTTAAGTTTTGTCTTTAACTGACACATTCTACGTATATAGGGGTATAGTGTGATGTTTTGGTGCAGGTACACTTCGTATAACGATCAGGTAGGTGACTGTTTGTTTAACAATAGTTATTCTAAGCCAGGCACAGTGGCTAATGCCTGGAACGCCAGCACTTTGGGAGGCCGAGGCAGGCAGATCACTTAAGGCCAGGAGTTCAAGACCAGCCTGGCCAACATGGTGAAACCTCATCTCCACTAAAAGTGCAAAAATTAGCCAGGCATGGTGGAGGGCACCTGTAATCCCAGCTACTTGGGAGGCTGAGGCAGGAGAATCGCTTGAACCTGGGAGGCAGAAGTTGCAGTCAGCCAAGATTACACCACTGCATTCCAGTCTGGGCGACAGAGTGAGACTTCATCCAAAAAAAAAAAAATGAATCTCAGAAATGACCACTAGCTAGAATTTCTGAACAGGAACAGGTCTTCAACCCTATGCAATCTCTTGAATATTTTTCTAACCATAATTTTAATGTGAACAGGTAGCTCACGCTGGGCTTCTTTCCATATAACAAGATTCAGCCAACTATAGTTCGTGGGTCAATTCCAACCTGCCACCTATGTCTTTTACAAATAAGGATTTTTGTTGAGTTTTTTTTTGTTTTTTTCTTGAGACGGAGTCTCACTCTGTCG
Organism: Homo sapiens; assembly: GCF_000001405.40. Classification (NCBI taxonomy): domain Eukaryota; kingdom Metazoa; phylum Chordata; class Mammalia; order Primates; family Hominidae; genus Homo; species Homo sapiens. The sequence continues at coordinate 577,898 of NW_003571055.2, forward strand.
CCCGGGCTGGAGTGCAGTGGCACCATCTCAGCTCACTGCAGCCTCTGCCTCCCAGATTCAAGCGATTCTCCTACCTCAGCCTTCTGAGTAGCTGGTACTATAGGCACGCACCACCAAGCCTGGTTAATTTTTGTATTTTTTAGTAGCGATGGGTTTTCACCATGTTGGCCAGGCTGGTCTCGAACCTTAGGTGATCTGCCCACCATTCACCACCTGTTCCCCAATAACCTATGGAAATAAAAGTTTAAAAAAAGGTGCCACTGGCCCTACCACATAACTCAATCTACCTCCAATAGCAGGCAGTACTATGTCATAGGAATTTGAAAGAACACACACAAAGCATCAGATCCGAGAACCAACTACTCATCTCAAATCTTCCTTCATAGCAGGAAGAGGCTCTGCTGACATGCAAATATTAACATGTTTCTACCTGTATCTGCCTGGTTTTTTTTGTTTCTTTGTTTTTTTGAGAAGGAGTCTTGTTCTGTCGCCCAGGCTGGAGTGCAGTGGTGCGATCTCGGCTCACTGCAACCTCCGCCTTCCAGGTTCACGCCATTCTCCTGTCTCATCCTCCCAAGTAGCTGGGACTACAGGCATCCGCCACCACACCTGGCTAATTTTTGGTATTTTTAGTACAGACAGGGTTTCACCATGTTAACCAGGATGGTCTCCATCTCCTGACCTCATGATCCACCCGCCTCGGCCTCCCAAAGTGCTGGGATTACAGGCATGAGCCACCACGCCTGGCCTCTGCCTGTTCTTTAATTCTTACCAGGTTTTTAAAAGTTACATTTGAAATGAATTAACAAGTACTTTCATGTCTCTCCTGCTTGAATTCATGTGCACACACACACACACCCAGCAGGGACTTACACCAAGGTCTGCAGTTTACAATCAGGGTAACTCAAGCCCTCACACAGAAACTTCACCCCTGTATCCCCAATGGGGTTCTTGGCCAAGCACAGGTGTGTCAGCTTCTTGCTGACAACCAAGACAGCAGCAAGGTCCTTGCAACTGGCTTCTGTAAGACGACAGTTTTCCAACCTGCAAAAATATGAAACAAATGGTAGAAGGATGAGAACATTTCCACAACTCCAACCTGCTCAGTGATGTCCACATGCTAGGGTACTCAGCTTCAGCCCTTCCTGTTCATCCCCTGCCCTCTGTCCTGTGGGAGTCATCATGGCCACAAAAGAGCAGGAAGGCGAGAAGGCCAAGATGCAGCGGTCCACCTGGAGCCATCACAGGACACAGGTGTTGTTTTTGAGACGGAGTCTCGCTCTGTCGCCCAGGCTGGAGTGCAGTGGCGCGATCTCGGTTCACTGCCAATCGCCGCCTCCCAGGTTTACACCATTCTGCTGACTCAGCCTCCTGAGTAGCTGGGACTACAGGCGCCCACCACACCTGGATAATTTTTTGTATTTTTTAGTAGAGACGGGGTTTCACCATGTTAGCCAGGATGGTCTCGATCTCTTGACCTCGTGATCTCCCCGCCTTGGCCTCCCAACGTGCTGGGATTACAGGCATGAGCCACCGCACCCGGCCTGTTTTTGGTATTTTTAATAGAAACAGGGTTTCACCATGTTGGCCAGGTTGGTCTCGAACTCCTGAACTCAGATGATCCGCCCACCTCTCTGCTGAGATTACAGGCAGGAGCCACCGTGCCGGGCCTGAAGCAGGTGTTTATTTCAGCAAGAGGCGCCACGTGGGTGGCGCAGTAAGTCAGGTGTTACCCTTTCTCTTCTATAGCCCCAGAACTAAACCAGAGCTGCCCATGGGAAGAGGAGACTTACGACAACATCTGCAGGAAGTGTTTTGGGCGTGTCATGGTCTTGTACAGCAACATGGCACCCTCATCCAGGAGCACATTGGCTGAGAGACGCAGGTGCTTCAGGGACTGGTTGGCTTTGAGGACATAGAAGAATTCAGCCCACTGCTCCGGGGTGGCACAGTGACCTCCCAACCTGTGAAAAGAGTGGGAAAAGTCATTCTTCTGGGAGGACAGAGTATACCCTATCAGCTTTTTTTTTTTGAGACAGAGTTTCACTCTGTTGCCCAGTCTGGAATGCAAAGGCGTGATCTCACCTCACTGCAGCCTCCGCCTCCCGGGTTCAAGCTATTCTCCTGCCTCAGCCTCCGAAGTAGCTGGGATTACAGGCATTCGCCAATTTTTGTATTTTTAGTAGAGACGGGATTTCACCATGTTGGCCACACTGGTCTTGAACTCCTGACCTCAGGTGATCCACCCACCTTGGCCTACCGAAGTACTGGGATTACAGGTGTGAGCCACCGCGCCTGGCCCAGATCAGCTTCTTCTGCTTCACTTCCCAAGACATTATGTCTTTGGTTTATCTCATTCTACTCATGCCTCCAACCCTGGCCTGAATTACTGGAGAGATCTAATGTTGCCTCTGCTTCTTCAAGTATCCCCATGGCCATTAGGGTAACATCCAGCCACTTCTCCAAGAGATTGTAATACAATTCTGTGCAATGTTTCACCAAAACGGCCTGTGTGGATGATTTTGCAGGGGGGAAAAAAAAATTTTTTTTTTGAGACAGGATCTCGCTCTGTTGCCCAGGCTGGAGTGCAGTGGCATGATCACAGGTCACCACAACCTGTCTCCTGGGCTCAAATGATCCTCCCACCTCAGCATCCACTGTAGCTGGGACTAGAAGGGGCAAATTGATGCTTAATACTCAAAATAAAAATTTTATCCTGGCCAGGCGCAGTGGTTCATGCCTGTAATCCTAGCACTTTGGGAGGCCGAGACAGGCGGATCACTTGAGGTCAGGAGTTCGAGACCAGCCTGGCCAACATGGTGAAACCCTGTCTCTATTAAAAATACAAACATTTGCCAGGCGTGGTGGTGCACGCCTGTAACCCCAGCTACTCGGGAAGCTGAGGCAGAACTGCTTGAACCCAGGAGGCGGAGGTTGCAGTGAACGAGATCGCGCCACTGCGCTCCAGCCTGGGTGACAAGAATAAAACTGTCTCAAAGAAAAAAAAAAAAAAAAAAGATTCTCATTGAGTGCAGAGAAGGTTGCATGCTCCTTATGAATACCTAACTCCTGATGATCTGAGATTGATGATCCATTCTCCTCAGGCTCCCAAAGTGCGAGGATCATGCACTCCATAGGATCAGGCACCAACGATTAGCTCCTGTGCCTGATCTGAGATCGAACAGTTTCATCCCAAAACTACCCCCAAACCCGTCTGTGGAAAAAACTGTCTTGTGCAAAACCGGCCCGCGGTGCAGAAAAGGCTGGGGGCCACTGCTCTCAATCCCAACAATTAGGCAAGGTGCAGTCAGGAATAGCATGTCCCTAAAGCTGGAACCCAGCACAGAATTCGGGGTGTTTCTTTGCATGGATAGCTGGTTATGCAACACAGAAGACAAGCTGGTGGGGGAAAGAGGAGAGGCCGACTCCCCCACACAGGCCTGTTTGAGGAATACATTCCCTGTCTGGGACGGCATCTGGAGTGGTTACCCTTTTTCCTAGATCCCCCAGCAACACGGTGCAGTGGACTCCAGGTGCTGGGGAGAGCCGTGACCGTGAGACCCACCTCAGGTACTGCAGGTTGCATTTATGATTTCTGAGCAGGTCACACAGCATCAGCATCATCGTGCGTTCCCACTCGATGTGCCCTGCCAGGGTCAGGTGCGTGAGGGTCTTCTTCCCAATGAAAGCAAGACAGAAGTCCCGGTACGCGGTGTCAGGGGTGACGTTTTTAATCCTAGGGAAAAGCAGAAGAGATTCCACTTGGAGTGATTAATACTCACATTGTGTGGAGGCATGTATAAACAAAAAGCTGTTTCACATTTAGAAATTATTAGAAGTTCTTGGCCGGGTGCAGTGGCTCGTGTCTGTAACCCCAGCACTTTGGGAGGCTGAGGCAGGAGGATAACCTGAGGTCAGGAGTCTGAGACCAACCTGGGCAACATGGTGAAACTCCATCTCTACAAAAAATAAATTAGCTGGGGCCGAGGCAGGCAGATCGCCTGAGGTCAGGAGTTCGAGACCAGCCTGGCCAACATGGGGAAGCCCCGTCTCTACTAAAAATACAAAAATTAGCTGCACATGGAGGGGCATGCTTGTAGTCCCAGGTATTCGGGAGGCTGAGGTAGGAGAATCACTTGAATCCAGGAGGCAGAGGTTGCAGTGAGCCGAGACCGCACCACTGCACTCCAGCCTGGGCAACAGAGCAAGACTCCATCTCAAAAGAAAAAAAAATTCGCCGGGTGTGGTGGCTCACGCCTGTAATCCCAGCACTTTGGGAGGCCGAGGCCGAGGCGGGTGGATCACGAGGTCAGGAGATCAAGACCATCCTGGCTAACACGGTGAAACCCCGTCTTTACTAAAATTACAAAAAACTAGCCGGGCGTGGTGGCGGGCGCCTGTAGTCCCAGCTACTCGGGAGGCTGAGGCAGGAGAATGGCATGAACCCGGGAGGCAGGGCTTGCAGTGAGCCGAGATTGCTGCACTGCACTCCAGCCTGGGGAACATAGCGAGACTGTCTCAAAAAAAAAAAAAAAAGTCAAGAAGCAGAGGATCAGGAAAAACAACTAAGGGGTACTAGGCTTAATACTTGGGTGACAAAATAATCTGTACAACAAACTCCTATGACACACGGTTACCTGTGTAACTAACCTGTACTTGTACCTACTTTTTGGTTTGTTTTGGTAACAAAACAAACCAAAAAAAAGATAGCTGGGGCCAGGCATGGTGGCTCATGCCTGTAATCCCAGCACTTTCGAAGACCGAGGCAGGCGCATCACCTTAGGTCAGGAGTTCGAGACAAGCCTGGCCAAGATGGAGAAAATTCCACCTCTACTAAAAACACAAGATTAAGTCATTGCACTCCAGCGCCTAGGTGACAGAGTGAAACTCTGTCTCAGAAAAAATAAAAAATAAAAAAGGGGCCAGGTGCAGCGGCTCATGCCTATAATCCCAGCACTTTGGAAGGCCGAGGCAGGCAAATCACCTGAGGTCAGGAGCTCGAGATCAGCCTGGGCAACACGGTGAAAACCTGTCTGTGCTAAAAGTACAAAATTAGCCGGGCAAGGTGGCACATGCCTGTAATCCCAGCTACTCGGGAGGCTGAGGCAGGAGAATTGCTTGAACCTGGGAGGTGGAGGATGCAGTGAGCTGAGATCGCGCCATTGCACTCCAGCCTGGGCAACAAGAGTAAATCTCCGTCTCACCAAAAAAAAAAAAAAAAAAAAAGACAGCTGGAAAATCCCCAAATACATGGAGATGAAACAGCACATTTCCAAATTTAAAAAACAAAAGTACAAGAAGCTTAGTCATCGTTCAGGGTCTTCCTTGCAAGATGAGCTTCTACTTACTCCACTTTCTGCAGATGACAGGTGCTACGGGTTACGTGGTCACAAAGAATCCGCACAGAAGAGTCACTCAGGAAGCTTTGTTTCACTTCCAGAAACTTGAGGTTGCTGTTTGAGCTGAAGAGAGAGCAGAAATCTGTCCAGAGGCGAAGAGAGCGAAGATCCTGCCGAGCCCAGTTCGGAATGGTTAGGTAAGTGCACCTGCAGGAGAACACACGTTCATCTCTTAGGACTAGTACCTGCATGGTGAGATGGGCATCTGCAAACCACATTTCAATGGCAAAAACCACAATTACTTTTGCACCAACCTAAAACAGTGTCTATAGTAAACAATATTGCATCACATGCTTTGCTACCAGTATAGATCTTAAGTTTTACAAAAAAAATAAAATAATAGATAAGGCTGAGTGAGGTGGCTCATGCCTGTAATCCCAACACTTTGCTAGGCCAAAGTGGGAAGATCACTTGAGCCCAGGAGTTTAAGACCAACTTGGGCTAGAAACTGAGACCCCCATCTCTACAAAAAAATAAAATAATTAACCGGGCAAGGTGGTGCACGCCCATAGTCCCAGCTACTCGGGAGGCTGAGGCAGGAGAATCACTTGAACCCGGGAGGCGGAGGTTGCAGTGAGCCAAGATCGCGCCACTGCACTCCAGCCTGGGGGACAGAGCGAGACTCCGTCTCAAAAATAAAAAGCCCCAATTCCTAATTGCCAAGTCGTGTCTCCACGTTGAACATGAAGCTGGAAAGAAGTCCAGCCAGAGGGAAATTCTGACAGTAAGCGACAGGGCAAAGGAGACGCTGGCCTCTTCCTAGTGGAGCGTGGGATGGGAAAACAGTTCTTACCTTTCAAATTCAATGTCCAGTTCAAAATCCATGTAATTCTCCAGGAACACCCCCTTTGCTACCTGCAGTGAGAGTTTCTGCAAGTCTTGACAATGCTTCAGGCTGAAGGAACAATGCATCACTTCAGAAGTATTTGTCAGGTGAATAGAAATTTCCTTGAACGGGGCCACCACCACCTTCGCCAGCTCCTCCTCCTGAGACTCATACAGGCAGCCCAAGACCTCCTTCAGGTCGGTCACGGATAAGGGCTTATTTGCATGAAGATGTGCTTTGCATTGCAGCAATTCCTGTTTGATGTCCGGTGACATCCGGCAGCCAAAAGTGGCCTCCAACTCCTTGGCTCTCTTCTCGTTAGCGAGGCCGAATAAGAAGTGTCCTACTTGAATCAGGTCGGGGTTCTTGAGTCTTTCTTCTCCGGAAAGCAGCTTCTGTACGTCCCCGATGTCCCAGGCGTGGCCGTCCCTGTCCTCCCCCTCCTCCTTCTCCAGGGCGTAGAACAGGGCAGTGAGAAACTGCTGGAAGCTGAGGTGGATGAAGGAGTAGCAGCCTTTGGAGACTCTGTCCTGGCGGAGGATGTCTCCGTCCAGGAACAGACGGAGGTCGGACTCCTGCACCCCGAGCCTTTCCAGGTCCTCTCGGTGGAACACGGACATCTGCGCCCACAGGCCCTGCGCGGCCAGGAGGCTCAGCGTCCGCAGCGCGCCCCGCAGCTGTGCGCCCTGCGGGAACCGGCTGCAGAGGAAACGCAGGAACAGCCCCGTGCGGGTGAGGCAGGTGGGGACCGGGTCCTCCCCCTTCTCCATCTGCAGCTTCAGAGTCGTGCACACAATCCAGCACACCGCGGGGGCCGAGCCCAGCTGGAACAGGGCCGCGTTGCTCCTCATTAGCTCAAAGGCACGCATGGCTTGGTCCTCGTCTCCAAAGTGTCTCAGGAAATAGGCCCTCCTGTCCTCCTCCAGGAAGCCCTCCACCCTTACGTAGATCGGCTGCTGCGCCAGGAGCTGGAGGTCCCTCAGTGCCCTGGGCCGCGTGGTGACCAGCAAGGCTGCCCTGGGTAACATCTTCCTCTTCAGCAAACTCCCCAGGAGGACGGGCACCGGCTTCTTCTTCTCCCAGTCCCCGCAGATGTCCTGGATCAGCGCCCCAGGTGGGACTTTCAGCTCATCAAGGCCATCGACCACGAACAGGATTCTCTGTGCTTGGGCTAGGATGCTTGGAATGTCATCCTGCAATTCAGGCCAGTCTTTGGAGATCAGCTCTGCAAAACTGCAGGGGCCCATGCGGCTGAGCTCCTTGCAGCTGAGGTAGAACGCGTATCTGAGCGTCGGGCTGAGGTTGCAGTCTGTCCAGTCCAGCATACACTTTTTGGCCAGCGTGGTTTTCCCCACGCCTGCGGGGCCGTGCAGCACCACCGTGTAAGGTGTTAGCTTCCTGGGTGTTCTGGGATTCAAGAATGGAATGAACCGTTGGTTTCTCAGAGTGACGTCGTCATGGAAATTGTCAATGTCTCCTTGCCAAAAGGTGTTCTTCCAGACCAAAGACTGTTTCTCCATTGAATTTCTCCATCCTTCCTTTTCACCTGCAGTGACAGCCCATAGGACAGTTGAGGTTGATGATGATGATTTTCTGAATTATTTTGTCAAGTACCAGAAATGAGGGCCAGGCACGGTGTCTCATGCTTGTAATCCCGGCACTTTGGGAGGCCAAGGTGGGTGGATCACTTGAGGTCAGGAGTTCAAGACCAGCCTGGCCAAGATAGTGAAACCCCATCTCTACTAAAAATACAAAACATTAGCTGGGGGTAGTGGCGGCCGCCTGTAATCCCGGCTACTCAGGAGGCTGAGGCAGAGAATTGCTTGAACCCGGGAGGCAGAGGTTGCAATGAGCAGAGACGGAGCCACTACACTCCAGCCTGGGCTACAGAGCAAGATTCCGTCTCAAAAAAAAAAAAAACTACCAGAAATGAATAAAACCAGGAAGAAGTGATGCACCTTGCATGCTCTCAAACACCAAACTCATGACCATAGGACCGTATTTACCCACCTGGCTTTGCTAACTCCGAGTCTTCTTCTGCATCTCCCAGCTCAGGATTATCTATTTCTTGCACCTGTCCGTCCTCTGTAAAATACTTAGATGTAAGCCTGACACAGTAATTTACACTTCGTAAATCAGACATTATTGTACATAAAGTGTCAGCCAGGCATGGTGGCTCATGCCTGTAATCACAGCACTTTGGAAGGCTGAGGTGGGCGGATCACAAGGTCAGGAGATCAAGACCAGCCTGGCCAACATGGCAAAACCCCATCTCTACTAAAAATACAAAAAAAAAAAAATTAGCCAGGTGTGGTGAAACACGCCTGTAATCCCAGCTACTCCGGAGGCTGAGATAGGAGAATCACTTGAACCCAGAGGCGGAGGTTGCAGTGAGCCCAGATCTCGCCACTGCACTCCAGCCTTACACTCCAGCCTGGGCGACAGAACGAGACTCCATCTCAAAAAAAAAAAAAAAAAAAAAAAAATGACCAGGACACCCCAGGTTCTACTTACCCATCATCTCAGCCTTTGCCATCTTACACAATTCCGTGAGATTCATCTCTTCCAAGATGTTCACAGTCGCATTCCTTATCCAATTTTCTGAGGAGGTGTTGACCAGAATTTCTGCCAGTTTCTTGCCATCAGCCTCTTCCACCTCAGACCATGGGGTCTTCTGTAGCACGTCTTCGAGGGGAAAAGCCCATAAAAGGGATTTGAAACTCTTTAATTCATCCTCGTTCAGCTGCTCCAGAAGGGTCTGCAGAGTCCACTCTAGCTGGGGCGATGTCATAGTGCTCCGAGTATGAGACCTTAGGTTAAGGCTGAAGAACTGGGGGGAAAAAAGGAAAAACAGTTCACGAGTTACCATCATTAAATGAAACCACAGTTTCCTGTGTGCCAAGAACAAGACTGTTCCTGCTGTACAGTGAGTGGTAAAATATTCCAAAGACTGAATTAAGAGACTGAAAATCTGGCCCAGCACGGTGGCTCACGCCTGCGGCCAGGAGTTCGAGACCAGCCTGGCTAACTTGGTAAAAAGAACGAACAAAAGGCTGGGCACGGTGGCTCACGCCTGTAATCCCAGCACTTTGGGAGGCCGAGGCGGATGGATCACGATATCAGGAGATCGAGACCATCCTGGCTAACACAGTGAAACCCCTGCCTCTACTAAAAAAATACAAAAAATTAGCAGGGCGTGGTGGCGGGCACCTGTAGTCCCAGCTACTCGGGAGGCTGAGGCAGGAGAATGGTGTGAACCCGGGAAGTGGAGCTTGCAGTGAGCAGAGATCTCACCATTGCACTCCAGCCTGGGCGACAGAGCGAGACTCCGTCTCAAAAAAAAAAAAAAAAAAAAAAAAAAGAATACAAAGAATGAAGGGTCAGTGGTATGCTAGGGCCAGCCCGTGCTGCCTAATGGGGGCTTCCTATATGTACCTATACCAACGTCCATGGGCTGTGATTTCACACTGATAGTACAAAATCACAAGGGGAGTGTTTATGCCACAGAAATCAGCAAACACGGCAGGGCGCGGTGGCTCACGCCTGTAATCCCAGCACTTTGGGAGGCCAAGGCGGGTGGATAACCTGAGGTCGGGAGCTCAAGACCAGCCTGACCAACACGGCGAAACCCCATCTCTACTAAAAATACAGAAATTACAGGCGGGTGCCTGTAATCCCAGCTACTCAGGAGGCCGAGACAGGAGAATCACACTTGAACCTGGGAGGTGGAGGTTGCATGATCTGAGATCACGCCATTGCACTCGAGCCTCGGCAACAAGAACAAGACTCTGTCTCAAACAAACAAAAAAACAAATCAGCAAACACTACAAACCAAGACTTCCTCGCCACCAACCCTCAGAGCCACTTGTTTAACATTTCAGCCCACCACTGAATGACACATTGAAAACAAATAGCAAGAGGACAGATATAAATATAACTGTACTGGCCGGGTATGGTGGCTCAGGCCTGGAATCCCAGCACTTTGGGAGGCTGAGGCAGGTGGATCGCCTGATGTCAGGAGTTTGAGACCCGCCTGGCCCACATGGTGAAACCCCATCTCTACTAAAAATACAAAAGCTAGCCAAGTGTAGTGGTAGGAACCTGTAATCCCAGGTACGTGGGAGGCTGAGGCAGGAGAATCGCTTGAACCCAGGAGGCGGAGGTTGCAGTGAGCTGAGATAGCGCCATTGTACTCCAGCCTGGGCAACAAGAGCGAAACTCTATCTCAAAAAAAAAAAACTTAGCCAGGCCTGGTGGAACATACCCGTAGTCCCAGATACTTGGGAGGCTGACACAGGAGGATTGTTTGAGCCTACGATTTGGAGGTTGCAGTGAGCCAGCCACTGCACGCCAGCCTGGGTGACAGAGTGAGGCCCTGTCTCAAAAGTAAGTAACTAATGGCCGGGTGCGGTGGCTCACGCCTGTAATCCCAGCACTTTGGGAGGCCGAGGCAGGCGGATCACGAGGTCAGGAGATCGAGACCATCCTGGCTAACACGGTGAAACCCCGTCTCTACTAAAAATACAAACAATTAGCCGGGCGTGGTGGCGGGCGCCTGTAGTCCCAGCTACTCGGGAGGCTGAGGCAGGAGAATGGCGGGAACCCGGGAGGCGGAGCTTGCAGTGAGCGGAGATCGCGCCACCGCACTCCAGCCTGGGCGACAGAGCGAGACTCCGTCTGGGTTGGGGGGGCGGGGGGAAGAGGCAGCCTGGAAAATAAATAACAGAAAAAGTGACTTGCCAAGCCCGGGTGCTGATAGAGGTGGACAGCTTTACCCTTGGAGGGAACAGCAAATCTTTTTCCCCAGCTGTGACGTGTGGGGAAAAGGAGGACAGATCAGACTGTTACTGTGTCTATGTAGAAAGAAATAGACATAAGAGACTCCATTTTGTTCTGTACTAAGAAAAATTCTTCTGCCTTGAGATGCTGTTAACCTGTAACCCTAGCCCCAACCCTGTGCTCCCAGAAACATGTGCTGTGTCACACGTGGGTTTAGGGCTATGCAGGATGTGCTTTGTTAAACAGATGCTTGAAGGCAGCATGCTTGTTAAAAGTCATCACCACTCTCTAATCTCAAGCACCCAGGGACACAATACACTGCGGAAGGCTGCAGGGACCTCTGCCTAGAAAAGCCAGGTATTGTCCAAAGTTTCTCCCCATGTGATAGCCTGAGATAAGGCCTCGTGGGAAGGGAAAGACCAGACCGTACCCCAGCCCGACACCCGTAAAGGGTCTGTGCTGAAGAGGATTAGTATAAGAGGAAGGCCTTTTTGCAGTTAAGAGGAAGGTATCTGTCTCCTGCTCGTCCCTGGGCAATGGAATGTCTCGGTGTAAAACCCGATGGTATGTTCCATCCACCGAGATAGGGGAAAACCGCCTTAGGGCTGGAGGTGACACATGCTGGCAGCAATACTGCTCTTTAATGCACCAGATATGTTTATGTATGAGCACATCAAGGCACAGCACATTTCCTAACCTTGTTTATGACACAGACATTTGCTCACATGTTTTCCTGCTGACCCTCTCCCCACTGTTACCCTATTGTCCTGCCACATCCCCGTCTCCGAGATGGTAGAGATAATGACCAATAAATACTGAAGGAACTCAGAGACCCGGCCGGCGCGGGTCTCCTGAGCCCACTTTTCTTTCTGTGTACTTTGTCTCTGTGTCTCTTTCTTTTCTCAGTCTCTCGTCCCACCTGACAAGAAACACCCACAGGTGTGGAGGGGCAGGCCACCCCTTCAGTGAGGTATAATTACATATATCCTATTTTAGGATGGAGCAGGAAGAGCATGAGAGCCCAGGAGTTCCAGACCAGCCTGGGCGACACAAGGAGACCTTGTCTCTATTTTTTAAGTATTTTTAAAGTAATATATACAACGTTTACTTGTCAAAGTGTACAGCATGGAGCGATGTTATATATACAGTGAAATGATTACCACAATCCAGCTAATTAACATATCCACTGCTTCATATAGTTGCCTTTCGTTTTTGCAGTGACAACGCTTGATGTACTTAGAAAAATTCAGGGTTTTTTGGCCAGGCACGGTGGCTCACGCCTGTAATCCCAGCACTATGGGAGGCCGAGGCGGGCAGATCACAAGGTGAGGAGCTCAAGACCATCCTGGCTAACACGGTGAAACCCCGTCTCTACTAAAAATACAAAAAAAAAATTAGCCGGGCATGGTGGCGGGCGCCTGTAGTCCCAGCTACTTGGGAGGCTGAGGCAGGAGAATGGCTTGAACCTGGGAGGCGGAGCTTGCAGTGAGCCAAGATCGCGCCACTGCACTCCAGCCTGGGCGAGTGAGACTCCCTCTCAAAAAAAAAAAAAAAAAGAAAAGAAAAGAAAAATTCAGGGTTTTTTTTTTCTTTTTCAGAAAGTCTTGCTCTGTCGCCCAGGCTGGAGTGCAATGGTGCGAGGCTTACCACAACCTCCTCTTCCCGGGTTCAAGCGATTCTCCTGCCTCGGCCTCCCAAGTAGCTGGGATTACAGGTATGCCCCACCACACCTAATTTTTTTTGTATTTTTAGTACAAACGGGGTTTCACCATGTTGGCCAGGCTGGTCTTGAACTCCTGACCTCAGGTGATCTGCCCACCTCAGCCTCCCAAAGTGCTGGGATTACAGGTATGAGCCACCAGGCCTGGCCAAGTATTTTTTTTCCCAAGTACATTTTTTTCTTTTTTTCTTTTTTTTGAGATGGAGTCTCCCTCTGTTGCCCAGGCTGGAGTGCAGTGGCACAATCTCGACTCACTGCAACCTCCACCTCCCAGGTTCAAGTGATTCTAGTGCCTCAGCCTCTCAAGAAGCTGGGATTACAGGCGCACCGCATCACGCCGGGCTAGTTTTTGTATTTTTAGTAGAGACAGGGTTTCTTGTTTTTTTCTGAGATGGAGTCTTGCTCTGTCACCCAGGCTGGAGTGCAGTGGCGCGATCTGGGCTCACTGCAAGCTCCGCCTCCCAGGTTCACGCCATTCTCCTGCCTCAGCCTCCCAAGTAGCTGGGACTACAGGCGCCCGCCACTATGCCCAGCTAATTTTTTTTGTATTTTTAGTAGAGATGGGGTTTCACCGTGTTAGCCAGGATGGTCTCGATCTTCTGACCTCGTGATCCGCCCGCCTCGGCCTCCCATAGTGCTGGGATTACAGGCGTGAGCCACCGCGCCCGGCCGAGACAGGGTTTCTCTATGTTGGCCAGGCTGGCCTCGAACTCCTGACCTCAGCTGATCCACCCGCCTCGGCCTCCCAAAGTGCTGGGATCACAGGCGTGAGCCACCGCATCTGGCCATTTACATTTTTTTTTTTTTTTGATGCAGCATTTCACTCTGGTTGCCCAGGCTGGAGTGCAGTGGCGCAATCTCAGCTCACCGCAACCTCCGCCTCCCGGGTTCAAGTGATTCTCCTGCCTCAGCCTCCCGAGTAGCTGGGATTACAGGCATGTGCCACCACGCCCAGCTAATTTTGTATTTTTAGTAGAGATGGGGTTTCTCCATGTTGGTCAGGCTGGTCTCAAACTCCCGGCCTCAGGTGATCTGAAAGTGCTGGGATTACAGGCGTGAGCCACCGCGCCCAGCCTACTTTTTTTTTTTTTTAAACAGGGTCTTCATCTCATCCAGGCTGGAGTGCAGTGGCTCAATCACACCTCATTGCAGCCCCCACCTCCTGGCTCAGGTGATCCTCCCACCTCACCCCACAAGTAGCTTGGACACAGCACAAGGTCTGGCCTTCTTTGTTTTTTGAGACGGAGTCGCACTCTGTCTCCCAGGCTGGAGTGCAGTGGCGCGATCTCAGCTCATTGCAACCTCCCCCTCCTAGGTTTAAGCTATTCTCCTGCCTCAACCTTCCAAGTAACTGGGATTACAGGCATGCACCACCACACCTGGCTAATTTTTGTGTTTTTAGTAGAGACAGGGTTTCACCATTTTGGGCAGGCTGGTCTCAAACTTCTGGCCTCAAGTGATCCACCCGCCTCGGCCTCCCAAAGTGTTGGGATAACAGGCATGAACCACTGTGCCTGGCCTTATATTTTTTTGTAATGACAGAGTTTTACCATGTTGCCCAGGCTAGTCTCAATCTCCTGAACTCCTCTAAACTATATTTGAATAGAAGTCCTTAAGACATTAGGCCAGGCGTGGTGGCTCACACCTGGAATCCCAGCACTTTGGGAGGCCGAGGCAGACAGATTACCTAAAGTCAGGAGTTCAAGACCAGCCTGGCCAACATGGTGAGACCCCGTCTCTACTAAAAATACAAAAATTAGCTGGGCATGGTGGCACGTGCCTGTAGTCCCAGCTACTCAGGAGGCTGAGGCAGGAGAATGGCGGGTGAACCCAGGAGGCGGAGTTTGCAGCGAACCAAGATCACGCCACTGCACTCCAGCCTGGGCGACAGAGGGAGACTCCGTCTCAAAAAAAAAAAAATCAAAGATCCTTCCAGCATCCTCGCACCAACCATTAAGGCTTGGGAAGGGCTATGGTGGAAACTCAACCAATAGCTTCTTCTCCCTTAAACGAGAAGACAAAGAAATCGATGCAAGAACCAGCACTCACCTCCCTCAGGTCAGGTCTTGCTTCCAGCCTGTGTTTCCTGCAAAGGAAACGGATAAAAAGGGGAGGTCTCTGGCCCTTGGTACGCTAGGTGGAGAGACAGCTTTCCCGCCCAGGGTGGAACCGCCCCACTGAGATTAACATTGGGTGGCTCCCAACCACTGACCTCAGGCTCACCTTGACATCACCTGGGCCCCATCCTCAGGGATTTGGCTGTAATTGGGCTTCAGTGGGCTTTGGAGAATTACGGCTTGCTGAATCTCCCCAGGTGAGATTAATGTGCAATTCCCTTCCTAGACCACCCGGGCCAGGTGTGATAGGCGACAGAACAGGAAATACACATTTTGGGTTTTGCAGGGTACCTGGCTCCCAGCTTTAAAAACTCTTGTAGAGAAAAAAAATTAAACAAAAATAAATAAAAATTAAAAAAAAAGAGGACAAAAACTCCCGTGACTTCCTAAGTTACAAATACAATAAGTCTACTTTGTGGCCAACTGTGGTGCCTCCTGCCTATAAATCCCAGCAGGCTGAGAGGCCTAGGCCAGTGGATCCCTAGGGGCCAGGAGTTTGATACCAGCCTAGGCAACATAGCAAGATGCCATCTCTTCAAAAATATTTAATAATTAGCCATGCATAGGCTGGGCGTGGTAGCTCATGCCTGTAGTCCCAGCAATTTGGGAAGCCGAGGCGGGTGGATCACCTGAGGTCAGGAGTTGGAGACCAGACTGGCCAACGTGGTGAAACTCTGTCTCTACTAAACATACAAAAAATTAGCCAGGTGTGGTGGCAGGTGCCTGTAATCCCAGCTACTCGGGAGGCTGAGACAGGACAATCACTTGAACTAGGGAGGTGGAGGGTGAGTGAGGCACGATCACGCCATTGCACTCCAGCCTGGGTGACAAGAGCAAGACTGTCTCAAAAACAAAAACAAAAAAATTAGCCATACATGATGGGCTGCACCTGTAATCCCAGCTATTCAGGAGGCTGAGGTGGGAGGATCACCTGAGCTCAGGAGTTTGAGGCTGCAGTGAGCTGTGACTGGCCATCTCACTCCAGCCTAGGCCACAGAGTGAGACCCAGTCTCAAAAAAATAAATAGATAACTGATATTTAATTTTTTTTTTTGGATGGAGTCTTGCTCTGTGGCCCAGGCTGGAGTGCAGTGGTGCAATCTCCATTCTTGCAACCTCTGCCTTCCAGGTTCAAGCAATTCTGATGCCTCAGCTTCCCAAGTAGCTGGGACTGCAGGCACATGCCACCATGCCCAACTAATTTTTTGTATTTTTAGTAGAGACAGGGTTTCACCATATTGGTCAGGCTGGTCTCAAACTCCTGATGTCAGGTGATTACAGGCATGAGCCACCGCACCTGGCCTAAAATTGTTTTTAAATAAAACAGTGTATGTTGTGGAAAGCATTCAGCACAGAATTTTGGTAGTTTAAACTGTTAATTTAATGGAAGCAAATGGTCCCACAAATGAAGATGTATATATCAGTTGCAGCATGCCATCTATAGAAATAGGCACTATGGAGGCCTGGCATGGTGGCTCACACCTGTAATCCCTGCACTTTGGAAGGCTGAGGCAGGTGGATCATCTGAGGTCAGCAGTTCGAGACCAACCTGGGCAACATGGCAAAAAACCCCTGGCTACTAAAAATAAAGAATTAGCCAGGCATGGTGGTGTGCACCTGTAATCCCAGCTACTCAGGAGGCTGAGGCGTAAGAATTGATTGAACCTGGGAGTTGGAGGTTGCCGTGAGCCGAGATTGCACCACTGCGCTCCAGCCTGGGCGACAGAGACTCCATCTTTAAAAAAAAAAAAAAAAGATGGCCAGGCGCAGTGGTTCATGAATGTAATCCCAGCACTTTGGGAGGCTGAGGCGGGAGGACTGCCTGAGTCCAGGAGTTCAAGACCAGCCTGGGCAATATGGCGAGACTCCCTCTCTGAAGAAAAAGAAAATAAAAACAATAAAAATAAATTATATTCTAGCTGACAAAAAGAGAGAGAGAGTATATTTTGTTAAAACATTTGGCCTTTAGTCCTAGAGCAGCTATGGAGAGATAAACATGAAAGAGGTATCTCTTGTTATACATACCCAGGCCCTGCAACCACACCTGAGTTTATGTAAATGAGGTGACTTTTGGAAAGCCCCTAGATAACCCCACAAGTGCGAGGGACTGGCTGCCAAAGAAACCGTCAGTGATTAGACATTGGGAACTTTCAGCCCCAGGCTCCAAGTGGCCTCCAGGGAGGGGAGAGGGGCTGAAGGTTGAATTGATTATGAACTGCCAGCTATGTGATCAGCATTGCCCACCTAAGGAATCCTCCATAAACCCCAAAAGAAAAGGGTTTGGGCCGGGTGTCCTGTGGCTCATGCCCGTAATCCCAACGCTTTGGGAGGCCTAGATGGGAGGATTGCTTGAGCCCAAGAATTCTAGGCCAGTCTGGACAAAATAGCAAGACCCTGGCTCTACAAAAAATAAAAAATTAGCCAGGCGTGGTGGAGTGCACCTGTAGACCCAGCTACTCAGGAGGCTGAGGCATGAGAATCACTTGAACGCAGGAGACAGAGGCTGCAGTGAGCTGAGATAGCGCCACTGCACTCCAGCCTGGGTGACGGAGTTAGACTGTCTCAAAAAAAAAAAAAACCAGGAAAGAGTTCAGAAGAGCTTCCTGGTTGGTGAACCCGGGTGCATTCGTGTGCCAGGACTGTGGTGCACCCCAGGTCCACAGGGACAGAAGCTCCTGCACTTCGGACTCCTCTAAACCTCCCCCTACGCATCTCTTCCTTGGCTGTTCATTTGTATCCTTTAAAATATGAAAGGGCGGGTTGCCCCTCCACACCTGTGGGCATTTCTCGTTAGGTGGAAGGAGAGACTTGGAAAAGAAAGAGACACAGACAAAGTATAGAGAAAGAAATAAGGGGACCCAGGGGACCAGCATTCAGCATATGGAGGATCCCGCCAGCTTCTGAGTTCCCTTAGTATTTATTGATCATTTTGGGGTGTTTCTCAGAGAGGGGGATGTGGCAGGGTCATAGGATAATAGTGGAGGGAAGGTCAGCAGATAAACACGTTAACAAAGGTCTCTGCATCATAGACAAGGTAAAGAACTAAGTGCTGTGCTTTAGATATGCATACACATAAACATCTCAATGCCTTACGGAGCAGTATTGCTGCCCGCATGTCCCACCTCCAGCCCTAAGGCGGTTTTCCCCTATCTCAGTATATGGAATATACAATCGGGGTTTACACCCATACATTCCATTGCCCAGGGACGAGCAGGAGACAGATGCCTTCCTCTTGTCTCAACTGCAAAGAGGTGTTCCTTCCTCTTTTACTAATCCGCCTCAGCACAGACCCTTTACTGGTGTCGGGCTGAGGGACGGTCAGGTCTTTCCCTTCCCATGAGACCATATTTCAGGCTATCACATGGGGAGAAACCCTGGACAATACCTGGCTTTCCTAGGCAGAGGTCCCTGCGGCCTTCCGCAGTGTTTGTGTCCCTGGGTACTTGAGATTAGGGAGTGGTGATGACTCTTAAGGAGCATGCTGCCTTCAAGCATTTGTTTAACAAAGCACATCTTGCACAGCCCTTAATCCATTTAACCCTGAGTGGACACAGCACATGTTTCAGAGAGCACAGGGTTGGGGGTAAGGTCATAGATTAACAGCATCTCAAGGCAGAAGAATTTGTCTTAGTACAGAACAAAATGAAGTCTCCTGTGTCTACTTCTTTCTACACAGACACAGTTACAATCTGATCTCTCTTTCTTTTCCCCACAAAAATATCCTTTGTAGACCAGGCACAGTGGCTCAGGCCTGTAATCCCAGCACTTTGGGAGGCTGAGGCAGATGGATCACTTAAGGTCAGGAGTTTGAGACCAGCCCAGCCAGCATGGTGAAACTGCGTCTCTACAAAAATACAAAAATTAGCGGGGCATGGTAGTTCAACGCCTGTAATCCCAGCTACTCGAGAGGCTGAGGCAGAATTGTTTGAACCCGGGAGGCAGAGGCAGAGGTTGCAGTGAGCCGAGGTCGCACGACTGCACTCCAGCCTGGGTGCAACAGAGTGAGACTCCATCTCAAAAAACAAAAAACAAAAACAAAAACAAAACAAAAAATGAAAACCCACTTTTAGTAAAAAAAATAAAAATGAAAAAATGTGAATCAGGCTGCACTCTGGCCCACATCCTGGCTGCTGTGTATCACGTGGCTCTAGACACTGCACTTTTGCCTCCTCATCATTGCTGTAGATAGGATTTCTGACAGCAGGGTCATTAGACGAATTTTTTTTTTTTTTTGAGACGGAGTCTCGCTCTGTCGCCCAGGCTGGAGGGCAGTGGCGCAATCTCTGCTCACTGCAAGCTCCGCCTCCCGGGTTCACACAATTCTCCTGCCTCAGCCTCCCGAATAGCTGGGACTACAGGTGCCTGCAACCATGCCTGGCTAATTTTTTTTGTATTTTTAGTAGAGACGCGGTTTCACCATGTTAGCCAGGATGGTCTCGATCTCCTGACCTCGTGATCCTCCCGCCTAGGCCTCCCAAAGTGCTGGGATTACAGGCGTGAGCCACCGCGCCCGGCCCCATTAGACAAATTTGTATCTGCACGGTTCCTACAGATAAACTCTGGGACATTAGAATTATAAGGCTTTTGTTTAAGGATGGTTTCAGATGTTTTTCAGACCTTGAATTCCAGCCAAATAGCTGACACTAACCAGTTTGAAGACCCCAGTGAGGAATGGGATCAGCATGAGAACACTGCGTCTTCATGCCCCTGTCTCCGCCAGCAGTCAGCATGGCCACACTCTGGCCCACACCAAAACACTTAAAAACCCTAGCCCCGGCCGGGTGCAGAGGCTCACACCTGTAACTCCAGCACTTTGGGAGGCCAAGGCAGGTGAATCACCTGAGGTCAAGAGTTCAAGACCAGCCTGGCCAACATAGTGAAACCCCGTTTCTACTAAAAACACAAAAAATTAGTCGGGCGTGGTAGCGGGTGCCTGTAACCCCAGCTACTCAGGAGGCTGAGGCAAGAGAATTACTTGAACCTGGGAGGCGGAGGTTGCAGTGAGCAAAGATCCTGCCACTGCACTCCAGCCTGGGTGACAAAGCAAAACTCCATCTCAAAAAAAAAAAAAACCCTAGACCCAAACTTCTGGGGGAGATGGATTGGAGGTTTCCTCCCATCTCCTCATTCCTCAGCCCTGTGATTAAACTTCCTTCTCTTCTGCAACACAGTGACCCGGCAAATTGACTCACAGCGTGCATTGGGCAACGGACCTACTGTCAGAGGCGTGTAACCAGGGCAACTCCATCTTGAATAGGAGCTGACTAAAATAAGGCTGAGACCTACCGGGCTGCATTCCCAGACAGTTAAGGCATTCTCCAAAAAAAACAAAAATGACAGGCACGGTGGCCCAGCACTTTGGGAGGCCGAGGCGGGTGGATTACCCGAAGTAGAGTTTGAGACCAGCCTGGCCAACACGGTGAAACCCCGTCTCTACTGAAAATACAAAAATTAGTCAGGCGTGGTGGCTCGTGCCTGTAATCCCACCTACTTGCGAGGCTGAGGCAGGAGAATCGCTTGAGCCGGGGAGGCGGAGGTTGCAGTAAAAAGAAAAAAAAAAGCATTCTAAGTCACAGGATGAGATAAGTCAGCACAAGATACAGGTCATAAGGACCTTGCTGATAACACAGGTAGCAATGTAGCAGGACCAGCCACAGACAAAACTCCTCAGACACCGAGTTAAAGAAGAAAGGGGTTTATCCGGCCAGGGGCATCGGCAAGACTCCCGTCTCAAGAGCCGAGATCCCCAAGTGAGCAATTCCTGTCCCTTTTAAGGGCTCACAACTCTAAGGGGGTGTGCGTGAGAGGGTCGTGATCGACTGAGCAAGCAGGGGGTACGTGACTGGGGGCTGCATGCACTGGTAATCAGATCCAAACAAAACAGGATAGGGATTTTCACAGTGCTTTTCTATACAATGTCTGTAATCTATAGATAACCGATTAGGTCAGGGGTCAATCTTTAACTACCAGGCCCAGGGTGTGGCGCCGGGCTGTCTGCTTGTGGATTTCATTCCTGGGCCGCGGGGCTGTCTGCTTGTGGATTTCATTCCTGGGGCGCGGGGCTGTCTGCTTGTGGATTTCATTTCTGCCTTTTAGTTTTTACTTTTTCTTTCTTTGGAGGTGGAAATTGGGCATAAGACAATATGAGGGGTGGTCTCCTCCCTTAGCAATAAAGAATCCAGCCAGGCCGGGCGCGGTGGCTCACACCTGTAATCCCAGCACTTTCGGGGGCTGAGGCGGGTGGATCACACGGTCAGGAGATTGAGACCATCCTGGCTAACACGGTGAAACCATCTCTACTAAAAAAAAAAAATACAAAAAATTAGCTGGGCGTGGTGGCGGGCGCCTGTAGTCCCAGCTACTCGGGAGGCTGAGGCAGGAGAACGGCGTGAACCCGGGTGATGGAGCTTGCAGTGAGCGGAGATCGCGCCACTGCACTCCAGCCTGGGTGACAGAGCGAGACTCCGTCTCAAAAAAATAAAAAATAAATAAAAATAAATAAAGCATCCAGTCAAACTCCATCAAAACCAAGATAGTGACGAGAGTAACCTCTGGTTGTCCTCACCGCTCCACTCCCAGCAGCCCCATGACAGTTTACAAATGCCATGGCAATGTCAGGAAGTTACCCTATGCTGTCTAAAAAGGGGAGGCATGAATAATCCACCCCTTGTTTAGCATATCCATAGAAATAACCATAAAAATGGGCAACCGGCCGGGCGCGGTGGTCACGCCTGTAATCCCAGCACTTTGGGAGGCCGAGGCGGGTGGATCATGAGGTCAGGAGATTGAGACCATCCTGGCTAACACGGTGAAATCCCATCTCTACTAAAAAAAAATACAACTAATTAGCTGGGTGCGGTGGCGGGCGCCTGTAGTCCCAGCTACTCGGGAGGCTGAGGCAGGAGAATGGCCTGAACCCAGGAGGCGGAGCTTGCAGTGAGCCGAGATAGTGCCACTGCACTCTGGCCTGGTGAAAGAGCGAGACTCCGTCTCAAAAAAAAAAAAAAAAAAAAAAAAGGGCAACCGAGGCCGGACGTGGTGGCTTACGCCTGTAATCCCAACACTTTGGGAGGCCGAGGCGGGCATATCACCTGAGCTCAGGAGGTCAAGATCAGCCTGGCCAACATGGTGAAACCCCATCTCTTACTAAAAATACAAAAATTAGCCAGACGTGATGGCAGGCACCTGTAATCCCAGCTACTCAGGAGGCTGAGGCAGGAGAATCACTTGAACTGAAGTGATTCAAGGCAGAGGTTTCAGTGAGCCAAGATCACGCCACTGCACTCCAGCCTGGGCGACAAGAGCAAAACTCCATCTCAAAAAAAATAAGGGCAACTAGCAGCCCTATGGGCTGCTGTCTATGGAGTAGCTATTCTTTTACTCCTTCACTTTCCTAATAAGCTTGCTTCCACTTTACTCCATAGTCTCGCCCTGAATTCTTTCTGGTATGAGATTCAAGAACCCACCATGCCCAGCTCGTCCTTACTTGCTTTTAAAAAATATCATTGGTGGCCGGGCGCGGTGGCTCACGCCTGCAATCCCAGCACTTTGGGAGGCCAAGGCTGGCGGATCACCTGAGGTCCGAAGTTTGAGACCAGCCTGACCAACATGGAGAAACCCCGTCTCTACTAAAATACAAAAAAATTAGCTGGGTGTGGTGGTGCGTGCCTGTAATCCCAGCTACTCAGGAGGCTGAGGCAGGAGAATCACTTGAACCCGGGTGGCAGAGGTTGCAGTGAGCCAAGATCATGCCATTGCACTCCAGCCTGGGCAACAAGAGTGAAACTCCGTCTCAAAAATAAATAAATAAAATCATTGGAATAATTTTCTTCTTTAGGAAGAGCAGCCTTGGGCCAGGCATGGTGGCACATGCCTGGAATCCCCGAACTTTGGGCAGCCCAGGTAGGTGGATTGCTTGAGTTCAAGAGTTCCAGACCAGCCTGGACAACATGATGAAACCTCTTCTTGATCAAATATACAGAATTTCGACTGAGCACAGTGGCTGTAAGCCCAGCATGTTGGGAAGCTGAGGTGGGTGAATCATTTGAGGTCAGACCAGCCTGACTAACATGGCGAAACCCCATCTCTACAAAAAATACAAAAGTTAGCCAGGAGGTCGTGGGCGCCTGTGGTCCCAGCTACTCGGGAGGCTGAGGCAGGAGAATGACGTGAATCCCGGAGTCGTAGGTTGCAGTGAGCCAAGATCGTGCCACTGCACTTCAGCCTGGGCGACACAGCAAGACTGAGGTTGCAGTGAGCTGTGATCCTCAACCTCCTGGGTTCAAGGGATTGTCGAGCCTCAGCCTCCCAAGTAGCTGGGATTATAGACATTCGCTCCCATGCCTGGCTAATTTTTGTATTGCAAAAATGCACTCCAGCCTAGATGACAGGACTGCACTCCAGCCTGGATGACAGAGCAAGACTGTGTCTCAAAAATAAATAAATAAATAAATAAATAGCCAACTGTGATCGTGCATGCCTGTAGTCCCAGCTACTCAGGAGGCCAAGGCAGGAGGATCACTTGAGACTGGGAGGTCATGGCTACAGTGAGCCATGATCTCGCAACTGCACTCCAGCCTGGGCAACAGAGGGAGAGAAAGGAAGGAAGGAGGGAAGGAGGGAAGGAGGGAAGGGAAGGAGGGAAAGGAAGTCAGTCTTGTGGGACAAGGAAGGAAGGAAGGAAGTCAGTCAGTCTTGTGGGACTCAGCCCTGAACCTTTGGGATCTGATGCTGTCCCCAGGTAGGGAGTGTCAGAACTAAATCAAAGGAGAGGACACCCAGCTGGTCTCTGCTGGAGAACTGGTTGTTGGTGGGGAGAAACATACATTTTTGGTGAAGTATTCTGTGTTGAGTGTGAAAGTAGGAAAAACAGGACTGGGTATGGTGGTTCATGCCTGTCATTCCAGGATTTTGGGAGGCCAAGGCAGGCGGATCACTTGAGGTCAGGACTTTGAGACCACCCTGGTGAACATGGCAAAACCCCATCTCTACTAAAAAAAAATACAAAAATTAGCTGGGCGCGGTGGCAGGTGCCTGTAATACCAGCTACTCGGGAGGCTGAGGCAGGAGAATCACTTGAACCCGGGAGGCGGAGGTTGCAGTGAGCTGAGATTGTGCCTTTGCACTCCAGCCTGGGAGACAGAGCAAGACTCTCCCTCAAAAAAAAAAAAAGGCCGGGCGCAGTGGCTCACGCCTATAATATCAGCACTTTGGGAGGCCGAGGCAGGTGGATCACTGACACCCAACACCACGCCTTCTAATTTTTTGCATTTTTAGTAGAAACGGGGTTTCACCATGTTGGCCAGGCTTGTCTCGAACTCCTGTCCTCTGGTGATCCACCTGCCTTGGCCTCCCAAAGTGCTGGAATTACAGGCGTGAACCCAGCAACTTTTCCCCCTTTTATCATACCTTAATTTGCCTCCACCACCCCCAGAAGCTCCAAGTCTCTACGCCTTTTCATTTATGTATGTATGTATTTATTTATTTATTTATTTATTTTATTTTGAGACAGGGTCTCCCTCTATCTCCCAGGCTGCAGTGCAGTGGCGTGATCTTGGCCCACTGCAACCTCCACCTCCCGGGTTCAAGTAATCCTCCTGTCTCAGCCTCCCAAGTAGCTGGGATTACAGGGCACACCACCACACCTGGCTAATTTTTGTATTTTTAGTGGAGACTGGGTTTCACCCTGTTGTCCAGGCTAGTCTCAAACTCCCGACGTCAGGTGATCCACCCATTTCGGTTCCCAAAGTGTTGAGATTACAGACCGTGAGCCACTGGGACGGACACCCCTACTCCTTTCTTCTTCTTCTTCTTTTTTTTTTTTTTTTTGAGATGGAGTCTCCCTTTGAAGCCCAGGCTGGAGTACAATGGTGCGATCTTAGCTCACTGCAGTTTCCTCCTCCCGGGTTCAAGTGATTCTCCTGCCTCAGCCTCCGGAGTAGCTGGGATTACAGGCACACACCACCACACCAGCTAATTTTTGTATTTTTAGCAGAGATGGGGTTTCACCATGTTGGCCAGGCTGGTCTCAAACTCCTGACCTCAGGTGATCCACCCACCTTGGCCTCCCAAACTGCTGGGATCACAGGCGTGAGCCACTGCACCCTACACTCTTATACTCCTTTCTGTAGCTCAGGCAGCTAGATGAGCTTCAATCATCTGGCCCTTCCTCCAGTCTCACATTTTTGTGGGACTCCTGTGCATACATAATTGAATCTGGTTTTTCTTCTGTCAAACTGTTTTGTGTCAATGTAATTCATAGCCCATCCAAAGAACCTAGGAGGGTGGAGGGAATCCATTTTCTCTCCTCCACACTGGAGGGCCATGGAGCCCAAGAGTTCAAGACTGGCCCGGTGTACAAAGTGAGACCCAGTCTCTATTTAAAAAAGATGGGGAGGGGGCCGGGCACGGTGTCTCACGCCTGTAATTCCAGCACTTTGGGAGGCCCAGGTGGGTGGATCACCTGAGGTCAGGAGTCCGAGACTAGCCTGGCCAAGGTGGTGAGACCGTGTCTTTACTAAAAATACAAAATTAGCTTGGTATGGTGGCAGGAGCCTGTAATCCCAGCTACTTGGAAGGCTAGGGCAGGAGAATCGCTTGGTTTGGGATTTTCTCCCTGAGGCACTTGCTATCTCCAGGATTATGGGTCTCAGGTGAAAGAAAGACAAAGAAGGAGAGAGAGACAGAGAGGGACAGGGAAAGAGAATTTCAGACTTATCTAACATTGACACTTAGGAGAAGTAGGGAGAAAGAGGTGGGAAAATAAAGTGGCTAGGTAAAAATGAACATGTCAGTAACAATAATAGCATTAACAATAACTAGTATTGCCGGGTGCAGTGGCTCACGCCTCTAATCCCAGCACTTTGGGACGCCGAGGTGGGCGAATCACAAGGTCAGGAGTTCAAGACCAGCCTGGCCAACATGGTGAAACCCTGTCTCTACTAAAAATACAAAAAGTTAGCTAGCTGGGCATAGTGGTGCATGCCTGTAATCCCAGCTACTCTGGAGGCTGAGGCAGGAGAATCGCTTGAACCCGGGAGGCAAAGGTTGCAGTGAGTCAAGATCAGGCCACTGCACTCCAGCCCAAGGGACAGAGTGAGACTCTGTCTCAAATAATAATAATAATAATAACTAGTGGCCAGGCACAGTGGCTCACGCCTGTAATCCCAGTGTAGCAGGACGAGCCACAGACAAAAACCTCTCAGACACCGAGTTGTAGAAGGAAGGGCTTTATTCAGCTGGGAGCATCGGCAAGCTACTGTCTTAAAATCCAAGCTCCTCGAGTGCACAGTTTCTGTCCCTTTTAAGGGCTCACAACACTAAAGACTGCGCATGAAAGGGTCATGATTGAGCAATCTAGGGGATACATAACAGGGGTTTCGTGCACTGCTGGTCAGAGAGAAAGAATAGGGCAGGGAGTTTCACAGTGTTCTTCTATACAATGCCTGGAATCTATGGATAACATCGGGTTCTAAGTCATGAGTTGATTTTTATCTACTAGGTTTACGCCAGGCAGGCCCAGGCCTGGTTTCGGGTCTGGTTTTGGGTCTGGTGCCTGGCGCCGGGCTACCTGCCTTTGGTTTCACTTCCTTGTTTTTTTCTTTTTCTTTTTTTTTTTTTTTGAGACAGAGTCTTGCTCTGTCGCTAAGGCTGGAGTGCAGTGGCACAATCTCGGCTCACTGCAAGCTCCGCCTCCTGGATTCAAGCAATTCTGCTGCCTCATCCTTCCGAGTAGCTGGGATTACAGGCGCACGCCACCATGCCCGGCTAATTTTTGTATTTTTAATAGAGACGGGGTTTCACCATGTTGGCCAGGCTGGTCTCAAACTCCTGACCTTGTGATCCACCCGCCTTGGCCTCCCAAAGTGCTGGGATTACAGGCGTGAGCCACCGTGCCCGGCCTCCTTGTTTTTTTTCTAAAACAAGTACTGAGTATAAAACAATATAAAACAATATGAGACGGTTTCTCTCTTCCCTCACCAGCACTTTGGGAGGCTGAGGCAGGTGGATCACAAGGTCAGAGTGGATAGCACTTTAGGAGGTTGAGGTGGGAGGATCCCTTGAGCCCAGGAGCTCAAGTCCAGCCTGGGCAACATAGCAAGACCCCCATTTCCAATTTTAGTGTATGTGCTGCCAAAGCAAATACTCTGAGACCCTGTTTCTACAAAAAATAAAAAAATTAAAATTAGTGCTTGGAAAAAAAAATTAGTGCTTGACCAGGAGGCAAGCACACCTCCTCATCCTCTCATGGATGTCTGTCTGTAGAAAGTAAATGGAGACAGCTTCATTTTACCCAACTGCTCCGTTTTAGGTCCGCTCCTGAGCTTCTGTTGTTCCCAGCCATGCAACCCTGGGAGCCGACTCCCGGCTGCAGAGCCTTGTCAGAAGCAGGCAATGTACACAGAGACCCAAGGCCTGGTGTAGACAGGCTTTCACAGACCTGGGCATTTTGTTGAATTGTTTTTGAATTGTGGTTTCTTATCAGTTCATCCGATACTCTGTTCTAACCACGTAGTTCCTCTTTTGGATCTCCAAACCCCTTTGCAGGTTCCATCTACCCGAACCAAACTCACTTATTCCAACAGAAGTCTGGTGTTTCTTGTTTTTTTTGTTTGTTTGTTTCTTTCGTTTTGTTTTTTGAGATGTTGTCTCCCTCTATCACCCAGGCTGGAGTGCAGTGGCGAGATCTCAGCTCACTGCAACCTCTGCTTCCCGGGTTCAAGCAATTCTCCTCCCTCAGCCTCCTGGGTAGCTGGGATTACAGGTGCCTGCCGCCACACCCAGCTAACTTTTGTATTTTTAGTAGAGACGGGATTTCACCATGTTGGCCAGGCTAGTCTCGAGCTCCTGACCTCAAGTGATCCACCCATCTCAGCCTCCCAAAGTGCTGGGATTACAGCCTTAAGCCACCGCGCTCAACCAGAAGTCTGTTTAAATCCATCCTTCTCCCCAGCCACCCATGAGTTATGTGACCTTGGGGTTGCTACTTAACATTTCAGTCTCAATTTCCTCAATAGAACAAAAGTTAGAAGAATTGTAACAAAAGATAGTTTTATTTTTATTTTTATTTTTATTTTTTGAGATGGAGTCTTGCTCTGTCACCTAGGCTGGAGTGCAGTGGTGTGATGGTGGCTCACTGCAAGCTCCGCCTCCCGGATTCACGCCATTCTCCTGCCTCAGCCTCCCAAGTAGCTGGGACTACAGGCACCCGCCACCGTGCCCAGCTAATTTTTTTAATTTTTAGTAGAGACGGGGTTTCACCGTGTTAGCCAGGATGGTCTCGATCTCCTGACCTCGTGATCCGCTTGCCTCGGCCTCCCAAAGTGCTGGGATTACAGGCGTGAGCCACCATGCCCAGCACAAAAGATAATTTCTTAATCCCATGCATTTGAGTCTTAAAAAAATATTCTATATAATTCCAAGGTCAAAGAAGAAATAACAAAGGGCATTTTTAAAAATGCTAGAACTGAGTGGTGGTGAAATTGCTGTTGAAATGTGTTTGTTGCACTGATGGAAATTTATAAATGTAAATATTTATATTAAAATATAAAATAATGGGCCAGGCATAGTGGCTCACACCTGTAATCTCAGTACTTTGGGAGGCCAAGGCGGGAGGGCCATGGAGCCCAGGAGTTCAAGACCGGCCCGGTGTACAAAGTGAGACCCAGTCTCTAGTTAAAAAAGAGGGGGAGTGGGCCAGGCACAGTGTCTCACGCCTGTAATTCCAGCACTTTGGGAGGCCAAAGCAGGTGGATCACCCGAGGTCAGGAGTCCAAGACCAGCCCGGCCAAGGTGGTGAAACCCCGTGTCTACTAAAAATACAAAATTAGCTTGGTATGGTGGCGGGAGCCTATAATCCCAGCTAGGGCAGGAGAATCACTTGAACCCGGGAGGCAGAGGTTGCAGTGAGCCAAGATCATGCCACTGCACTCCAGCCTGGGCAACAACAGAGAGACTTCATCTCTAAATAAATAAATAAATAAATAAAAGAAAATACAAATTTTTTAAAAAAGGTACTGTGGCTGGGCGTGGTGGTTCACACCTGTAATCCCAGCACTTTGGGAAGCCGAGGCAGGTGGATCTCAGATCAGGAGTTCAAGAAGAGCCTGGCCAGCATGGTGAAAACCTATCTGTACTAAAAATTAGCCTGGCATGGTGGCAGGTGCCTGTAGGAGGCTGAGGCAAGAGAATTGCTTGAGCCCCGGAGGCAGAGGTTGCAGTGAGCCGAGACCACACCACTGCACTCCAGCCTGGGCAACAGAGCGAGAGTCTGTCTCAAAAAGGAAACAAAAAAAAAAGTACCTCCAAATTATGGTAGGGTGTCCATATTAAGAAGGTAGAAAAAGGTCGGGGGAAGTGGATGCCTGTAATCCCAGAACTTTGGGAGGCTGAGGCGGGTGGATCACCTGAGGTCAGGAGTTCAAGAACAGCCTGGCCAAAAGGGTATGGTGAAACCCCATCTCTACTAGAACTACAAAATTAGCCGGGCGTGGTGGTACATGCCTGTAATCCCAGCTACACAGGAGTCTGAGGCAGGAGAATCACAGGAAACCGGCAGGCAGAGGTTGCAGTGAGCTGAGATCGCGCCATTGCACTCCAGCCTGGGCGACAAGAGCAAAACTCCATCTCAAAAAAAAAAAAAAGAAAAAATGAAAAAGAATTTATTGAAATGTGCAGTCTGAAAACTGCTCCTGCACATTTTCATTCATCCTTCCTATTCCCTCCATCCCTCAATTTTTTTTTTTTTTTTGAGACAGAGTTTCGCTCTTGTTGCCCAGGCTGGAGTGCAATGGCACGATCTCAGCTCACTGCAACCTCTGCCTCCCAGGTTCCAGCCATTTTCCTGCCTCAGCCTCCAGAATAGCTGGAATTACAGGCATCTGCCACTACGCCTGGCTAATTTTTTGTGTATTTTTAGTAGAGATGGGATTTCACCATGTTGGTCAGGCTGATCTCGAACTCCTGACCTCAGGTGATCCACCCGCCTCGGCCTCCCAAAGTGCTGGGATTACAGGCATGAATCACCACGCCCGGCCCCTCATTTTCTTTTCTTTCTTTCTTTCTTTTTTGTTTGTTTGTTTTTGAGACAGAGTCTTGCTCTGTCACCCAGGCTGGAGTGCAGTGGCGCGATCTCAGCTCACTGCAAGCTCCGCCTCCCGGGTTCACGCCATTCTCCTGCCTCAGCCTCCCGAGTAGCTGGGACTACAGGCGCCCGCCACCACGCCCGGCTAATTTTTTGTATTTTTAGTAGAGACGGGGTTTCACCGTGTTAGCCAGGATGGTCTCCATCTCCTGACCTCGTGATCCGCCCGCCTCGGCCTCCCAAAGTGCTGGGATTACAGGCGTGAGGCACCACACTGGGCCCCCTCACTTTCTTATTCTTTCTAGGATAGGCAACTGAGCGCGGCAGTGAAGAGCTGGGCTTCCGGAAGCTGACAGCTGTTTGTGATCTTCAAGACCTCAGACAGGTTTTCTAAATATGCCTTGCCTTCATTTTCTCAAGGAAAGTGAAAAATGGGTAGGATCATGGCAATCACTACTGTGTAGCAATGTTTAGAGGACTTAATAAGTAAACACAGGGTCAAGCATGGTGGCTCACACCGGAAATCCCAGCACTTTGGGAGGCCGTGGTGGGAAGATTGCTTAAGCCCATGGGGTTGAGACCAGCCTGGGCAACATAGTGAGACCTCCATCTCTATAAAAAATACAAAAATCTAGTCAGGCGTGATGGCGTATGCCTGTAGCCTTCAGTAAGCTATGATTGTGCCACTGCACACCAGCCTAGGCGACAGAGTGAGACCCTGTCTCAAAAAGAAAAAACGAAAAGAAATATAGATGTACATATACATATGTTGGTTCTAAAACATGAAAAAGGCTGGGCGCGGTGGTTCGTGCCTGCAACCCAAGCACTTTGGGAGGCCGAGGCGGGCGGATCACGAGGTCAAGAGTTTGAGACCAGCCTGGCCAACATAGTGAAACCCCATCTCTACTAAAAATACAAAAAAAAGGCTAGGCGCAGTGGCTCATGCCTGTAATCCTAGCACTTTGGGAGGCCGAGGTGAGCAGATTACCTGAGGTTGGGAGTTCAAGACCACCCTGTCCAACATGGTGAAACCCCATCTCTACTAAAAATAAGAAAATTAGCCGGGTACAGTGGCACGCGCCTGTAATCCCAGCTATTCAGGAGGCTGAGGCAGGAGAATCGCTTGAACTCTGGAGGCGGAGGTTGCAGTGAGCCAAGATTGCGCCACTGCACTCCAGCCCGGGCGACAGTGCCAGACTCAGTCTCAGAAAAAAAAAAAGCAAAACAAACAAAGAAACATGAAAAAAAGCTATAAAACCCAACTTTTTTCTTTTTTTTTTTGAGACGGAGTCTCACTCTGTCGCCCAGGGTGGAGTGCAGTGGTGCGGTCTCGGCTCACTGCAACCTCCGCCTCCTGGGTTCAAGCAATTCTCTGCTTCAGCCTCCCAAGTAGCTGGGATTACAGGCACCCGCCACCACGCCCGACTAATTTTTTGTATTTTTAGTTGAGACGGGGTTTCATCATCTTGGCCAGGCTGGTCTTGAAGTCCTGACCTCGTGATCCACCCGCCTTGGCCTCCCAAAGTGCTGGAATTACAGGCGTGAGCCACCGCGCCCGGCCAAAACCCAACTTTTTAGTCTTATTTATATGGTGTTTTTTTTTTTTTTTTTTTTTTTGAGATGGAGCCTTGCTCTGTCGCCCAGGCTGGAGTGCAGTGGCGCGATCTCGGCTCACTGCAAGCTCCGCCTCCCGGGTTCACGCCATTCTCCTGCCTCAGCCTCCCGAGTAGCTGGGACTACAGGTGCCCGCCACCACGCCCGGCTAATTTTTTGTATTTTTAGTAGAGACGGGGTTTCACCGTGTTAGCCAGGATGGTCTCGATCTCCTGACCTCGTGATCCACCTGCCTCGGCCTCCCAAAGTGCTGGGATTACAGGCGTGAGCCACTGTGCCCGGCTATATGTTTACAAAATTAATACTGCCAGCCAGGCACGGTGGCTCACGCCTGTAATCCCAGCACTTTAGGAGGCTGAGGCTGGCAGATCACCTGAGGTCAGGAGTTTGAGACCAGCCTGGCCAGCATGGCAAAACCCCGTCTCTATTGAAAAAAATACAAAAATTAACCAGGCGTTGTGGCGCATGCTTGTAATCTCAGCTACTCGGGAGGCTGAGGCAGGGGAATCACTTGAAGCCGGCAGGCGGAGGCTGCGGGGAGCCGAGATCGTGCCGTTGCACTCCAGCCTGGGGAACAGAGCAAGACTCCATTAAAAATAAAATAATAATAATACTGTGAATGTGAAACTGATGAACTTGGTGCTTTTCATGCGTCTCATAGTTGACGTGTCATTGATATTTCACTTGAAATACGGTTGGATTTTTATTAATAATATACCTGGGGTGATGGGAGAAGGTAGCCAATCACAGCTGAGGCTTCTAAGCGGTGATTCTCAGCCTCGGCCGCAATCACAATTATCTGGGACTCTCGAAAGAACTCCAGGGTCTGGGCAGTCCCAGTGTAACCAATCAAGCAGAATCTCTAGGCGTTCGTGCTTTGAAATGAGGCTCCACATAGGTAAGTTTAACAGGCAGTCAAGATGGAGGACCACAGGTGGAGATCGGGAAGCTCAGGTGAAGGACCGCCCCCCAACACCCCCCGCCCCCAAAAGACCTCTCAGTAATTCCGGTGGATACAGGAAGTGCTCAGCAACGATTACGCCCCGAGGGCCAATCACAGGGCTGCGGCCGAGAAAGAAGCCTTAATAGAGCTTTCTCAACCTGCAGCCCTCATCTCCGCCGGCGAGTAGGGCCAGGTGTTGGGAGGTGAGTAGCTCTCCGGCAGCTCTGCAACTTCATTTCTTTATTTCTCCATTCCACAGTTGGTAAAATTTCTCCTTTTATTTCATATATTTTTTTTCTGAGACGGAGTCTCGCTCTGTCGCCCAGGCTGGAGTGCAGTGGCGCGATCTCTGCTCACTGCAAGCTCCGCCTCCCGGGTTCACGCCATTCTCCTGCCTCAGCCTCCCGAGTAGCTGGGACTACAGGCGCCCGCCACCACGCCCGGCTAATTTTTTGTATTTTTAGTAGGTGGCTCACGCCTGTAATCCCAGCACTTTAGGAGGCTGAGGCTGGCAGATCACCTGAGGTCGGGAGTTTGAGACCAGCCTGGCCAGCATGGCAAAACCCCGTCTCTATTGAAAAAAATACAAAAATTAACCAGGCGTTGTGGCGCATGCTTGTAATCTCAGCTACTCGGGAGGCTGAGGCAGGGGAATCACTTGAAGCCGGCAGGCGGAGGCTGCGGGGAGCCGAGATCGTGCCGTTGCACTCCAGCCTGGGGAACAGAGCAAGACTCCATTAAAAATAAAATAATAATAATACTGTGAATGTGAAACTGATGAACTTGGTGCTTTTCATGCGTCTCATAGTTGACGTGTCATTGATATTTCACTTGAAATACGGTTGGATTTTTATTAATAATATACCTGGGGTGATGGGAGAAGGTAGCCAATCACAGCTGAGGCTTCTAAGCGGTGATTCTCAGCCTCGGCCGCAATCACAGTTATCTGGGACTCTCGAAAGAACTCCAGGGTCTGGGCAGTCCCAGTGTAACCAATCAAGCAGAATCTCTAGGCGTTCGTGCTTTGAAATGAGGCTCCACATAGGTAAGTTTAACAGGCAGTCAAGATGGAGGACCACAGGTGGAGATCCGGAAGCTCAGGTGAAGGACCGCCCCCCAACACCCCCCGCCCCCAAAAGACCTCTCAGTAATTCCGGTGGATACAGGAAGTGCTCAGCAACGATTACGCCCCGAGGGCCAATCACAGGGCTGCGGCCGAGAGAGAAGCCTTATTAGAGCTTTCTCAACCTGCAGCCCTCATCTCCGCCGGCGAGTAGGGCCAGGTGTTGGGAGGTGAGTAGCTCTCCGGCAGCTCTGCAACTTCATTTCTTTATTTCTCCATTCCACAGTTGGTAAAATTTCTCCTTTTATTTCATATATTTTTTTTCTGAGACGGAGTCTCGCTCTGTCGCCCAGGCTGGAGTGCGGTGGCGCGATCTCGGCTCACTGCAAGCTCCGCCTCCCGGGTTCAGGCCATTCTCCTGCCTCAGCCTCCCGAGTAGCTGAGACTACAGGCACCTGCCACTATGCCCAGCTAATTTTTTTGTATTTTTAGTAGAGACGGGGTTTCACCATGTTGGCCAGGCTGGTCTCAGTCCGCCTCGGCCTCCCAAGGTGCCGGGATTACAGGCGTGAGCCACCGCGCCCAGCCTTTTTTTTTTTTTTTTTTTTTTTTTTCTTCTCTTTTTTGAGGGTCTTACTCTGTTTCCCAGGCTGGAGCGCTGTGGCAGGATCTCGGCTCACTGAACCCTTGACCTCTCAGGTTCAAGCAGTCCTCACGCCTCAGCCTTTGAAGTAGCTGGGACCGTGGGAGGGTGCCACCACATCTGTTCTGGCTAATAATATTATTATTACCACTGTTTGCAGAGACTCACTAGATGTAGGGTCTTAATATGTTGCCGAAGCTGGTCTCTAACTCCTGGGCTCAAGCGATCTTCCTGCCTCAGACTCCCAAAATTCTGGGATTATAGGCAGGTGCCACCGCGCCCGGCCTAAATCTTTTCTTCTGTTAGAAATTAAGTGGTTCTGCCTGTCTCAGTGGCTCACGCCTGTAATCGCAGCGCTTTGGGAGGCCGAGGCGGGAGGATCACCTGAGGTCGGGAGTTCGAGACCAGCCTGACCAACATGTAGAAACCCCATCTCTACTAAAAATATAAAATTAGGTGGGCGTGGTAGCGCATACTTGTAATCCTAGCTACTCAGGAGGCTGAGGCAGGAGAATCACTTGAACCCGGGAAGCGGAGGTTGCGGGGAGCCTAGATCATACCATTGCTCTCCAGCCTGCGCAGCAAGAGAGAAACTGTCTCAAAAAATAAAATAAAATAAAATTCAGTGGTTCTGACTGGGGAAAGAGTAGCAGATGCTTAGATCTAGAGAGACTCTAGTTAAGGTTGGCTCATAAGAGGATAGTTGTGTGTGCTTTTATTTCTGTTCTCTTGGGGGATTTAGGATAGAGCTATAGAGAGCTCCAAAAAAAAAAATATATTGGAACAGGTCAGATGCTGTGGTTGCTGTGTGTGGAGTCCTGGGCAGTGCTAAGGTTTTGTGTCTAATGAGTCCTCTTAACAAGAAGGTATTGTTTTTTATTCACTGAGGTGAGGGAGCCTCTTAGCATCATTCTAGTCCAGCTTCCGGACCTGAGTCTTATGCAAATACCTATGCCAGTTGCCATTCTCACGCTATTCACAGCTATCATATAAAGAGGTGTTATACCCTTTCTGTAAAGTTTTTGTTGCTACTGCTATTTTTTTTTTTTTTTTTTTGAGACAAAGTCTAGCTCTGTTTCCCAGGCTGGAGTACAGTGGCGCTATCTCAGCTCACTGCAACTTCCACCTCCCAGGTTCAAGCAATTCTCGTGCCTCAGCCTTCTAAGTAGCTGGGACTACAGCCGCCTGTCACCAACCTGGCTAATTTTCGTATTTTTAGTCGATATAGGGTTTCACTATGTTGGCCAGGCTGGTCTCAAGCTCCAGACCTCAGGTGATCCTCCCACCTTGGACTCCCAAAGTGCTGTGATTACAGGCGTGAGCCACCGCACCCGGCCCTGTTGTTTTTAAAATAGAGACAGGGTCTTAAGTTGCCAGGCTGGTCTGGAACTTCTGGACTGGAGTGATCACCCACCTGAGCTTCCCAAAGTGCGGGGATTGCAAGCGTCAGCCACCACCCCCAGTGTTGTGTTTTTGTTTGTTTTACCAGGCTGGAGTGCAGTGGTGCGATCACAGCTCACTGCAGCCTTAACTTCCCTGGCTCAGGTGATCCTCCCACCTCAGCCTCCTCAGTAGCTGGGACTACAGGTGCATGCCACTATGCCCAGCACAATTTTTTTTTTTTTTGTATTTTTTTGTAGAGACAGGGTTTTGCCATGTTGCCCAGGCTGGTCTCAAACTCCAAGCAATCCTCCCACCTTGGCTTCCCAAAGTGTTTGGGGTTCCAGGTGTGAGCCATGGCCCCCCGGCCAGCTTCAGTAAAGTAAAAGCCACACACCTGTGTCCTGAGACCAGGCTCCACCACTAAGTTATCTTTAAGCCTTTTTTTTTTTTGAGACAGTTTCACTCTTGTCGCCCCAGGCTGGAGTGCAGTGGCGCCATGTCAGCTCACCACAACCTCTGCCTCCCACTCCCAGGTTCAAGCGATTCTCCTGCCTCAGCCTCCCAAGTAGCTGGAACTACAGGCACCTGCCACCACGCCCGGCTAATTTTTTGTATTTTTAGTAGAGACGGGGTTTCACTGTGTTAGCCAGGATGGTCTCGATCTCCTGACCTCACGATCCGCCCGCCTCGGCCTCCCAAAGTGCTGGGATTGCAGGCGTGAGCCACCGCGCCCGGCTGTGTGTTTGCATTATCATATTCAGCCCAGTTTTCACGAAGTTTCTTGTC
This sequence comes from Homo sapiens, assembly GCF_000001405.40. Classification (NCBI taxonomy): domain Eukaryota; kingdom Metazoa; phylum Chordata; class Mammalia; order Primates; family Hominidae; genus Homo; species Homo sapiens. The sequence goes on from NW_003571055.2 coordinate 614,252, forward strand.
TCCTGGGTGATCCACGTAGCTCCCCACTTCCTTATCTGATCTATGCTTGTCCTTTCATTGTTGTGTTACTACTTTGCTATAATGAGAGAGTGTTTTCGCTTTATAGGTTAACTTTTAGAACCTGAGCAGCCCCTCAGGGAAAACCCTGACAGTAGCTGGTTATTTTGCAATTAGAAAAACTAGCTGGGCACTGAGGCAGGTGAATCACGAGGTCAGGAGTTCGAGACCAGCCTGGCCAACTTGGTGAAACCCCCCATCTCTACTAAAAATACAAAAAAATTAGCTGGGCACAGTGGTGAATGCCTGTAATCCCAGCTACTTGGGAGGCTGAGGCAGGAGAATTGCTTGAATCCGGGAGGCAGAGGTTGTAGTGAGCCGAGATTGCAGCACTGCACTCCAGCCAGGGTGACAAAGTGAGACTCCGTCTCAAAAAAAAAAAAAAAAAAAATACAAAAAGTAGCTGAGCGTGGTGGTGGGTGCCCATAATCCCAGCTAGTCGGGAGGCTGAGGCAGGAGAACTGTTTGAACCTGGGAGGCAGAGGTTGCAGTGAGCTGAGATCGTACTACTGTACTCCAGCCTGGGCTGCAGAGTGAAACTATCTCAAAAATAAGTAAATAAAAGTAAAATGAGTTGAGGTCTTGCTCTGTTGCCCAGATGGGAGTGCAGTGGCACAATCAAGGCTCACTGCAGTTTCAGTCTCCCAGGCTCAAGCAATCCTCCCACTGCAGCCTCCTGAGTAGCTGGGACTACAGGCATGTACCACCACCCACTGCTAACTTATTTTTCATGGAGATGGGGGTCTCACTATGTTGCCCAGGCTGGGAGTTTGTTCTTGAAGAAGCAGGGTAGATGGTGAGTGTCCTTGTTCGTGGCACAGCAGGAACTGGCATTTGAGACAGGAGTGCTAATCACCATCCCTCTCCACTCCTCCCTTGATTGTCATCACAGCTCCCACGTGGGACAAGATGGTGTCTTCGGCGCAGATGGGCTTCAACCTGCAGGCTCTCCTGGAGCAGCTCAGCCAGGATGAGTTGAGCAAGTTCAAGTATCTGATCACGACCTTCTCCCTGGCACACGAGCTCCAGAAGATCCCCCACAAGGAGGTAGACAAGGCTGATGGGAAGCAACTGGTAGAAATCCTCACCACCCATTGTGACAGCTACTGGGTGGAGATGGCGAGCCTCCAGGTCTTTGAAAAGATGCACCGAATGGATCTGTCTGAGAGAGCAAAGGATGAAGTCAGAGGTGAGTGGAAATCGGTCCACACTGTGTCCTAGGAGGAAGCAGGCGTCCTCTCCAGGACTTTAGAAATTCAGAAGGCCAGGCGCGCTGGCTCACGCCTGTCGTCCCAGCCCTTTGGGAGGCTGAGGCGGTTGGACCACCTGAGGGTCAGGAGTTTGAGACCAGCCTGACCAACATGGTGATGAAACAGCATCTCTACTAAAAATACAAAAATTTGCTGGACGTGGTGGCAGACACCTGTAATCCCAGCTACTCCGGGAGGCTGAGGCAGGAGAATCACTTAAATCTAGGAGGCGGGGGTTGCTATGAGCCGAGATCACGCCATTGCACCCCAGCCTGGGCAACAAGAGCAAAATTCTGTCTCAAAAAAAAAAAGAAATGGCATTGAGGCTTGGAGAGGGACTGCTTGTTCTGAATGCAGGTGCTGGATCTTCATAAACCCTGGTGTCTGTCCTGGTCCTTATTTTCTACCTACTTCTTTTTTTTTTTTTTTTTGTCCTTTTATTTTTTTATTTTTTATTTTATTATTATTATTTTTTTTATTATACTTTAAGTTTTAGGGTACATGTGCACATTGTGCAGGTTAGTTACATATGTATACATGTGCCATGCTGGTGCGCTGCACCCACTAACTCGTCATCTAGCATTAGGTATATCTCCCAATGCTATCCCTCCCCCCTCCCCCCACCCCACCACAGTCCCCAGAGTGTGATGTTCCCCTTCCTGTGTCCATGTGATCTCATTGTTCAATTCCCACCTATGAGTGAGAATATGCGGTGTTTGGTTTTTTGTTCTTGTGATAGTTTACTGAGAATGATGGTTTCCAATTTCATCCATGTCCCTACAAAGGACATGAACTCATCATTTTTTATGGCTGCATTGTATTCCATGGTATATATGTGCCACATTTTCTTAATCCAGTCTATCATTGTTGGACATTTGGGTTGGTTCCAAGTCTTTGCTATTGTGAATAATGCTGCAATAAACATACGTGTGCATGTGTCTTTATAGCAGCATGATTTATAGTCATTTGGGTATATACCCAGTAATGGGATGGCTGGGTCAAATGGTATTTCTAGTTCTAGATCCCTGAGGAATCCCCACACCGACTTCCACAATGGTTGAACTAGTTTACAGTCCCACCAACAGTGTGAAAGTGTTCCTATTTCTCCACATCCTCTCCAGCACCTGTTGTTTCCTGACTTTTTAATGATCGCCATTCTAACTGGTGTGAGATGATATCTCATAGTGGTTTTGATTTGCATTTCTCTGATGGCCAGTGATGATGAGCATTTTTTCATGTGTTTTTTGGCTGCATAAATGTCTTCTTTTGAGAAGTGTCTGTTCATGTCGTTCGCCCACTTTTTGATGGGGTTGTTTGTTTTTTTCTTGTAAATTATTTTCTACCTATTTCTATCGCTTTCAGGTATCGTACAGTTGGCCTAACATATCTGTGGATTTAACCAATCCTAGATCAAAAATAATGGGGGCAAAGACAATTAAAAATAACAATACAATAAAATGCACATGAACTATGGTTATTTAACTCTTCTTGAGAGAGGATCTCACTCTGTCACCCAGGCTGGAATTTAGCAGCACGATCTCGGCTCACTGCAACCTCCGCCTCCCGGGTTCAAGCGATTCTCCTGCCTCAGCCTCCCGAGTAGCCGGGATTACAAGCATGTCCCACCATGCCTGGCTGATTTTTTTTTTTTTTTTTTTTGTATTCTAAATAGAGATGGGGTTTCACCATGTTAGCCAGGATAGTCTCGATGTCGTGACCTCATGATCTGCCCGCCTCGGCCTCCCAAAGTGTTGGGATTACAGGCGTGAGCCACCGCACCCAGCCAGCAAGTGCATTTAGAACTACTCTACTTTCTACCCCATAACTTTTTTTTTTGTTTGTTTGAGACAAGTCTCACTCTGTCACCCAGGATGGAGTGCAGCAGCACAATCTCAGCTTATTGCAACTCCCGCCCCCTGGGTTCAAGTGTTTCTCCTGCATCAGCCTCTTGAATAGCTAGGATTATACAGGCACCTGCCACTGTGCCTGGCTAAATTTTGTATTTTAATAGAGATGGGGTTTCACTATGTTGGCCAGGCTGGTCTTGAACTCCTGACCACGTGATCAACCCGCCTCAGCCTCCCAATGTGCTGGAATTACAGGTGTGAGCCGCCATGCCCAGCTACACTTTTTTTTGAAACGGGGTCTCGTTTTCTTGCTCAGGCTGGAGTACAATGGGGCAATCACAGCTCACTGCAGCCTTGACCTCCCAGACTTGAGCAATCCTACCACTATGGCCTCCCACCACACCTCGCTCATTCTTGTATATATATATATTTTTGTAGAGATAGGGTTTCACCATGTTGCCCAGGCTGGTCTCGAACTTCTGTGGGCTCAACCGATCCTCCTGCCTTGGCTTCCCACAGTCCTGGGATCAGAAACATGAGCCACAGTGCCTGGCCAGTGCAGCTTTATTTACAGTAACCAAGATATAGAGTCAGTCTAAGTGACCATCAGTGGATGAATAAAAAATGTGCCCGTTGGGTACCCTGCCTACTGCCTGGGTTATGAGATTGTTGGGACCCCAAGCCTTAAAAAGGAAACATGGTAGGCCGGGCACAGTGGCTCACGCCTGTAATCACAGCACTTTGGGAGGCCAAGGCGGGTGGATCACTTGAGGCCAGGAGTTTGAGACCAGTCAGGCCAATGTGGTGAAACCCTGTCTCTACTAAAAATATAAAAAAATCAGCCGGGCGTGGTGGCACACTCCTGTAGTCCCAGCTACTTGGGAGGCTGAGGCAGGAGGATTGCTTGAACCAGAGAGTCAGAGGTTGCAGTGAGCCAAGATCGTGCCACTGCGCTCCAGCCTGGGTGACAGCAAGACTCCATCTCAAAAAAAAAAAACAAACAAACATGGTATTAATTACACAATGGAATACTCCTCAACCTTAAGGAACTCCTATCTTTTTATTTAAAAATTGCCAGTTTTATTTCAGCTAGAGATCACTTTTTAGCATAATGTTTCCTGTCTTTAACAATGGGTGAGGGTTTTTTTTTTTTTTTTTTTGGTTTGGTTTGGATTTTGGTTTTGCTTTTGAGTCGAAGTTTCACTCTTGTCTCCCAGGCTAGAGTGCAATGGCGCGATCTCGGCTCACTGTGACCTCCTCCTCCCAGGTTTAAGTGATTCTCCTGCCTCAGCCTCCAGAGTAGCTGGGATTACAGGCGCCTACCACCATGCCCGCTAATTTTTGTATTTTAGTAGAGACAGGGTTTTACCATGTTGACCAGACTGGTCTCGAACTCCCGACCTCAGGTGATCTGCCCACCTCAGCCTCCCAGAGTGCTGGGATTACAGGTGTGAGCAACCATGCCCGGCCAAGGGTTTTTAACTTTAGCTGACCTCCGGAGGTTACAAGTTTGAAAACGGCAGGAGGAAACCCAGAGAGTTGTAAACTTACGAAGGTCTGGGCTCTGAAAAAGATACAAATTTTCTTTCCATGCCAATAGCGCTCACACAGACATGGTGAATGTTCCTGAAACCCGCCGGACTTTCTGTAAGAAGTGTGGCAAGCACCACCCCCACAAAGTGACACAAGGCAAGGATTCTTGGTATGCCCAGGGGAAGTAGTGTTATGACAGGAAGCAGAGTGGCTATGGTGGGCAGACTAAGCCGATTTTCCGGAAAAAGGCTAAAACTACAAAGAAGATTGTGCTAAGGCTTGAGTGCCTTGAGCCCAACTGCAGATCTAAGAATGCTGGCTATTAAAAGATACAAGCAGCCAAGCGCGGTGGCTCACGCCTGTAATCCCAACACTTTGGGAGGCCGAGGTGGGCGGATCACAAGGTCAGGAGTCTGAGACCAGCCTGGCCAAAATGGTGAAACCCCATCTCTACTAAAAATACAAAACTTAGCTGGGCATGGTGGTGTATGCCTATAGTCCCAGCTACTCAGGAAGCTGAGGCAGGAGAATCGCTTGAACCTGGGAGGCAGAGGTTGCAGTGAGCCAAGATTGTGCCACTCCAGCCTGGGCAACAGAGTGACACTCTGTCTCAAAAAAAAAAGATGCAAGCATTTTGAACTGGAAGGAGATAAGAGAAAGGAACAAGTGATCCAGTTCTAAGTGTCATCTTTTCTTTTATGAAGGCAATAAAATCTTGAGCTTATGGTAAAATGCAAAATTTTCCCCCCTTCTCCTTTTTCAGAAGCAGCTTTGAAATCCTTTAATAAAAGGAAGCCTCTATCATTAGGTAAGTTACCTCATTTATAACTTTTATTCTTCATGTGAGATCTGGGGACTCGGGCCTTTGTTTTAAGGAGAATGTGCTGAGCACTAAGAATGCAAAGAAATGCCGGACTTAGCATCCCTGCTCCCAGGGCGGAGCTGGTCTCGCAGGTGCGTAGCAGTAAGACCTGGGAAGCTGAAACACGATCGCGTTTGTTGGAAATCTATAAATACATACAAAGCGGGGAAGGGTAAGCTTGGCCTTTGAATCTGGATAAGGTAGAGACTTTTCTTTTTTGAGATGGAGGCTTGCTCTGTCACCTAGGCTGAAGTGCAGTGGTACGACCTCGGCTGACTGCAACCTCTACCTCCTGGGTTCAAGCAGTTCTCCTGCCTCAGCCTCTAGAATAGCTGGGATTACAGGTACCTGCCACCAGGCCCGGCTAATTTTTTGTGGTGTTTGTAGAGATGGGGTTTCACCATGATGGCCAGGCTGGTCTTGAACTCCTGACCTCAAGTGATCTGCCCACCTCAGCGTCCCAAAATGCTGGGATTATGGGCATGAGCCACCACCACACCCGGTTTTGTTTTTTTTTTTTTTTTTTTTTTTTTTTTTTTTTTTTTGAAACAGGGCTTCACTCTGTCACTTAGGCTGGAGTGGTGCAATCATGGTTCACTGCAGCCTTGACCTCCCAAGCTCTGGTGATCCTCCTGCCTCAGCCTCCTGAGTAGCTGGGACCACAGGCACTTGCCACCATGCCTGGCTAATTTTTTTCACTTTTTGTAGAGACAGGGTCTTGCTATGTTGCCCAGGCTGGCCTCGAATTACTAAACTCAATCAGTCCTCCTGCCTCACCCTCCCAAACTGCTGGGGTACAGGTGTGAGCCATGACACCTGGCCCTTACCAGCTACTTATATCCTGAAGATTATTATTATTTTTTTTTTTTTTGAGATAGAGTCTCTCTCTGTTGCCCAGGCTGGAGTGCAGTGGCGTGATCTCGGCTCACTGCAAGCTCCGCCTCCCGGGTTCATGCCATTCTCCTGCCTCAGCCTCCCGAGTAGCTGGGACTACAGGCGCCCACCACCACGCCTGGCTAATTTTTTTGTGTTTTTAGTAGAGACGGGGTTTCACCGTGTTAGCCAGGATGGTCTCGATCTCCTGACCTTGTGATCCGCCCGCCTCGGCCTCCCAAAGTGCTGGGATTACAGGCGTGAGCCACCGCGCCCGGCCCCTGAAGATTGTGTTTTGAGATGGGGTCTTGCTGTGTTGCTCCGGCTTGATTGCAGTGGCACAGTCATAGCTCATTGCAGCCTCAACCTTCCAGGCTCCAGAGATCCTCTTACCTCAGCCTCCTGAGTAGCTGGGACTACAGGTGTGCACTGCCACACCTGACTAATATTTGTATTTTTGGTAGGGACAGTTTCACTATGTTGCCAGATATGGTGTCAAACTCCTGGTCTCAAGTGATCCTCCCACCTTGGCCTCCCAAAGTGCTGGGATTACAGACATGATTCACCACACCTGGCCATGAAGACTTTTTTTTTTTGGACAAAGTCTCACTCTGTTGCCCAGGATGGAATGCAGTGGCATGATCTCAGCTCACTGCAACCTCTGACCTCCGCCTCCCGGTTCAAGTGATTCTCTTGCCTCAGCCTCCCGAGTAGCTGGGATTATAGGTGTCTGCCACCAAGCCCAGCTAATTTTTGTAATTTTAGTAGAGATGGGGTTTCACCATGTTGGCCAGGCTGGTCTTGAACTCCTGACCTCGTGATCCACGTGCCTCAGCCTCCCAAAGTGTTGGGATTACAGGTGTGAGTCACTGCGCCTGGTCTCATGAAGACCTTTTTTGAGACAGAGTCTTGCTCTGTCACCCAGGCTGGAGTGCAGTGGTACAATCTCACTGCAGCCTCCGCCTCCCAGGTTCAAGTGATTCTCCTGCCTTAGCCTCCCAAGTAGCTGGGATTACAGGCGCCTACCACCACGTCTGGCTAATTTTTGTATTTTTAGTAGAGACAGGGTTTCACCATGTTGGCCAGGCTGGTCTCAAACTGCTGACCTCAAATGAACTGTCTGCCTCAGCCTCACAAAGTACTGGGATTACAGGCATGAGCCACCTCACCTGGTGGTGAAGACTCTAAAGGCTCTTCTCAGATCAGCCTTTGTCCTGAATTTCACATGCCCGTGTCCAGTTCCCTCCCCAGCATCTTTTCAGGAGTTCCATGGACTCACCTCTTCATTATCCAGGGTTAAGCTGCAGATATTGTTATTAGGATTCCACCTTGTTCTCTCTCTTTTTTTTTTTTTTTTTGATACGGAGTCTCGCTTGCTCTTTTGCCAGGCTGAAGTGCAGTGGAGCGATCTTGGCTCACTGCAATCTCCGCCTCCTGGGTTCAAGCAATTCCCTTGCCTCAGCCTCGCAAGTAGCTGGGACTTACAGGTAACACACCACCATGCCCGGCTAATTTTTTGTTTTAGTAGAGACGGGGCTTCACCATGTTGGCCGGGATGGTCTCGATCTCCTGACCTCATGATCCGCCTGCCTTGGCCTCCCAAAGTGTTGGGTTACAGGCATGAGCCACCATGCCCGGCTGATTCCACCTTGTTCTTACATTCTTTCCCAGTTCATTTTAAATTTATCTACCTCATCAGAAACTAGGGGGTTAGGCCTGGCAGGCAGATCACCTGAGGTTGGGAGTTCGAGACCAGCCTGACCAACGTAGAGAAACCCTGTCTGTACTAAAAATACAAAATTAGCCAGGTATGGTGGCACATTCCTGTAATCCCAGCTACTCCGGAGGCCGAGGCAGGAGAATCACTTGAACCCAGGAGGCGGAGGTTGCAGTGAGCCGACATCACACCATTGCATTCCAGCCTGGGCAACAAGAGCAAAACTACATCTCAAAAAAAAAGAAAAACTAGGCAGTTAATCCTCAAAGCCTTTCCAGTGGCCTTATGCGTGAGTAGTTTGTGTGTGTGTGTGTGTGTGTGTGTGTGTGTGTGTGTCTTTCACACCATGTGTTCTGAACTACTTAGGAATTCTCACCAGAAAGGCACATAAACCTGGGATCATGGCCTAATGTACTTTCACTTTTACATCCAGTACCTTATCAACGTCCTTTTTAGTACCTAATCTAGGCTTCACTACTGAGACTCAGGGGTCCAACTTGAGCCATCTTGGAGTCCCACTGCCAGCACAGCAACAGGCCTGTAATGCCGCCCTTTTTCTCCAGGGATAACACGGAAAGAACGACCACCTCTAGACGTGGACGAAATGCTGGAGCGCTTCAAAACAGAAGCACAAGGTGGGTGTCAGGACCTCCAATGTTGGAGTCAGCTGAGGAAGCCCCCCGTTCTTGCTGCTATCTCCTGTTCCTTTGAAGAACCCCATCTCTCTCCAATCTTTTCCTCCACTATTCTTAATGTGCCCACTGTCTCCTGGAGAATGCCAACCTCCCTTCCGTAAGAATAGAGGGAAGAACGAACGTTGCAGAGAATTAGAACTCAGTTTGTAGAAAGTTAGGAGCACAGCGCAGAGAGTTTTTGTTTTTGTTTTTGTTTTGAGACAGTTTCTCTGTTGGCCAGGTTGGAATGCAATGGCGCGATCTCGGCTCACTGTAACCTCCACCTCCCAGGTTCAAGCGATTCTCCTGATTCTCCTGACTCAGCCTCCTGAGTAGCTGGGATTATAGGCACCTGCCACCACACCCAGCTAATTTTTTTTTTTTTTTTTGAGACGAAGTCTTGTTCTTGTCACCCAGGCTGGAGTATAGTGGCACCATCCCTGTTCACTGCAACCTCCGCCTCCCAGATTCAAGTGATTGTCCTGTCTCAGCCTCCTGAGTAGCTGGGACTACAGGTGCATGCCACCACGCCCAGCTAATTTTTTTTTGTACTTTTAGTAGAGACAGGTTTCACCATCTCATTCAGGGTGGTCTCAAACTCCTGACCTCAAGAGATCTGCTCCACCCACCCCCAAGTCTCCCGAAGTGCTGGGATTACAGGCGAGAGCCACCGTACCCGGCCTTCTTTAAATTATTTAAAAGTTGACAGGTGGCCAGGTGTGGTGGCTCTCACCTATAATCTCCCAGCACTTTGGGAGGCTGAGGCGGGTGGATCAAGAGATCGAGACCATCCTGGCCAACATGGTGAAACCCAACTCTACTAAAAACACAAAAATTAGCCGGGTGTGGTGGCACCCGCCTGTAGTCCCAGCTACTCAGGAGGCTGAGGCAGGAGAATCGCTTGAACCCGGGAGGTGGAGGTTGCAGTGAGCCAAGATTGTGCCACTGCACTCCAGCCTGGCAACAGTGCGAGACTCCATCTTAAAAAAAAAAAAAAAAAATTGACAGGCATAAATGTATTTATGGTACATTGCTCAGACAACTTTAATATAAACAACTTACAGAGAAAATTGAGTCTTTTGGGTAGGTGACTTGCCTGAGCTGACTTTGTGATAGGTTTTTTCTGTTTTTTTTGTTTTTGAAATAGAGTCTCACTCTGTCATGCAGGCTGGAGTGCAGTGGCCCCATCTTGGCTCACTGCAATCTCTGCCTCCTGGGTTCAAGGGGTCTTCCTGCCACAGCCTCCCCAGGTGCTGGGACTATAGGTGCCCACCACTATGCCTGGCTAACTTTTGTGTTTTTAGTACAGATGGGGTTTCAACAGGGTAGCCAGGTTGGTCTAGAACTCCTGACCTCAAGTGATCCACCTACCTCGGTCTCCTAAAGTGCTGGGATTACAGCTGTGAACCACCGCACCTAGCCTGTGATCAGTTTCAGATCAGCCTTGCTTACTCCACATTCCCTCTTATCTTCCTGGTAGCATTTTTGTTTTTTCTTGAGAAAGAGTTTTGCCCTTGTCGCCCAGGCTAGAGTGCAATGGTGTGATCTCGGCTCGCCACAACCTCCACCTCCCAGGTTCAAGTGATTCTGCCTCAGCCTCCCGAGTAGCTGGGATCATAGGCGCCCACCACCACATCTGGCTAATTTTTGCATTTGTTAGTTTTATTTTTAGTAGACAGGGTTTCACCATGTTGGGCAGGCTGGTCTTGAACTCCTGACCTCAGGTGATCCACCCACTTCGGCCTCCCAAAGTGCTGGGATTACAGGCATGAGCCACCGTACCTAGCCCACATTGACTTTTGATACAGCAAGTATTTCTTGCTATGGCTCTGTATAATAGAGGTGAGTAACTTGGTTGAAGGAATTGTTTGCCCTGTTCATCTCTCTAGACACGGCCAATGTCATTCCTGGCACACAATCTTTTTTTTTCTTGAGATGGAGTCTCACTCTGTTGCCCAGACTGGAGTGCAGTGGTGCAATCTTGGCCCACTGCAACCTCTGCTACCCAGGTTCAAGCGATTCTCCTGCCTCAGCCTCCCAAATAGCTGGGAGTACAGGTGTGTGCCACCACGCCCAGCTAATTTTTTGTATTTTAGTAGAGACAGGGTTTCACCGTGTTAGTCAGGATGGTCTGGATCTCCTAACCTCGTGATCCGTCCGCCTCAGCCTCCCAAAGTGCTGGGATGACAGGCGTGAGCCACTGTGCCCAGCCTAGCACACAATCTTGACAAAGAATTTCGGTGCGACTTGGGGTACTGTGGTGCCTGCTCTATCATCATGCTTCAGCAGGAAATGTGGGTGAATAGTGCCTGGTGGCATGGCAGGTAAAGAAATGTTTTGTTTTGTTTTTTTTTTTGAGACAGTCTTGCTCTGTCACCCAAGCTGGAGTGCAGTGGCGCAATCTCGGCTCACTGCAAGCTCCATCTCCCGGGTTCACGCCATTCTGCCTCAGCCTCCCCAGTAGCTGGGACTACAGGCGCCCGCCACACGCCCGGCTAATTTTTTGTATTTGTAGTAGAGACAGGGTTTCACCGTGTTAGCCAGGATGGTCTCGATCTCCTGACCTTATGATCCACCCGCCTTGGCCTCCCAAAGTGCTGGGATTACAGGCGTGAGCCACCGCGCCCAGCCGCGGGTAAAGAAATTTATGAAGACAATCGTAGGTAAAGGAAGGCAGATTTATTGGAGAAAGTAGGAAAAGACATTGGCAGAGAGACCCCAGCGGGCAGGTTGTCATGAGTAGCTCACTGCCAGGAGACCAAAGCTTCCTGCAGATTTTATAGAATAGGGCTTGGGCTGATTGATAATGTCAACAGGGGGTTTAACTTGCGGTCTTCTTTCAGCAGAAGTGTTTGATAAACTGAGGCGTTTCATGGCAAACAGGGAGTTTGTGAGCTCTGTGTGTGATCTGGCCAGGAAGGCCAAACATCTTGGGCCGTATCTCCTGGACCATAAAAGCAGACCTGGCCCAGTGCAGTGGTTCATGCCTGCAATCCCAGCACTTTGGGAGGCTGAGGTGGGTGGATCATCTGAGGTCAGCAGTTTTAGACTGGCCTGGCCAACATGGCGAAACCCCATCTCTACTAAAAATACAAAAATTAGCCTAGACGCAGTGGCACATGCCTGTAATTCCAGTTACTTGGGAAGCTGAGGCAGGAGAATCGCTTGAACCCGGGAGGCGGAGGTTGCAGTGAGCTGAGATTGCGCCACTGCACTCCAGCCTGGGCAACAGAGTGAGACTGTCTCAAACAGACCTATAGCTGACCTGTTTCCTCTTGTTTGTATGCCCTGAACCATGGAGGAAAGCTTATTTATTTATTTTATTGAGATGGAGTCTTGCTCTGTTGCCCAGGGTGGAGTGCAGTAGTGCGATCTCTTACTACAACCTCCATCTCCCAGGTTCAAGCAATTCTCGAGCCTCTTGGCCTCCCAAGTAGCTGAGATTACAGGCATGCGCCACCACGCCTGGCTAATTTTTGCATTTTTAGTAGAGATGGGGTTTCTGTGTTGGCCAGGCTGGTCTCGAACTCCTGAGCTCAAGTGATCCACCCCACCTCAGCCTCCCAAAGTTCTGGGATTATAGGCATGAGCCACCACACCTGGCCGGAAAACACATTTGTAGCTTATTTGCTTTATCTGATCCCGTGCCCCCCCTCCCCCCCGCCCCATCAGCCTGCCTCCTTTTCTCTAATTGGGACTCCACAGGAAATACACCTGATTTTGTGTCAATCTCACATGAGTTTGTATTTTGTAGCGTTTACAGAAACGAAAGGAAATGTCATCTGCCTGGGTAAAGAAGTCTTTAAAGGAAAAAAGCCAGGTCTGTACCATATCTTCCTGCAGGGAGCTTGGGATCAGATTTCTCTTTATAAACTTGAAGTCCTCTTAACTTTCCTATGTAACACAAAGCATTTATTTATGTATGTATGTATCGAGACGGAGTTTTGCTCTTGTTGCCCAGGCTGGAGTGCCGTGGCGTGATCTCGACTCACTGCAACCTCCGCCTCCCAGGTTCAAGCAATTCTCCTGCCTCAGCCTCCCGAGTAGCTGGGATTACAGGCATGCGCCACCATGACTGGCTAATTTTTTATTTTTAGTAGAGACAAGGTTTCTTCATGTTGGTCAGGCTGGTGTTGAACTCCCAATGTCAGGTGATCTGCCTGCCTCGACCTCCCAAAGGGCTGGGATTACAGGCATGAGCCACTGTGCCCGGCCAACACAAGGCATTTTGTTATTTTGGTTTTCCCTATGGGTAACTGATTGCATCCTCTCTCCCTTCCCTCCTCACCAATGATAAAGACAAAGACAATAGGTGCAGGTATATATTGAAGACGAAGTTCCGGGAGATGTGGAAGAGCTGGCCTGGAGATAGCAAAGAGGTCCAGGTTATGGCTGAGAGATACAAGATGCTGATCCCATTCAGCAACCCCAGGGTGCTTCCCGGGCCCTTCTCATACACGGTGGTGCTGTATGGTCCTGCAGGCCTTGGGAAAACCACGCTGGCCCAGAAACTAATGCTAGACTGGGCAGAGGACAACCTCATCCACAAATTCAAATATGCGTTCTACCTCAGCTGCAGGGAGCTCAGCCGCCTGGGCCCGTGCAGTTTTGCAGAGCTGGTCTTCAGGGACTGGCCTGAATTGCAGGATGACATTCCACACATCCTAGCCCAAGCACGGAAAATCTTGTTCGTGATTGACGGCTTTGATGAGCTGGGAGCCGCACCTGGGGCGCTGATCGAGGACATCTGCGGGGACTGGGAGAAGAAGAAGCCGGTGCCCGTCCTCCTGGGGAGTTTGCTGAACAGGGTGATGTTACCCAAGGCCGCCCTGCTGGTCACCACGCGGCCCAGGGCCCTGAGGGACCTCCGGATCCTGGCGGAGGAGCCGATCTACATAAGGGTGGAGGGCTTCCTGGAGGAGGACAGGAGGGCCTATTTCCTGAGACACTTTGGAGACGAGGACCAAGCCATGCGTGCCTTTGAGCTAATGAGGAGCAACGCGGCCCTGTTCCAGCTGGGCTCGGCCCCCGCGGTGTGCTGGATCGTGTGCACGACTCTGAAGCTGCAGATGGAGAAGGGGGAGGACCCGGTCCCCACCTGCCTCACCCGCACGGGGCTGTTCCTGCGTTTCCTCTGCAGCCGGTTCCCGCAGGGCGCACAGCTGCGGGGCGCGCTGCGGACGCTGAGCCTCCTGGCCGCGCAGGGCCTGTGGGCGCAGACGTCCGTGCTTCACCGAGAGGATCTGGAAAGGCTCGGGGTGCAGGAGTCCGACCTCCGTCTGTTCCTGGACGGAGACATCCTCCGCCAGGACAGAGTCTCCAAAGGCTGCTACTCCTTCATCCACCTCAGCTTCCAGCAGTTTCTCACTGCCCTGTTCTACACCCTGGAGAAGGAGGAGGAAGAGGATAGGGACGGCCACACCTGGGACATTGGGGACGTACAGAAGCTGCTTTCCGGAGTAGAAAGACTCAGGAACCCCGACCTGATCCAAGCAGGCTACTACTCCTTTGGCCTCGCTAACGAGAAGAGAGCCAAGGAGTTGGAGGCCACTTTTGGCTGCCGGATGTCACCGGACATCAAACAGGAATTGCTGCGATGCGACATAAGTTGTAAGGGTGGACATTCAACGGTGACAGACCTGCAGGAGCTCCTCGGCTGTCTGTACGAGTCTCAGGAGGAGGAGCTGGTGAAGGAGGTGATGGCTCAGTTCAAAGAAATATCCCTGCACTTAAATGCAGTAGACGTTGTGCCATCTTCATTCTGCGTCAAGCACTGTCGAAACCTGCAGAAAATGTCACTGCAGGTAATAAAGGAGAATCTCCCGGAGAATGTCACTGCGTCTGAATCAGACGCCGAGGTTGAGAGGTGAGAACCGTTTCACTCTACCAGTCGTTCCATCTTTAGCCTCATCCCATGCCCCCTTAGGAAGAGGCCAGAGCCTCCTATGCACTGTGGCTTAGGGTCAGGAATTCCCTCTTGTTGGACTCTTTGTTTGTTTTTGTTTTGAGATGGAGTCTTGCTCTGTCGCTCAGGCTGGAGCGCAGTGGCGCGATCTTGGCTCCCTGCAACCTCCGCCTCCCGGGTTCAAGTGATTCTTCTGCCTCAGCCTCCTGAGTAGCTGGGACTACAGGCGCCTGCCACCTTGCCCGGCTAATTTTTATATTTTCATTAGAGACGGGATCTCAGCATGTTGGCCAGTCTGGTCTTGAACTCCGCCTGACCTCAGGTGATCCACCTGCCTCAGCCTCCAAAGTGGGATTACAGGCATGATTCACCATGCCCGGCCCAAATATATTTTTTTAAGACAGGGTCTTGCTGTGTTGCTCAGGCTGGAGTACAGTGGTGAAATCAGCTCACTGCATCCTCAAACTTCTGGGTTCAAGTGATGTTCCTGAGTACCTGGGATGACAGGTATTAAGTGTGCACCATCATGTCCAGCTAACTTAAGTGGGGGTTTTTTTTTGTGTTTTTTTTTTTTTTTTTTTTTTTGGAAAGACAAAATCTCACTATGTTGTCCAGGCTGGTCTTGAACTCCCAAAGCACTGAGATTACAGGCATGAGTTACCACACGCCCTGCCTGAATATTTCTTATTGATATGTATAGATATGTATATTCCCAATCTTTTTTTTTTTTTTTGAGACGGAGTTTCACTCTTTTTCCCAGGTCGGAGTGAAGTGGCTCGATCTCGGCTCACTGCAACCTCCGCCCCACCAGGTTCAATGATTCTCCTGCCTCAGCCTCATGAGTAGCTGGGATTACAGCCACCCACGACCATGCCCAGCTAATTTTTGTACTTTTAGTAGAGACGGGGTTTCACCATGTTGGCCAGGCAGGTCTCGAACTCCCGACCTCAGGTGATCCACCCGCCTCAGCCTCACAAAGTGCTAGGATTATAGGCGTGAGTCACCGTGCCCGGTCTATATTCTCTATCTTTTATCAATGATGTGCTTAGCATTTTAACTTATTTTTACCCTCTATTGGATTTTTGTCTAAGAAGAATAGGTTCTTTCTCCTGTGATGCTTCTTGGGTGTTGAGTTGTCTGATGGTGGTGCTAATAAGTGATTACATGGTCCAGCTTTCAATTGTACTCATTTGTCAGGGGTATATGCCCAGAGAAACCCTAAATACTTCAGCCGTGATGGACACACATTTGGTGTAACCCTTTCTTCTCTTCCCTATAGATCCCAGGATGATCAGCACATGCTTCCTTTCTGGACGGACCTTTGTTCCATATTTGGATCAAATAAGGATCTGATGGGTCTAGCAATCAATGATAGCTTTCTCAGTGCCTCCCTAGTAAGGATCCTGTGTGAACAAATAGCCTCTGACACCTGTCATCTCCAGAGAGTGGTGTAAGTAGAAACTAATTCATGAACTCAAATCCTTAGGGTATGAAAATGGTACAATGTTAACATCGGAGCAATATTCAGATTCCTGTACTAGACTCTTAAGTGCTCGAGACACAGGGAATTGAGAGAGTCCTGTCCTTAAATTTATTTTGTGGGATAATCGTATAAAGTAATTTCTAGGGGCTGGGCATGGTGGTTCACACTTGTAATTCCAACACTTCGGGAGGCCGAGGCAGACAGATCACTTGAGGTCAGGAGTTCGAGACCAGCCTGGCCAACGTGACAAAACCCTGCCTCTACTAAAAATACAAAAATTATCCAGGCGTGGTGGCAGGCACCTGTAATATCAGCTACTTGGGAGGCTGAGGCAGGAGAATTACTTGAACCCAGGAGGCGGAGGTTGCAGTGAACCAAGATCCTGCCACTGGACTCCAGTCTGAGTGACAGAGCGAGACTGCGTCTCAAAAAAAAAAAAAAAAAAAAAGAAAAAGAAAAAAAGGGCCGGGCACAATGGCTCACGCCTGTAGTCCCAGCACTTTGGGGGCCCAAGGTGGGGGGATCACTTGAGGTCAGGAGTTCAAGACCAGCCTGGCCAAGATGGTGCAAGACCCTGTCTCTACGAAAAATACAAAAATTTGCCAGGTGTCGTGGCAGGTGCCTATAATCCCAGCTACTCCGGATGCTGAGGGTAGGAGTCGCTTGAATCCGGGAGGCAGAGTTTGCTTTGCAGTGAGCCGAGATCGCGCCACTGCACTCCAGCCTGGGCAACAGAGTGAGACTCCATCTCAAAGAAAAAAAAAATCTGTAAAGATGGACAAAAATTTAAACATGGAAAAAATAGTTCCTAAAGTTTAAATATATCGAGCCCCTGGTTTCCATTTAAGTACGATACAGGTGTACACACTAAAGATTTCACTTTCGTTCTCTTTTCCCTAGGTTCAAAAACATTTCCCCAGCTGATGCTCATCGGAACCTCTGCCTAGCTCTTCGAGGTCACAAGACTGTAACGTATCTGACCCTTCAAGGCAATGACCAGGATGATATGTTTCCCGCATTGTGTGAGGTCTTGAGACATCCAGAATGTAACCTGCGATATCTCGGGTATATCTCTTAATCATTAAAATCCTTCATCATACAAACATAAGCTACCACAAGCTTATGTGGCAATTTTGTGTAAATAAGAAAAAGTTCGTTATTCTGACTAGAAACAGTACTAAGGGCAGATGACCCAGGATGCAGCATGGGCTGAACTTGAGTTTCTACTTGCCTTGAACAGTAAACACCCTGGACAACCATACGTGAGGACCCTGAATCCAAAGAAACTCCCAGAATCTTTATCATCTTTTTTTTTTTTTTTATGAAGTCTTGCTCTGTTGCCCAGGCCAAAGTGCAATGGCACGATCTTGGCTCACTGCAACCTCTGTCTCCTGGGTTCAAGTAATTCTGCTGCCTCAGCCTCCCAAGTTGCTGGGATTACAGGCACCCGCCACCACGCCCGGCTAATTTTTGTGCATTTAGTGGAGCTGGTTTCGCCACATTGCCAGGCTGGTCTCGAACTCATGACCTCAGGTGACCTGCCCTCCTCAGGCTCCCAAAGTGCTGGGATTATAGGCATGAGCCACCATGCCCAGCCAGAGTCCTTATGTTTTGGTTTTGGTTTTGGTTTTTTCTTTTTCTTTTTTCTTTTTGAGATGGAGTCTCGCTCTGTCACCCAGGCTGGAGTGCGTTGGTATGATCTCAGGTCACTGCAGCCTCCACCTCCCAGGTTCAAGTGATTCTCCTGCCTCAGCCTCCTGAGTAGCTGGGATTACAGGTGCACACCACCACACCTGGTTAATTTTTGTATTATTAGTAGAGATGGAGTTTTACCACATTGGCCAGGCTGGTCTCGAACTCATGACCTCAGGTGATCTACCCCCCCACCCCCACCCCACCCCGCCGTCGGCCTCCCAAAGTGAGGCATGAGCCACCGTGCCCAGCCCAGAATCTTTATCTTCTATCAGAGATCATTCACTCATGGTTCATGCTTCTCCTGTATGATGATTCAGAATACCAGCTATTGACATTTTTCAAGCAAGAACCCTTCAGGAACATCAAGTTGCCCCTTTTCTGTTAGTCCTCTGGTTTGAGAGCTCTCCCCTTGGGAAGCTGTCCAGTGGCTGCCCAGGCGATGAGAACCTACATGCATCATGGGGTTCCATGAAGCCTCACTTGGCCACACTGGTGTAGTAGGTGGTCATTGGCCTCAAATTATTGCCCTGGGCCAGGCGCAGTGGCTCACGCCTGGGAGGCCGAGGTGGGTGGATCACTTGAGGTCAGGAGTTCAAGACCGGCCTGGTCAACATGGTGAAACTCTGTCTCTACTAATAATACAAAAATTAGCTGGGCATGTTGGCGCACGCCTGTAGTCCCAGCTACTCAGGAGGCTGAGGCAGGAGCATCATTTGAACCTGAGAGGCGGAGGTTGCAGTGAGCTGAGATCACACCACCGCACTCCAGTCTGGGCAACAGTGTGAGACTGTCTCAAAAAAAAAAAAAAAAATCTTGGCTGGGTGCGGTAGCTCATGCCTGTAATCCCAGCACTTTGGGAGGCCAAGGCAGGTGGATCACAAGGTCAGGAGTTCAAGACCAGCCTGGCCAACATGGTGAAACCCCACGTCTACTAAAAATACAAAAACATTAGCTGGGCATGGTGGCGCGTGCCTGTAATCCCAGCTACTCATGGAGGCTGATGCAAGAGAATTGCTTGAACCTAGGAGGCAGAGGTAGCAGTGAGCCAAGATCACGCCATTGCACTCCAGCCTGGGCAACAGAGCAAAACTCCATCTCGAGGACAGAAAAAAAATTGATTGCTCTGGCTCTACTGATACAATCTTAGGCTGCTTAATGGGATCTTAGTTGAATAGGATGCTGTACATCTTACAGGTATTGGAAGGTTGAATGAAACCAAGCCCATGCATTCAATAGTGGCTGCTATCATTACTAACCGTTGCAATTACCCTCTTTTCTTTTTGCCTGAGAATAATGGGATGCAGGGTGAGGGGGAATATTGGGTGAATTAAAGATTTGGGTCACTAATTTCTTTCTTTTTTTCTCAAGATATAGTCTTGCTCTGTCTCCTAGGCTGGAGTGCAGTGCCACAATCTTGGTTCACTGCAACCTCTGCCTCCCGGGTTCAAGTGATTCTTCTCCGTCAACCTCCCAAGTAGCTGGGATTACAGGCACCCACCTGTATTTTTGTATTTCTAGTATTTTGTATTTCTAGTAGAGACAGGGTTACGCCATGCTGGTGGCCAGGGTGGTCTCAAACTCCTGACCTCGGGCAATCCACCACACCCAGCTAATTTTTGGTATATTTAGTAGAGCCGGGGTTTCACCGTGTTGGCTGGGCTGGTCTCGAACTCCTGACCTCAAGTGACATCCATCTTCCAAAATGCTGGGATTACAGCCATGTGCCACCACGCCCAGCTAATTCTTGTATTTTTAGGAGAAATGGGGTTTCATCATGTTGTTCCGGCTGGTCTTAAACTCCTGGCCTCATGATCCACCTGCCTTGGCCTGCCAAAGTCCTGGGATTACAGGCATGAGCCACTGTGCCCAGCCACTCATTTCTTATGAATTTATTCTAACACATTTTCCGGATGAACAGGGCACCTTGAAACATAGGTTAGTGGGCTGGGTATGGTGGCTCCTGCCTGTAATCCCAGTACTTTGGGAGGCCTAGGCTGGTGTATCGCTTGAAGTCAGGAGTTTTTTGTTTTGAGACGGAGTCTTGCTCTGTCGCCCAGGCTAGAGTGCAGTGGAGTGATCTCGGCTTACTGCAACCTCCGCCTCCTGGGTTCAAGTGATTCTCTTGCCTCAGCCTCCTGAGTAGCTGGGACTACAGGCACGTGTCGCCACGCCCATCTAACTTTTGTATGTTTAGTAGAGCCGGGGTTTCACCATGTTGGCCAGGATGGTCTCAAACTCCTGACCTCCTGATCTGCCCACCTCGGCCTCCCAAAGTGCTGGGATTACAGGCATGAGCCATTGCCCCGGCCAAAGTTAGGAGTTTGAGACCAGCCTGGCCAACATGGTAAAACCCCATCTCTACTAAAAAATACAAAAATTAGCCAGGCAAGATGGCATTTGCCTGTAATCCCAGCTACTCAGGAGGCTGAGGCGGGAGAATCTCTTGAATCTGGGAGGCAGAGGTTGCTGTGAGCTGAGATCGCGCCACTACACTCCAGCCAGGGCGACAGAGCATAAATAACTCCCTTTCAAAAAACCAAACAATGAAACATAGGTTAGCGGAGTCTGCATCCAACATTAGAGTCAGATTGACTAAGTTCTGTATTTCCAGCTGATTCCTGGGCGATGTTGGTGCCACTGGTCTGACCACCCTTTGACAACTGCTGCTCCAGATAATTCAAGTCGGGGTATAACACAACCAGTGAGATGTAAACCAAAGACGATTCCACGGTTAGATTCTCAAGAATGACTTGTTCTGCCGGGCGCGGTGGCTCACGCCTGTCATCCCAGCACTCTGGGAGGCCGAGGTGGGCAGATCACCTGAGATTGGGAGTTTGAGACCAGCCTGACCAACATGGAGAGACCCCCACCTCTACTGAAAATACAAAATTAGCTGGGCATGTTGGTGCATGGTGCATGCCTGCAGTCCCAGCTACTCGGGAGGCTGAGGCAGGAGAATCACTTGAACCCAGGAGGCGGAGGTTGCTGTGAGCCGAGATTGCGCCACCTGGGCAACAAGAGTGAGACTCAGTCTCAAAAAAAAAAAAAAAATGACGTGGTCCTATTTCTCCCACAGGTTGGTGTCTTGTTCCGCTACCACTCAGCAGTGGGCTGATCTCTCCTTGGCCCTTGAAGTCAACCAGTCCCTGACGTGCGTAAACCTCTCCGACAATGAGCTTCTGGATGAGGGTGCTAAGTTGCTGTACACAACTTTGAGACACCCCAAGTGCTTTCTGCAGAGGTTGTCGTAAGTCTCTCCTCTCTTACAGAGCAGCTGTGCTTTCGATCTGGGGCCACAGACGAGCAATGGTCATGCCTGACTTGGCTGTATGGAACCTCTCGCTGATGTGAACACCTGTTCCCATGTTTAGATCCAGGCCGATGGCCTGTGAATTTTGTTCTTCTCTCATTCCTATTCCTTCATAGGATCACCAGTGCATGATAGAAGGTGGGGAGTTCACAAGAAGGGGCTTTTGGATGCTGGCACTTGTGGAGCTAGCCGGGAAGGTTGAAGTTGGACCTGTCAACCGTGTTGCCATTTGTGATTCTTTTGTAGGTTGGAAAACTGTCACCTTACAGAAGCCAATTGCAAGGACCTTGCTGCTGTGTTGGTTGTCAGCCGGGAGCTGACACACCTGTGCTTGGCCAAGAACCCCATTGGGAATACAGGGGTGAAGTTTCTGTGTGAGGGCTTGAGGTACCCCGAGTGTAAACTGCAGACCTTGGTGTAAGTCCGTGCTGGCTGCCTGTGTGCGTGGGTGTATATGCACACGCCCCCCACCTCCGGGTTTGAGTAGGGTGGTTATGAGAACACTTAATTCCTCTAAAAGTTCCAAGCATGATGCTAATGACAACTGGTAAGACCTGGGTAGATGATGGTAGGAAAAAAGTATAAGTAGTAGTAGAGTAGTAGTAATATTCTATAGGGATTTGGGGAATGTAGCTGGTTTTCGGGTTTTTTTTTTCCTCTTTATGTATGTATGTATTTTAGAGATGGGATCTCGCCGTGTTGCCTAGGCTGGTCTCAAACTCCTGAGCTCAAGAGATCTGCCTGCCTTGGCCTCCCAAAGTGCTAGAATTACAGGCATGAGCCATGTCACCCCATGCTGTGTTTTCTCTTAATCTGTGTTCTTAGAACTATAACTGTAACATAAATTGCATGCAATTGGTTGTAAATGGAATTCATTTACTTATTTTTTAATGAATGATTTGCAAATCAGGTAGTCTTCTGGGCCAGTGTACGCTCAGACTCCCAATGGAAGCTATTGGAAGCTACATGCTCAATGTGATCCTCCTTTTAATACTAAAATCACAGGACACGTGGCCTGGCATAGTGGCTCACGCCTATAATCCCATCACCTTGGGAGGCCGAAGCAAGGCAGATCCCTTGAGGGCAGGAGTTCAAGACCAGCCTGCCCAACATGGTGAAACATTGTCTCTCTACTAAAAATACAAAAATTAGTCACGCATGGTGGGACATGCCTGTAATCCCAGTTACTCAGGAGGCTAAGGCAGGAGAATCACTTGAACTTCGGAGGTGGAGGTTGCAGTGAGCTGAGATGGCACCACTGAAGTCCAGTCTGGCCAATAGAGCAAGACTCTCTCAAAAAAAAAAAATTATAGGACAAATCTTTAGAAAGGAATTGGGGCCTGGCATGGTGGCTCATGCCTGTAATCTCAGCACTTTAGGAGGCGGGCAGAACACCTGAGGTCAGGAGTTTGAGACCAGCCTGGCTGATGCAGTGAAACCCTGTCTCTACTAAAAATACAAAAATTAGCTAGGCGTGGTGGTATGGTCCTGTAATCCCAGCTACTTGGGAGGCTGAGGCAGGAGAATCGCTTGAAGTCGGGAGGTTGCAGTGAGCCGAGATCGTGCCAGCCTGGGTGACAGAACGAGATTGTCTCAAAAAAAAAAAAAAATTGTATCTGCACTGATGGTTTCTGTTCAGAGATTCGATTTTATGTTAACATCTCTGGTATTTTTTTTTTTTTTTTTTAAGATGGAGTTTTACTCTTGCCCACGCTGGCAATGGCATGATCTAGGCTCACTGCAACCTCCGGCTTCAAGGAGGTTGATTCTCCTGCCTCAGCCTCCTGAGTAGCTGGGATTACAGGCACTCACCACCACGCCGGGCTAATTTTTATATTTTTAGTAGAGATGGGATTTCACCATGTTGGCCAGGTTGGTCTCGAACTGACCTCATGATCCGCCCGCCTCAGCCTTCCAAAGTGCTAGGATTTACAGGCATGAGCCACTGCGTCCAGCCATACATATCTCTGGTATTCTTTGTCTCTAACATCACCTCCAACAGTTAGGAACTGTCCTCTTCCTATGAAGTAACTAATCTAGGATATGTACCTGGCATCTGAAAACTACCCACTTAAATTTAATGACATATTCAGTTCATGGCTGGAGACGATGAGTAGAAGGAAAGGATTCTTCCCACACCCACTATATCTAGGCCCTGAAACATTAAAAAAGAAGTCCCACAAGCAGTGAGATGTCACCGACTCACTAACTGTATCTTCAAATGAATGTCTAGTTTTTTTGGTTGTGTGTGTGTGTGGTGTGTGGTGTGTGTGGTATTTTTTTGGGGGGGGGGGGGTTTTCTTTTTTTTTTTTTTTTGGTTTTTTTTTTTTGATAGTCTTGCTCTGTCGCCCAGGCTGGAATGCAGTGGCTCCATCTCAGCTCACTGCAACCTCCACCTCCTGAGTTCAGGTGTGATTCTCCTGCCTCAGCCTCCCAGGGATTAAGGTGCATGCCACCACGCCCAGCTAACTTCTTTATTTTTAGTAGAGACGAGTTTTCACCATGTTGGTCAAGCTGGTCTCGAATTCCTGACCTCAGGTGATCCACCCACCTCAGCCTCCCAAAGTGCTGGGATTACAGGTGTGAGCCACCGTGCCGGCCCCCTCAATTCAACTTTTTGATCCATGCCCCTATTTTGCTAAGTTGTCAACTTCCCTTTAGTCTTATGTGGGTTTTCCTCCATTACAGTCATGGAAGTTTCTAGAAGGCCGGGTAGGGTCTTTGAGAGGCCGAGGCAGGTGGATCATGAGGTCAGGAGTTCAAGACCAGCCTGGCCAACATGGTGAAACCCTGTCTTTACTAAAAATACAAAAATTAGCCAGGCGTGGTGTCGGAGCCTGTAATCCCAGCTTACTTGGGAGGGTGAGGCAGAGAATTGCTTGAACCTGGGAGGCGGAAGTTGCAGTGAGCTGAGATTGTGCCACTGTACTCCAGCCTGGGTGTCAGAGCGAGACTGTCTCAAAAAAAAAAAAAAAAAAGTTTCTATACATTCATAAAGTTTCAAGATTTGGGGGTGTGTTTTCACTTCTCCATCGTCATGGACTCCAATCTGCCATCTATTTCCAAGGCCCTTCCAGGTCCTGTGTCCCTCAGCTAGTGGTATGCTTCACTTGGGACCCAGAGATACATGGGCATTATAGTTCAAATTATAATTAAGTTTAGAACTCTATTGAGACAGAAGAAAGAAAACAGAGCTAAGGTGAAATATCTCTGATAATCTGTGTTGGTTAATATCTAGGATCCTAGTACCAGATATGTTGGAGTGTGAGCTGGTGTCTTCTGCCTGTAAGACACTACCTCTCTAGCAACTGAATTTAGCAAATACAATCGTAATCCCAGCATGTTAGGGAGGCCAGGGTGGGCAGATCATCTGAGGTCGGGAGTTCAAGACCAGCCTGGCCAACATGGGGAAACCCTGTCTCTACTAAAAATACAAAACTTAGCTGGGTGTGGTGGCACGCGCATGTGTGTACACACACACACCCCCCTGTAATCCCAGCTACTCGGAAGGCTGGGGCACAAGAATCGCGTGAAACCAGGAGGCGGAGGTTGAAGTGAGCCACCGTGCCAGCTGAGAATCCTTTTTACTTCTCCAACTTCTGTTGGCCACCTGCATTCCTTGGCTTGTGGCCCTTCCTCCAACTTCGGCAGAGCATCTTCAAACGTTGCCCTGGCTCCCTTATCACGTCACCTCCTGCTGGCTTTGACTCTCAGCTCCCTCTTATGAGGATCCCTGTGATTGCTGGACCTACCCAAATAAACCAGGATATAAACCATCTTAAGATGCTCAGTCACCTCTACGAGGTCCCTTTTGCTCGCAGGTGCCAGGAGTTGGGACTTGGACATCTTTAGGGGAGGCCATTCTTCTGTCCACCACACCACCCCATGATTCCATTTCCATGTCACCACTGTCTCTAAGTGTGTCTAACCCACGGCTCAAGAGTCAAAGGTGCATCACAGCAGTGAGAACTCACAGGTTCGGGTTTGCTTTCTTCCTGTGGTTGATTTCTAGGCTTTGGAACTGCGACATAACTAGCGATGGCTGCTGCGATCTCACAAAGCTTCTCCAAGAAAAATCAAGCCTGTTGTGTTTGGATCTGGGGCTGAATCACATAGGAGTTAAGGGAATGAAGTTCCTGTGTGAGGCTTTGAGGAAACCACTGTGCAACTTGAGATGTCTGTGGTGAGTTAACTTATAAGTTCAACTTCCTATACTTACACCTTACTGAATCTGTGGCTAGTGTAAAATAATCAGTGAAGCCGACTTCCCAAGTTATATAATTGAGAGGACCTTTATAGAGTCGATCGAGCATTTACTAGGATGGTTAAAGGAATAAGTTCTAGTCTATGTCTAAGTTTTTGTTTTTTTTTTTCTTGAAGTTTTGCTCTTGTCACATAGGCTGGAGTGCAGTGGCGTGATCTTGGCTCACTGCAACCTCCGCCTCCCAGGTTCAAGCAATTCTCTTGCTTCAGCTTCCCGAGTAGCTGGGATTACAGGCGCCCGCCACCATGCCCAGCTAATTCTTGTATTTTTAGTAGAGACAGGGTTTCGCCATGTTGAAGGTTCATCTCAAACTCCTGACCTCAGGTGATCCGCCCATCTCGGCCTCCCAAAGTGCTGGGATTACAGGCGTGAGCCACTGCGCCAGGCCCTATGTCTAAGTTCTAGTCTGTGTCATGCAAAGAACACCTGTGAAATTTTAAGGATACAGTGCCTCAAGCCATTCAGCCAAAAGCCACTGCCCAGCACCCCACATTCAGAGAGGTGGGAATTGGGCCAGGCACAGTGGCTCATACCTGTAATCCCAGCACTTCGGGAGGCCGAAGCGGGCGGATCACTTAAGGTCAGGAGCTCAAGACCAGCCTGGCCAACTTGAAACTCCATCTCTACTAAAATATAAAAATTAGCCGAGCATAGTAGTGGGTGCCTCTTTTTTTTTTTTTTTTTTTTTTGAGATAGTTTCACTCTTGTTGCCCAGGCTGTAGTGTAATGGCGCGATCTCAGCTCACTGCAACCTCCACCTCCTGGGTTCAAGTGATTCTCCTGCCTTAGCCTCCCACATAGCTGCAAATAAACAGGCATGTGCCACCATGCCTGGCTAATTTTGTATTTTTAGTATAGACGGGGTTTCTCCATGTTGGTCAGGCTGGTCTCGACCTCCGGACCTCAGGTGAGAGCCACCGTGCCCAGCCAGTAGGTGCCTTTAATCCCAGCTACTTGGGAGGCTGAGGCAGGAGAATCACTTGAACCCTGGAGGCAGAGGTTGCAGTGAGCTGAGATCCTGTCACTACACTCCATCCTGGGCTACAAGAGCAAGACTCCATCTCAGGAAAAAATAAAAAAGAGGTAGGAATTAGATATCGTGCCAGAAAATGCTGGCTCTATCAGCAGGTGAGTGGTCTCAACTTGGCTATCTTACAAATACCTTGTGAGTTAGCTACAATCAGATGCACTTGAACCTGGAATCCTATCTGGGAGGCAATCTTAAAAGAATTTGACTCGGGATGGGCAAGGTGGCTCATGCCTGTAATCCTGGCATTTTGGGAGTCCAAGGCAGGTAGATTGCTTGAGGCCAAGAATTTAAAAACAGCCTGGCCAACACAATGAAGCCCTGTCTCTACTGAAAGTACAAAAATCCGCTGAGCATGGCTGTGTACCTCTGCTCCCAGTTACTCAGGAGGCTGAGGTGGGAGGATCACTTGAGCCTGGGAGGAAGAAGTTACAGCGAATTGAGATCACGTCACCTCACTCCAGCCTGGGTGACAGTGAGATCCTGTCTCAAAAAAAAAAAAAAAACAAAAAAAACAAAGGCGCCTTTTTAATCACTCACTGACACGTGTAGAGGAGCAAAAAGTTTGAGTTGCTGGTTGGCCCAGGAGGTCAAGGCTGCAGTGAGCCAAGATGGCGTTACCACACTCCAGCCTGGGCAACCGAGTGAGACCGTGTTTCAAAAAATAAAGTGGCAGGGTGCAGTGGCTCATGCCTGTAATTCCAGCACTTTGGGAGGCCGAGGCAGGTGGATCACCTAAGGTCAGGAGTTCGTAGACCAGCCTGTCTCTACTAAAGAGACAGGTGAAACCCTGTCTCTCTAAAACCACAAAAATCAGGCAGGCATGGTGGCACATAGCTATAATCTCATCTACTTGGAGGCACGAGAACTGCTTGAATCCAGGAGGCAGAGGCTACAGTGAGCCGAGATCATGCCACAGCACTCCAGCCCTGGCGAGAGAGCAAGACTGTCTCAAAGAATAACTTCAAAGATGGAAGTTATTTAACCTCTCTGCTCAAAAGCCTCAGTGCTTCCCTATGTCAATCCAGGTAAAATCCTATATTGACGATGGCTTCAGGGTCTTCTGTGAGCTGGCCACTGCTTACCTATGACCTCATCTTGACAATCCTCCCTGTCTCACTCATGCCCGCTGCCTGGATGTTCTATTTTACGTGTCAGTCACATGTATCTTCAGGGCCTCTGCACAAGCTATTTCTCTGCCTGGAGAACTCCCCCCCGAGCTCTATGACTCGGTCTCTTCACCCCCTCACCTCCAACCATTGTAGCCAGAACCCCCAGTTATTCCCTGTACCCCTTGCCCTTCAGAACCCCTCATCGCCTCCATATTTTCCTGTTAGCAGATGAGCCCTGAGGGCGGAGACGTTTTGTTTGTTTTTTGAGACCGGAGTCTCACTCTGTCACCCAGGCTGGAGTGCAATGGCGCGATCTCGGCTCACTGCAACCTCCGCCTCCTGGGTTCAAGCGATTCTCCTGCCCCAGCCTCCTGAGTAGCTGGGATTACAGGTGCCTGTCACCACGCCCAGCTAACTTCTGTATATTTAGTAGAGACACGGTTTTACCATGTTAGGTTGGTCTTGAACTCCTTGACCTCAGGTGATCCATCCACCTCGGCCTCCCAAAGTGCTGGGATTACAGGCGTGAACCACCGTGCCCGGCCTGAGACTTCTGTTGGTCATGCAGATCCCCAACACACGAGGGTGGGCTTGGCTTGCCGGAGGGCATCGATCAGCACTGGCTGCATTAACGTGTTGATTTCTGTGTTTCCCCAGGTTGTGGGGATGTTCCATCCCTCCGTTCAGTTGTGAAGACCTCTGCTCTGCCCTCAGCTGCAACCAGAGCCTCGTCACTCTGGACCTGGGTCAGAATCCCTTGGGGTCTAGTGGAGTGAAGATGCTGTTTGAAACCTTGACATGTTCCAGTGGCACCCTCCGGACACTCAGGTATGATCCATTTACTTCCCCATCAGGCTTTCTCCAGAGTGGTAGGTTTAGGGGAAGCATAATGACATGGACCTGCTGTAGGAGACTGATCTGGTAGCTGGATTACAGGTTCCCGCCATCACACCCAGCCAATTTCTGTATTTCACTTGGAGAAACGGGGTTTCACCATGTTGGTCAGGCTGGTCTCAAACTCCTGACCTCAGGTGATCCGCCCGCCTCGGCCTCCCAAAGTGCTGGGATTACAGGCGTGAGCAACCGCACCCGGCCACCTTTTTTTTTTTTTTCCTTTGAGGCAAGAACTCACTATGTTCCCCAGGCTGGAGTCCAGCAGCACAATGATGGCTCGCTGCAGGCTCGCTCCAGCTCCTGGGCTCAAGCAATCCTGCCTCAGTTCCTGAGTAGGTAGGTTTATAAGCATGAACCATTGCACCCAGCCACGGCTGCCGTCTACCTGCTCATGATAGCCATTTGTCACTGGGCTGTGTTTTGTTTGTTGCATTTTGTCAGGGTTTTGGGGTTTTGTTTTGTTTTTTCTTTCTTTTTTTTTTTTTTTTTCTGAGATGGAGTCTCACTCTGTTGCCCAGGCTGGGGTGCAGTGGTTGCTAACTGCAACCTCCACCTCCCAGGTTCCAGCTATTCTCATGCTTCAGCCTCCCAAGTAGCTGGGATTACAGGCATGCACCACCACACCTAGGTAATTTTTGTATTTTTAGTAGAGACAGGGTTTTGCCATGTTGGCCAGGGTGGTCTCAAACTCCTGACCTCCGTGATTTGCCCACCTCAGCATCCCAAAGTGCTGGGATTACAGGCATGAGCCACCGCACCCGGCCTGAGTTGTATTTTGATACCATGGCATCAAAGAACCAAGAAGCCCCTTCCTAGGAATGTGGGAACTTCAGAAATTCTCACAAGCAATATACTCTACTGCTGGCTTAAAATAATCTTTATGTAGAAGAAACATAGATTACTTGTTTATTTAACATGAAACTCAGCCTAAGATACTTTGTAAGTCAAAAGACATATGGACACTAAGGGTTTTTTTAAGCTTTAAGTTTGTTTGTTTGTTTATTTATTATTTATTTTGGAGACAGTTTTACTCTTTTTTTTGGGGTGCATCTTTTTTCTTTTTTTTTTTTTTTTTTCCTTTTTTTTTTTTTTTTTTTTTATTGATCATTCTTGGGTGTTTCTCACAGAGGGGGATTTGGCAGGGTCATAGGACAATAGTGGAGGGAAGGTCAGCAGATAAACAAGTGAACAAAGGTCTCTGGTTTTCCTAGGCAGAGGACCCTGCGGCCTTCCGCAGCGTTTGTGTCCCTGGGTACTTGAGATTAGGGAGTGGTGATGACTCTTAACGAGCGTGCTGCCTTCAGGATCTGTTTAACAAAGCATATCTTGCACCGCCCTTAATCCGTTTAACTCTGAGTGGACACAGCACATGTTTCAGAGAGCACGGGGTTGGGGGTAAGGTCACAGATCAACAGGATCCCAAGGCAGAAGAATTTTTCTTAGTACAGAACAAAATGGGGGGCTGACCCCCCCACCTCCCTCCCGGACAGGGCGGCTGGCCGGTTAGAGGGGCTCCTCACTTCCCATTAGGGGCGGCCGGGCAGAGGCGCCCCTCACCTCCCGGACAGGGCGGCTGGCTGGGCGGGGGGCTGACCCCCCCACCTCCCCGCCCGGCCAGAGTTTTACTCTTGTTGTCCAGCCTGGAGCGCAATGGCGCTATCTCGGCTTACTGCAACCTCCGCCTCCCGGGTTCAAGAGGTTCTCCTCCCTCAGCCTCCCAAGTAGCTGGGACTACAGGCATGTGCCACCACACCTGGCTAATCTTGTATTTTTAATAGAGACAGGGTTTCTCCATATTGGTCAGGCTGGTCTCGAACTCCTGACTTCAGGTGACCCGCCTGCCTCAGCCTCCCAAAGTGCTAAGATTACAGGCGTGAGCCACCATGCCTGGCCTGCATCTCCTCTGTTTAACTGGTACTCCGGGGTCCACTGAGTAGAAGTTGCCAAAGTGGGTGATAGAGCGGGTAAGCAGGTATTAGAGCTATAGCCCAGCTGTACTCAGCAATTCCATTTTCTGTGTATGATAATCAACAAGCATCTCAAACTGCACAATGGCTATATACCATTACAAGGTTAACCTGATGTTATGTTTTTCTCTATCAGATCAACATGGTTGAGAATAAGAGGAATGAAAAAAAGGATTAAAAAGAGAAATGAAAGTCTTTAATATTACATTTTATTATTTACTTCATTTATTTTTTAGACAAAAATCTCACTCTATTGCTCAGGCTGGAGTGCAGGGGCCCGATCTCAGCTCACTGTAACCTCCGCCTCCCAGGTTCAAGTGATTCTCCTGTGTCAGCTTCCTGAGTAGCTGGGATTATAGGGATGCACCATCACACCCAACTAACTTTTATATTTTTAGTAGAGATGGACTTTCACCATCTTGCCTAGGCTGGTCTCAAACTCCTGACCTCAAGTGATCTGCCCACCTCACTCTCCCAAAGTGCTGGCATTACAGGCATGACCCACCACATCTGGCCTCATTTTATATTTAAAAATAAAAAATAAGCAAATCAAGCCAGGTACAGTTTAGGCAACATGGTAAAACCCCAACTCTACTAAAAATACAAAAATTAGCTGAGCATGGTGGCAGGTGCCTGTAGTCCCAGCTACTCGGGAGGCAGAGGATAGGATGGCTTGAACCCAAGAGGCACAGGTTGCAGTGAGCTGAGATGGTACCACTGCACTCCAGCTTGGGCAACAGAGAGACTGTCTTTTTTTTTTTTTTTTTTTTTTTTTTTTTTTTTTTTTTTGAGATCGCCCAGGCTGGAGTACAGTGGCACGATCTCGGCTCACTGCAAGCTCCGCCTCCCGGGTTCACACCATTCTCCTGCCTCAGCCTCCTGAGTAGCTGGGACTACAGGCGTCCGCCACCACGCCCGGCTAATTTTTTGTATTTTTTTAGTAGAGACAGGGTTTCACCGTGTTAGCCAGGATGGTCTTGATCTGCTGACCTCGTGATCCACCCGCCTCAGCCTCCTAAAGTGCTGGGAATTACAGGCGTGAGCCATCACGCCCCACCTGAGACTGTCTTTTAAAAAAAAAAAAAAAAAATCAATGTGGAACACTCCTTTGCCACCTAGAATAATCAGGAAAGGTGACCCATGCCCTGTGCCTCCTTAACAGACTTTCAGGTACTTGGGAATTTGAAACAAATCTCCTTGATGCACAAAGTAACCTTTTCTTCCCCCATTGTACCCCAGGTTGAAAATCGATGACTTTAATGATGAACTCAATAAGCTGCTGGAAGAAATAGAAGAAAAAAACCCACAACTGATTATTGATACTGAGAAACATCATCCCTGGGCAGAAAGGCCTTCTTCTCATGACTTCATGATCTGAATCCCCCCGAGTCATTCATTCTCCATGAAGTCATCGATTTTCCAGGTGTTGGTGAACTGCCTGTGACTCCTCTCCTCCCCGGCCCCTACCCCTCAGGGATAATGAGTTCATTGCTGGGCTAGATGTTTTAGCCATGATTCTGCCTCTGTTTTATACCTGCACACATCCTTATCTTTGTTACATATGAAATATCTGTATCACGGGTATATTGAGAGAAATAAAGGTGAGAGCATTCACAAATGAAGCTGTTACTTAATAATGGGCTTTGACAAGTTAGAGAAAAGATATCTTACTGGGTAGAACCTGGGGGGTGGGGGAAGTGACAGTGTTTAATTGCATTGATTTCTATTGCCTTGTCAATCTTTGCCTTGCCTTGGTATTTCCTTTCTTTTTTCTTTTCTTTTTTTTTTTTTTTTTTTTTAGACTGAGTTTCACTCTGTTGCCCACGCTGGAGTACACTGGCACGATCTCAGCTTACTACAACCTGGCAGGTTCAAGCGATTCTCCTGTCTCAGCCTCCTGAGTAGCTGGGATTACAAGCATCCCCCACCACACCCGGCTAAATTTTTTTGTATTTTTAATAGAGATGAGGTTTCACCATGTTGGCCAGTCTGGTCTCAAACTCCTGACCTCAAGTGATCCACCCACCTCAGCCTCCCAGAGTGCTGGGATTACAGGCATGAGCCACTGTACCCGGCTTTTTTTTTTTTCTTTTTCTTTTTCCTCAAGCATGAGTGTTGCTCTGTTGCCCAGGCTGGAATACAGCAGCATGATGATAGCTCACTGCAGCCTCAAGCTCCCAGGTTCAAGCGATCCTCCAGCCTCAGCCTCCTCAGTAGCTGGGACTACAGGTGCACACCACCAAACCAGGCCAATTTTTGTGGGATTTTTTTTGAAGACAGGGTCTCACTATGTTGCCCAGGCTGATCTCAAACTCCCAGGCGCAAGTAATATTCCTGCCTCAGCCTCCCAAAGTGCTAGGATTACAGGTGTGAACCACTGTGCCTAGCCTGTCTTGTTACTTGTTGACCTGCGTGGATCACTGCCTGCTGAGTATTACTTGCCAGAGGATTTCTCCTACCAATCTACAATATTTTAGGTGCTTCGGTGTAGCTCATATATGACCATGTCATTGCTCTGATTTTGCTTTTTAAAAATTCTAACTTAAAATAGAATCTCGGCCAGGCACGGTGGCTCACACCTGTAATCCCAGCACTTCGGGAGGCTGAGGTGGGTGGATCACGAAGTCAGGAGTTGGAGACCAACCTGGCCAACGTGGTGAAACCCCGTCTCTACTAAAAATATAAAAAATTAGCCAGGCATGGTGGCACATGCCTGTAATCCCAGCTACTTGGGAGGCTGAGGCAGGAGAATTGCTTAAACCCAGGAGGTGGATGTTGCACTGTGCTGAAGACTGCACTACTGCATTCCAGCTTGGGCAACAGAGTGACTCCTTCTCCAAAAAAAAACAAAATCTCATGGTATGCATAGTTTTTCACTATAGAGTCTCCATTATTTCCTTGTGATACAGAATTCCAAATTCAACAAAGCAGCAGTGCAAGCTCTACGCTGTAAAACCACAAACAAAACGAACTGTACTATAAAGACAACACTAGTTGGCAAAGTTGCTTCTCATGGGGAGACTTTGTTGCTGTCTGTGTTTACTGGATGAGCAAACAAATGGACGGTAAGGGGGAAAAAGAACAGTACAAATTTTTATTAAACACTAATCATGTTTTTTTTTGTTTGTTTTGAGACAGTTTCTTCTTGTTGCCCAGGCTGGAGTGCAATGGCACGATTTTGGCTCACTGCAACCTCCGCCTCCCCGGGTTCAAGCGATTCTCTTGCCTCGACCTACTGAGTAGCTGGGATTATAGGCATGTGCCACCAAGCCTGGCTAATTTTGAATTTTTAGCAGAGACGGGGTTTTTCCATGTTGGTCAGGCTGGTCTCGAACTCCCGACCTCAGGTGATCCACCAGCCTTGGTCTCCCAAAGTGCTGGGATTACAGGTATAAGTCACCGCACCTGGCAACATTTTTTTCTTTTTTTTTTTTTTTTTTTTTTTTTTTTTTGGTGGCAGAATCTTGCTCTTTCACCCAGGCTGGAATGCAATGGCACGATCTCGGGTCACTGCAGCCTCCACCTCCCCAGTTTAAGCAGTTCTCCCATCTCAGCCTCCCATGTAGCTGGGACCACAGGTGTGCACCACTGCACCCAGGTAATTTTTGCATTTTTGGTAGAGATAGGGTTTTGCCACGTTGTCCAGACTGGTCTTGAACTCCTGAGCTCAGGTGATCTGCCCACCTTGGCCTCCCCAAATGCTGGGATTATAGGCATGAGCCACCACACCTGGTCAAAAGTAGTTTTAATATTTAAATTTAAAACTAAAAAAGTTAATCTCTCTTCCTACTTTCATTTCTTCATCAGGGGCTATTGGTTTATTCCCACCGACTAGATCCAAGTTCTCTGATACTACCTTTAAACCACTCCATCACTTTCCAGTTCCACTGCATACAGTGTGGGCTTCTGAGGTTTCCTGGTTCAAGGTGTCCTTGTTCAATGCGGCATGGGTCATTCCCTGAGCATTTTTTTTTTTTTTTGACAGTCTCGCTCCATTGCCCGGTTTGGAGTGCAGTGGTGTGACCTCGGCTTACTGCAGCCTCTGCCTCCCAAGTTCAAGCAATTCTGCCTCAGGCTCCCGGATAATTTTTGCATTTTTAGTAGAGACAGGGTTTCACCGCGCTGGCCAGGCTGGTCTCGAACCCCTAACCTCAAGCGATCTGCCTGCCTCGGTCTCCCAAAGTGCTGGGATTACAGACATAAGCTACCGTGCCCGGCCTCCAGAGCATCTTTATTCTCAGTTTCAGCGGGAAGAAGGGGGAAGGTTGGTAAAAAGAGAGGCACAAAGTTTAAAAAGGACATTGCGTGAAGAAACTAAAGGTTTCTCCTTCTCCACACTATTGACATTTGGGATCGGATCACTACTCGTTGGGAAACGTCCTGTACATTTCCAGGGTGTTCGGCACCATCCCTAGCCTCTACCCCCTAGATACCAGCTCACATCCTCACAGTTAACAGTGATCAAAAATGTCTCTGGGCAGTAGAAAATATTTCCTGAAATGCAAAGTTTTCTTAGGTTGAGAACCATTGTAATCTAGCCCCATCTTTAGAGAAGAAATTGAGTAACGGATCTACATCCATTGAGGAACTATCGACACCCCAGGGGCCCATGAAATGTAAACTCGCACTCACAATTAACCATCTTTCTCCAACGTGTGTATTTCATGTAGCCACACTCTCAGATGCCCACCCCCATGACCTACAAGTCCTAAACAGGGAAACCTGTGGCACATGGGTTCATGTGTGTCTGAATCTATACGTTCAGAGATGAACAAGTACTGCTCTCCCTATACCTGTGACCACTCGCCTCCGCCCATCACTGAATTCTGAAAATGTGGCCTCAGGCTCACAGCAGCATTAGCACTTGCTTGCTCTGGATCTCATCACATTGATGATCAAGAACAAAGTATTCACTGGGTTCTCTGCTAAGGATACAAAAAAAACCATTCCACAATTCCACGGCCATGTTTGCACCCAGGAACCACGAGGGCTGGGTTAGCCCAGATGGTGGGCTTGGGAAATGTTCCTGGAGCAAAAAAAAGAGCCAGAAGTCATGAGAGCCTGACCCCCTCCCCCAACGCGCACACACACACACCACTCTCTACCTCCAAGCCTCATTTTCAGGCTTCTCAAAGCTAAGGTCACTCCCATGAGCTAAGCCGCGCTTTTCTCAATCCTCAGCTCTTCCACAAGAATAGGAAGAACTCTCTCCTGTTCAAGATCCTGTGGCTCAGCTGCAGCTCTGGAAGAAAGACCCCGGTGAGGGTCTTGCTTTTCACAATCCCCAATCCCAGACCACATCCTGTGCCCCAAAACAACTTCCATGGTAACCACATCCTTCAGGAAGTGAAGTCAGGCAGGAAGTCAAGTCAGAAGACGGAATGGGCTGGGCATGGTGGATCGCACCTGTAATCCCAGCACTTTGGGAGGCAGAGGCAGGTGGATCACATGAGGTCAGGAGTTTGAGACCAGCCTGGCCAACATGGTGAAACCCTGTCTCTACTAAAAATACCAAAAGTAGCCAGGCTTGGTGGTGCATGCCTGTAATCCCAGCTACTCTGGAGGCTGAGGCAGGAGAATCGCTTAAACCCGGAAGGCGGAGGTTGCAATGAGCCGAGATCGCACCATTGCACTCCAGCCCGGGGGACAGAAAAAAAAATGTAGCTGAGCATGGTAGTGCACGTCTGTGATCTCAGCTACTTGGGAGTCTGAGGCAGGAGAATCACTTGAACCCAGGCGGTGGAGGTTGCAGTGAGCCAAGATTGTAATAGTCCAATGTGTTCACCTTGCCCACTGCCTAGACAGAGCTGATTCGTCAAGACAGGGAATCGCAATAGAGAATAATTCATGCAGAGCTGGCTCTACGAGAGACCAGAGTTTTATTATTATTCAAATCAGTGTCTCCCAGCATTCAGGAAGCGTTTTTAAGGATAACTTGGTGGGTGGGTGGGAAGCCAGTGAGCCAGGAGTGCTGTTTGGTCAGGGATGAAATCGTGGGAGCCAAAGCTATCTTCTTGCACTCAGTTCCTGAGTGGAGGCCAAAAGATAAGATGGGCCAGTTTATTGATATGGGTGGTGCCAGCTGATCCATCAAGTACAGGGTCTGCAAGTTAAACGCTGATCTTAGAAGCAGTTTAGGGAGGGTCACAATCTTGTAGCCTCCAGCTGCATGACTCCTAAGTCATAATTTCTAATCTCGTGGCTAATGTTCGTCCTACAGGGCCAATCTAGTCCCCAGGCAACAAAGAGGTGTGCTTTGGAAAAGGGCTATCATCTTTGTTTAAACTATAAGTTTCTCCCAAAGTTCAGCCTATGCCCAGGAATGAAAAAGGACAGCTTGGAGGTTAGAAGCAAAATGGAGTCAGTTAAATCTCTTTCACTGTCTCAGTCATAATTTTGGAAAGGTGGTTTCAAGCTGGCACAACTGCACTCCACCCTAGGAGACAGAGCGAGACCCTGTCAAAAAAAAAAAAAAAAAACAAGAAGTGAAGTCAAGATAGGAGGTAAATTCGGAAGACAGGAAGTGGTGGTAGAAGACAAGAAGTGAAGTCATACAGGAAGTAAAGTCAGAAGACAGGAAGTGAAGTAAGAAGACAGGAAGTGGTTGTAGAAGACAGGAAGTGAGGTCATACAGGAAGTAAAATCAGAAGACAGGAAGTGACGTCAAACCAGGATTTGCAGTCGGAGGCAGGCAAGAAGTGAAATCAGAAGACGGGAAGTGGCTGAGGGGAACGTCTTTTCTCTCTCCTGCTCAGCCCGAAGTGAACAGGTAGCATCAGGTGTGCCATTTCAGTGACTGGGCACAGCCCAGGCACCCACATCTCTCTGCAGCGCCTATTCTTGGAACACCAGAGACCTCTACACTATTTTCTGTTGCTTTTTTCCTTCATTTTCAGAGATGAGATCCTGGATTGAATGACTACTATGGAAAGTGATTGACCAAGGTAAGTCACAACTATCTTGTTCTTTAATTTTGGTGTTGTTTGTTATGACTTGTTAGCCGTCTAGCACTCATAGCTTTGCATTTCCACTCTGCATTACTTGTATTTTTATTATTTTGTGATATTCGTAATAATTTATTATAAAACTGTGTTATTTTTGGATATTTTTAAGTTAAAATGCGATTTTTTAACTAAGTGGCAGTATGCAAAGCAAGTGGTTCAGAACTCTCCCCCATTAATAAGTCTTCTCTCCTGAAAGAAACAATTTTGAGACTTCCTGTTCTTAATTCTGTTTAACAGCATACTTCTAAAAGAAAAAGTGTATACTGTTATTATTTATTGTGTTACAAAAATATACACGCACCTTTCATGCACGTCCGTGTGAAGAGACCACCAAACAGGCTTTGTGTGAGCAATAAAGCTTTTAATCACCTGGGTGCAGGTGGGCTGAGTCTGACAAGAGAGTCAGCGAAGGGGGATAGGGGTGGGGCCGTTTTATAGGATGTGGGTAGGTAAAGGAAAATTACAGTCAAAGGGGGGTTGTTCTCTGGCGGGCAGAGTCGGGGTCAT
This sequence comes from Homo sapiens, assembly GCF_000001405.40. Taxonomy (NCBI): domain Eukaryota; kingdom Metazoa; phylum Chordata; class Mammalia; order Primates; family Hominidae; genus Homo; species Homo sapiens. The sequence continues at coordinate 652,234 of NW_003571055.2, forward strand.
AAGGTGCTCAGTAGGGGAGCTTTTGAGCCAGGATGAGCCAGGAGAAGGAATTTCACAAGACAATGTCATCAGTTAAGGCAGGAACAGGCCATTTTCGCTTCTTTTGTGGTGGAATGTCATCAGTTAAGGCACGAACCGGCCATCTGGATGTGTACGTGCAGGTCACAGGGGATATGATGGCTTAGCTTGGGCTCAGAGGCCTGACATTCCTGTCTTCTTATATTAATAAGAAAAATAAAATGAAATAGGGGTAAAGTGTTGGGACAGCAAAAATTTTTGGGGGTGGTATGGAGAGATAATGGGTGATGTTTCTCAAGGCTGCTTTGAGCAGGATTAGGGGCGGCGTGGGAACCTAAAGTGGGAGCGATTAAGCTGAAGGAAGATTTTGTGGTAAGGGGTGACATTGTGGGATTGTTAAAAGAAACATTTGTCATTTAGAATTATTGGTGATGGCCTGGATACAGTTTTGTATGAATTGAAAAACTAAAGGGAATAAGGAAAGGAGAAAAACAGGTATTAAAGGTCTAAGAATTGGGACGACTCAGGACATCTAATTAGAAAGTGCCTAAGGAGGTTCAGCATAGCCTTGCCAGCAAAGATTATTTATTTATTTTAAGAGTTAACAGTGGCGGTATGGGGATAGTACCAGGAGATACCAGCTGTGCTGGCTTGGAGAAACAGTGTAAACTGGCAGTGTAAACAAGAGCAGGGCATGTGTGAGTAGTTGAGAACGGTGAATAGGAGTATGACTAGACAGAAGATAGTAGGGATGACAAGTTTTTTGGGGCACAATCTAAGTTGGTCTGGTGTCTGGAATGAGACTGGGGCCTAATAAAAAGGAGTGTCTACACAGGAGCTTAAATGGGCTGTATCTTGTAGCATTCCAAGGACAGGCCTGAATTCTGGAAGCGAAAATGGTAAAAGTATTGTCCAGTCCTTTTTAAGTTGGTGGCTGAGCTTGGTGAGGTGTGTTTTTAATAGACCATTAGTCTGTCACTGAATACTAAGAGCCTGAAAAAATGCTTGGCTGATTTGACTAATAAAGGCTGGTCTGTTAGCAGACTGTATAGAGGTGGGAAGGCTGAACTGAGGAATTTTGTCTGACAGAAGGGAATGACAAGGCTAAACTGAAGAATTATGTCTGACAGAAGGGAAGAAATGACTGCGGTGGCCTTCTCAGACCCTGTAGGAAAGGACTGTACTTACCCAGTGAAAGTGTCTACCTAGACTAAGAGGTATTTTAGTTATCTTACTCGGGGCATGTTGAGTAAAGCTAATTTGCCAGTCCTGGGCGGGGGCAAATCCTTGAGCTTGATGTGTAGGGAAGGGAGGGGGCCTGAATAATCCATGAGGAGTAGTAGAATAGCTGATGCAACACTGAGAAGTGATTTCTTTGAGGATAGATTTCCACAATGGAAAGGAAATGAGAGGTTCTAAGAGGCTGGCTAGTGGCTTGTACCATAGCATAGCCTGCCTTTGCTGGTGTGTGGCGATTAGGCCTGGTGGAACCGCCATCAATAAACTAAGTGTGATCAGGGTGAGAAACAGGGAAGAAGGAAATGTGGGGAAATGGGGTGAACGTCAGGTGGATCAGAGAGATGCAGTCATGGGGGTCAGGTGTGGTATCTGGAATAATGTGGGAGGCCAGATTGAAGTCCGGGCCAGGAACAATGGTAATTGTGGGACTTAACAAAGAGTGAGTACAGCTGAAGGAGCCAGGGAGCAGAAAGTATATGCATCAGGTGTGAGTAAGAAAATAGATTTTGGAAATTATGAGAGCTGTAGAGAGTGAGTTGAGCATAGTTTGTGATTTTGAGGGCCTCTAAAAGTATTAAAGCAGCGGCAGCCACAGCACGCAGATATGAGGGCTAGGCTAAAACAGTAAGGTCAAGTTGTTTGGACAGAAAGGCTACAGGGTGTGGTCCTGGCTCTTGTGTAAGAGTTCTGACCGCGCTAACCATGCCTAGGAAGGAAAGGAGTTGTTGTTTTGTAGAAGGTGCTGGGGCTTGAGAGATCAGTCAGACACGATCAGCAGGGAGAGCACGTGTGTTTTTATGAGAATTATGCCGAGATAGGTAACAGATGAGGATGAACTTTGGGCTTGACTGAAGTAATGGGGGCTGTCTGTGAAACCTTGCAGCAGTACAGCCCAGGTAATTTGCTGAGCCTAATGGGTGTCAGGGTCAGTCCAAGTGAAAGCGAAGAGAGGCTGGGACGAGGGGTGCAGGGGAATAGTGAAAAAAGCATCTTTAAGATCAAGCATGGAATAGTGAGTTGTGGAGGAAGGTATTGAGGACAAAAGAGTGTAGGGGTTGGGCACCACAGGGTGCATAGGCAAAACAATTTGATAAGGCGCAGATCCTGAACTAATCTGTAAGACTTTTCCGGTTTTTGGACAGGTAAAATGGGGGAATTGTAAGGAGAGTTTATAGGTTTTAGAAGCCCATGCTATAGCAGGCGAGTGATAACAGGCTTTAATCCTTTTAAAGTGTGCTGTGGGATGGGATATTGGCATTGAGCAGGGTAAGGGTGATTAGGTTTTAATGGGATGGTAACGGGTATGTGATCAGTTGCCAGGGAAGGAGTAGAGATGTCCCATACTTGTGGGTTAAGGTGGGGGAATAGGAGAGGAAGACGCGAAGGAGGCTTTGGGTTGAGGAGAAGGGTGGCAATGAGATGCGGCTGTAGTCCAGGAATAGTCAGGGAAGCAGATAATTTGGTTAAAATATCTCGGCCTAATAAGGGAACTGGGCAGGTGGGGATAACTAAAAAAGAGTGCATAAAAGAGTGTTGTCCAAGTTGGCACCAGAGTGGGGGAGTTTTCAGGGGTTTAGAAGCCTGGCCGTCAATACCCACAACAGTTATGGAGGCAAGAGAAACAGGCCCTTGAAAAGAAGGTAATGTGGAGTGGGTAGCCTCCGTATTGACTAAGGCGACGGACTTACCTTCCACCGTGAGTGTTACCCGAAGCTCGGCATCCGTGATGGTCTACAGAGCTTCCGAGGCGATTGGGCAGCATCAGTCTTCAGCCGCTAAGCCGAGAAGGAGTCAGAGAGCCTTGGGCCAGAGTTCCAGGGGCTCTGGGAGTGGCTGCCAGGTGAGTTGAACAGTCCGATTTCCAGTGGGGTCCCGCACAGATGGGACACGGCTTAGGAGGAATCCTGGGCTGCAGGCATTCCTTGGCCTGGTGGTCAGATTTCTGGCACTTGTAGCAAGCTCCTGGGGGAGGAGGTTCTGGAGGAACGCCTGGCCGCTGCGGTTCAGTTCCCTTCTTGTGTGCTGGAGATGTGGCTGGGGTTTGTCTCACAGTGGAGGCAAGGAATTGCAACTTTTTTCTATTATTGTACACCTTGAAGGCGAGGTTAATTAAATCCTGTTGTGGGGTTTGAGGGCCGGAATTTAATTTTTGGAGTTTTATTTAATGTCGGGAGCAGATTGGGTAATAAAATGTGTATTAAGAATAAGACGGCCTTTTGACTTTTAAGGGTCTAGGGCTGTAAAGCTTCTCAGGGTTGCTGGCGAACGAGCCATGAATTGGGCTGGATTTTTATATTTGATGAAAAAGAGCCTAAACACTATCTGATTTGGGATAAAGAAAAAGGAGCATTAACCTTGACTATGCCTTTAGCTCCAGCCACCTTTCTAAGAGTAAATTGCTGGGCAGGTGGAAGAGGGCTAGTCACTGAACGAAACTGTAAGCTGGACCAGGTGTGGGGAGGGGAGGTGATAAAAAGATAATACGGTGGAGGAGCGGAGGCTGAGGAAGAATTGGGACCTAGCTCAGCCTGGGGAGGAGGGAGAGGTCAGACGGGTCTGTAGAAAAGGAAGATTAGAAAGACTCAGCGACGCTTGGGGTTGAGACTGAGGGGACAGGCAGGAGGGAAAGAAGGAAGATTTGGGACGAGTTGCACTGGGCACAGAGACTAGGAAGGGACTGATGTGTAAAAGAATGCCTGGACGTCAGGCACCTCAGACCGTTTGCCCATTTTACGACAAGAATTATTTAGATCTTGCAGGATGGAAAAATTGAAAGTGCTGTTTTCTGGCTATTTGGAACTGCTGTCCAGTTTGTATTGGGGTCAAGCGGCATTGCAGAAGAAAATAAGGCATTTAGGTTTTAGGTCAGGTGTGAGTTGAAGAGGTTTTAAGTTTTTGAGAACACAGGCCAAGGGAGAGAAGGAGGAGGAATGGAGGGTGGAAGGTTGCCCATAGTGAAGGAGGCAAGCCTAGAGAAAAGAGAGAGTAGAGACACGGAGGGAAGGGGTTCGGGAGTTCTTACCTTCCAGAAAAGCGGGAAAGGGGTTGGGGCATGGATATAAGGGGTTGGGGCACAGAGATAAGAGGTTGGGGCATGGAAATAAGGGATCAGGGTGCAGAGATACGAGGTTGGGGTACTTGCCCCTCTAGAAAAGCGGGACTTGCCGCTAAGAGTGAAGGAGAAGGGGTTGGGGGTTTCTTGCCCCCCAGAAAGGTGGAGAAGGGGTAGAGACATGGAGAGGAGGGGTTGGGGAACTTGCCCCTTCCCCAGAAAAGTGGGACTTGCCACTAAGGGTGAAGGACCAAGGCAGGCATCCCTGCGTGATCTGACACCTCTGAAGCGTGGGTATATAATCAGAGAGGCGTCCCTGCAATGATTAAACGCCAAGGGAAGGCTGCCTTCCCTAGTCCGTGACCGGCGCCGGAGTTTTGGGTCCACAGATAAAACGTGTCTCCTTTGTCTCTACCAGAAAATGAAAGGAATTGAAATTAAGAGAAGGGAGAGATTGAAGAGTGGAAAGGAGAAAGTGGTTGAGGGACAGTGAGAGAGGTTGGAGAAGAGAGTAAGAAGAGGTCGCTTACCCAATTTAAACTTGGTGAGATGTTCCTTGGGCTGGTGGGTCTGAGGACCTGAGGTCGTAGGTGGATCTTTTTCACAGAGCAAAGAGCAAGACAGGGGATTGATCTCCCAAGGGAGGTCCCCCGATCCAAGTCACGGCACCAAATTTCATGTGCGTCCATGTGAAGAGACCACCAAACAGGCTTTGTGTGAGCAATAAAGCTTTTAATCACCTGGGTGCAGGTGGGCTGAGTCCGACAAGAGAGTCAGCGAAGGGGGATGGGGTGGGGCCGTTTTATAGGATTTGGGTAGGTAAAGGAAAATTACAGTCAAAGCGGGGTTGTTCTCTGGCGGGCAGAGTGGGGGTCACAAGGTGCTCTGTAGGGGAGCTTTTGAGCCAGGATGAGCCAGGAGAAGGAATTTCACAAGACAATGTCATCAGTTAAGGCAGTAACAGGCCATTTTCACTTCTTTTGTGGTGGAATGTCATCAGTTAAGGCAGGAACCAGCCATATGGATGTGTACGTGCAGGTCACAGGGGATATGATGGCTTAGCTTGGGCTCAGAGGCCTGACAGCACCTACCTAAAAAATTCCAATAGCACTAAAAGGGTGTGTACAAAATGCAGTGGCTGACTAACCATCTCCTCCATTGCTCCGCCTAAGAGACACCCACTTTTAGCTGTTTTCTTTAGGAACTTGTTAATATTAGGTTTCTAAAAACATGTAACCATGTGAATGAGCTTAGACTTACTGGATTCCTATCATAATAGGCGGGGCCTTAGTTATTCTACAGCGTTGTTCTTACTGTTTTTTCTCTTCCAATGTTTATCTCTATGTCTGCATATCAACATTCAGTATCACATTTTTTTTTTTTGAGACAGAGTCTCACTCTGTCACCCAGGCTGGAGTGCAGTGGCGCAATCTCAGCTCACTGCAGCCTCAGTCTCCTGAGTAGCTGGGACTACAGGCGTGTGCCACCACGACTGGCTAATTTTTGTATTTTTAGTAGAGACAGGGTTTCACCATGTTGGCTGAGCTGGTCTCGATCTCCTGACCTCGTGATCTGCCCACCTCAGCCTCCCGAAGTGCTGGGATTACAGGCATGAGCCACCACGCCCGGCCAGTATCACATGTTTATACCCACAGATATTCGCAGCCGAGAATTTTCGGGTAATATAACTTGCTTCTTTTATTTTTGTTGTTGTTATTGTTCCCCTAAAGTTTATATTTGTTTTTTATTTTTATTTTCTTTTGAGGCAGGGTCTCACTCTGTCACCCAGGTTTGACAGCAGTGGTGCAATCATGGCTCACTGCAGCCTCAACCTCCCCGGGCTCAGGTGATCCCCAACCTCAGCCTCCTGAGTACCTGAGAGTAGGCATGTGGTACCACACCCAGCTAATTTTTTATATTTTTTGTATATGAGACAAGGTTTCACCATGTTGCCCAGGCTGGTCTCGAACTCTTAGGCTCAAGCGATCCCGCCTCAGCCTCCCAAAGTGCTGGGATTACAGGTGTGAGCCACTGTGCCTAGGCTATACTGGTCTTTTTAAAATCTACTTAGTTTACTTGACCTCTAAAATTATTTTTCCTCTGTCTTCTGATAGCATCTCAGTATGATTTTCCACTATGTTAAGACGAGGAATTGACCCATTCTTACATTTGGAGGCTTCTCTAAGCAACTTTCCCATTCCCCCTTCACCCAAGCTGTGTGCTCACTAGCCCTGATTCACAGCCGTCGTCCTGGAACTTCTTGGTGCCATCCTTCTGTCTTTTCCCAAGTGACTCACCTACCTCAACCTCCCAAAGTGCCGGGATTACAGGCGTGAGCCACTGTGGCCAGCCATTCTTTTCCTTTTTTAAAACAATTTTTATCTTCTTTATTTTAAGTAGAGATGGGGTCTCACTATGTTGCCCAGGCTGGTCTTGAACTCCTGGGCTCAAGCGATCCTCCTGCCTTGGCCTCCCACAGTGCTAGGATTACAGACATGATCCACTGCACTTGGCCCAGTGGTACAGTTTTACACTCATTAGATGGTCAAGAAATGCCTAAACGCTATAATAAATATAGAACTTTACCTTGAGAAGACCTAACATTTCCTTCAGAAAGTAAATATGAGAGGGGTGGAGACGGTGCATTATCTTATTTTTATGATTTTAAAAATGTATACAGAATTGTACATATTTATGGGGTGGACAGCAATATTGCAGTACATGTATACAACGTGCTATGATCAAATCAGGGTAATTGACATATTCATCCCTGTATTTTTTGAGACAAAGTCAGGCTTCGTCACCCGAGCTAGAGTGCAGTGGTGTGATCTCAGCTCACTGCAACCTCTGCCTCCCAGGCTCAAGCCATTCTCCCACCTCAGCCCCCTGAGTTGCTGGGAGTATAGGGATGCACCACCACACCTGGCTAATTTTTGTGTTTTTTTGTTTTGTTGGTAGAGATGAGGTTTCACCATGTTGCACAGGCTGATCTTGTTTTCTAATGTGAAGGGAAGCGGGCAACGTGCTAGTTTTACACTAAGGAAAATGAATGACATACCCAAACTGCCTGCAAGACCCGTTCTGAGAGACGAAAGGAGATTTGTTAGACCGCAGTGGGAGATGGAGTGAGGGTGAGAGTTTCTGGGGAAAACCAGACAAGAGCACAGAGGGCCAAAGGGAAGCACGGGAGGATTTTGCACAGAGGATGGAACAGAGTCAACCCTGAGAGCTGGGAACCTTAGAGATCCGTCTGGAGCCCATATTAGAGAGGTTGAAGAAAGAGGCCAGTATGTGGTCCAGCCAGGGTACCATGTCATCCACAGTGTGCAGGGAGGAGGATGGGGTCTCCACAGATTCCTTCCATCCCAAATGGAGGGTGCCCTCAGACAGAGAGGCAGACAGACAGACAGACACTGGCCGAACGGCTCCCTGATGGAACACCAGGAGGAGGCAGCATGGCCTCGTTTCCACAGCTGTAGCCTCTGCCCTCCTGCTTCCACGCTCCACACACGCCAGTCTTTGAGTCGCCTCCCATGCCATGATCCCTCCCTTGGATACGACCGTGCCTGGGGTTCAGCGGTCATGAACATAACCCGCGGCTGTGAACATCCTGTCGGCCTCCATCCTGACCCCCGTTTGATTTCCGGGTCAGCGGGAGGGGCGGGAGGGGCGGAAGCGGCCTCTGCACAGCCCTGCCCCTGTGCCGCAGGCGCTTCCTCCGGCTGTGCCAGTCCTCTGCCAGAAACCCCGCCAGGATTATTAGGATCACAGCCCCGAGGCATATCCGGACCAGGTTGCCCTTGGTGTAGTACTGGCGGGCAGGACCTGGAGGAATGAGGAGAGGCAGGAGCAGGTGAAAGAGCCCACCTCCAGGACCCCCTCCAAGCCACATCTGGGCTTCTCAGAGATCCTATTATTCTCTACTAGCTAGGGGATGCCGCTCACTTTCCTGGAGGGTCCCTCCCTTCCCGAGTAGGGGTCAGGGCCAGATGACCCCAATTCTCTAAGTAGCACCTCTCCCTCCTGTGCTCTCACAGGGCTCTGAGACAACTCCTCCCCAGACACAGATGCTGCCTCGTTATCTGATGCATTGCAAAAGAGAGGACAGTTATAAGGGGTGGGGAAGAGATGGAATCTCTCTTTCTCTGACCCTTTTTAAAATCTCAACCTTCCCACCTGATCTTAATGCCCAATTCTGAACCCCATACGCTGATATTCTGCCTTTACTCTACACACTGGAACCCAAGATCTGAGAGCTGCAGCCCCTGCGTAGACAAAGGAGTTGGCTTTGGTGAAGAGACGGGTGAGAAGGAAGGGGGTCTGGAGAGGATGACTTACTCACCAGCTGGAGAGTCTGACTCCTTTGGACTGGCGGTGATACTCCTAGAAGTCTCTGGGAACCAAACAAAGGCTAAGTGTGAAATGAAACCATATTCCCGCCCCCTGTCACTGTGCCTACTCCGAACACACACACACATGGGGAGGCACAATTCCACAGCATTTAAGAAAAGCATGGGCCGGGCACGGTGCCTCATGCCTATAATCCCAGCACTTTGGGAGGCTGAGGTAGGAGGCTGGCTTGAGTCCAGGAGTTCAAGACCAACCTGAGCAACATAGAAAAACCCTATCTCTACAAAAAAATACAAAAATTAGCCAGGCGTGGTGGCACGTGCCAGTAATCCCAGCTACTCAGTGGAGGCTGAGGCAGGAAGATCACCTGAGCCCTGGGAGGTTGAGGCTGCAGTGAGCCAGGATTGTACCACTGCACTCTAGCCTGGGAAACAGAGCGAGACCCTGTCCAAAAAAAAAAAAGCAAGAACTGTAGAGTCAGGCTGTCCTCCAGATTTGAACCCCAACTCTATCACCTATTAGATGTCAGTTATCTGGCAAGTGACTCAGCATCTGTGAGCCAGTTCCCCATGTGTCCAATAAAATTAACAAGATCCCTTATAGGTTGATGTGAAAGTCAAGATAATAATAATGGTAGAAATATAAAGCACCGTGCTTGACATATGAGCACCTCATACGTGCCAGCTTTTTTTTTTTTTTTTTTGAGACAGAGTCTGGCTCTGTCTCCCAGGCTGGAGTGCAGTGGCCCGATGTCGGCTCACTTCAACCTCCGCCTCCTGGGCTCAAGCGATTCTCCTGCCTCAGCCTCCCGAGTAGCTGGGACTACAGGCGTCCGCCACCACGCCCAGCTAAGTTTTGTATTTTTAGTAGAGATGGGATTTCACCATATTGGCCAGGTTGGTTTTGAACTCCTGACCTTGTGATCCGCCCGCCTAGGCCTCCCAAAGTGCTGGGATTACAGGCGTGAGCCACTGCACCCGGCCTCCAGCTCTCTTATTCCTCAAGTATCTCCTGAGACTCGCCAGGTACTCAGCCATGTGCTGGGCCATGGGAACCCAAATATTAATAAGACATTGTCAGGCCAGGCATGACACTGGCTGAATGCCTGTAATCCCAGCACTTTGGGAGGCCAAGGTGGGCGGATCACCTGAGGTCAAGAGATCGAGACCATCCTGGCCAACATGGTGAAACCCCGTCTTTACTAAAAATACAAAAAATAGCTGGGCATGGTGGCACACACCTGTAGTCCCAGCTACTCAGGAGCCGGAGATTGCAGTGAGCTGAGATCGCAGAGTGAGCCGAAATCACAGATCACAGAGTGAGCAGAGTGAGACTCCGTCTCAAAAACAACAACAAAAAACAAAAAAACCATAAGACATTGTCCATCTGCGGTTCCCAGACTATTGCAGGAGACCAAAAAGTAAAGCGATTTTTTTTTTTTTTTAATACGGAGTCTCACTCTGTTGCCCAGGCTGGAGTGCTGTGGTGTGATCTCAGGTCACTGCAACCTCCAACTCGTGAGTTCAAGCGATTCTCCTGCCTCAGCCTCCCAAGTAGCTGGAATTACAGGTGCCCACCACCACGCCCGGCTAATTTTTGTATTTTCAGTAGAGACGGGGTTTCAGCATGTTGGCCAGGCTGGTCTCCTGACCTCAGGTGATCCACTCACCTTGGCCTCCCAAAGTGCTGGGATTACAGACAAAGCGATAATTTTAATATACTGTAAAAATTGCTGTAATAGGCAGCCCACAAGACACTGAGCGAGAGCAGAGGAAACCATCGATCCAGCCTGGACGGTCAAGGCTTTCTTGAGGAATTGATGCCATGGGGAAATGGAAGAAAAGGCAGAGTGAGTGGGTTGGGTGCAGAGTCAGGAGAGGTTAGGAAGCCTCCAGGAGAGCTTCAAGTGACTGTGTGTGGCTGAGAACAGCATGGGAATGCGTGGAAGGTATGCAGACAAAATTGGAGGGATCAACAGGGGCTGGATATCTAAGCTCACAGAATAGCAAGCTGAGGAATTGGAACTGCATCCTGAGGGTGATTGGGAGGTTCCGAACTGAAGATAGGGAAGGCTTCCATCACAGAACTCCCTGGGATATGCCGGGCGCGGTGGCTCATGCCTCCAATCCCAGCACTTTGGGAGGCCGAGACAGGTGGATCATGAGGTCAGGAGTTCAAGACCAGCCTTCCCAAGATGCTGAAACCCCGTCTCTACTAAAATACAAAAATTAGCCAGGTGTGGTGGCATGCACCTATAATCCCAGCTACTCGGGAGGCTGAGGCAGGAGAATCGCTTGAACCCGGGCAGCAGAGGTTACAGTGAGCCGAGATCGCACCACTGCACTCCAGCCTGGGCGACAGAGCAAGACTCCACCTCAAAAAAATAAAAAATAGAACTACGTGGGATCAGGTGCCTCATGAAAGCCAGAGTCATGTGGGCCCAGTGGAAGTATCTAACCTATTATCAGGGAATCTGTGAAGGTGTTTAGTCTGGAAGGAAATGGAGATTTTCCAGGACAGGCAAGGGGAAAGAGACTGAGGAAAGCGTATCTGCAGAGGCCTGGAGCGGTTAGAAGATGTGCTGTGTCCAGGTGCCTACAGTCTGTGTGCGTCCGAGCATGGGCTCTACCTGGACACAGTGAGGAGCGAGATTAAATACCTGGATCACAGCCGAGTCCAAAGCCTAGGACTTCATCCTGGGAGCAGTGCGTAGGGATGGCGGTCGTCCCGCCACAGCCTTGGCTCCGCCATCTTTGAAATGGCCCCATCACCCAAAACGCTCCTCCTTCTGAACCCCAGAGCTCCACTCTGCACCCATGCTCTAGCCTCACACCAAGGACTTTCTTGGTAAGAGACGGACAGTTCGGTGAAGTGATTAAAAGCCTACAGGCTTAGATAATGGAAGAGAGAGCTCCGTCCTCACACTCCTTTCTGCTGAGCATGAAATGCCTGGTTACTCACCAGTTGTGAAGACTTCGTTTGTGAATGAGACGGTCAGTTCAGCGGTGGCTTCTGAGAATTCTAAGAAAGCAAAACAATGTTAGGTCTTCCCCGTGGTTCCCTATATCCTCTAGATATCTCCATTCCCCTTTTGAGATATCTAGGCTCCCTGAAACCCCTTTCTCTGACACACTGCACAGACACTGAAGACAGACAAATTCGAAAGGTGTAAGACTTATCTTCCATGACCGGCTTAGTAAGAAGCAGATCCGTTCAGCAATTGATAGACACTTGGTTTTTTTTCCACGTTTTGCTGTTATGAATATTGCTGCTGTGAACATTGACGTACAGGTTTTTGTGTGAACATAAGTTTTCTGTTCTCTTGGGTACACACCCAGGGGTGGTGGAATCACTGGGTCATACAGTAACTCTGTGTTTTACTTTTTGAAGAACTACCAGACTTCTTTCTTTTTTTTCTTTTTTTTTTTTTTTTGAGACAGAGTCTCATTCTGTTGCCCAGGCTGGAGTGCAGTGGCGCGATCTCAGCTCACTGCAACCTCCACCTCCTGGGTTCAAGCGATTCTCCTCCCTCAGCCTCCCGAGTAGCTGGGATTACAGGCACCTGCCATCACGCCTGGCCAACTTTTTTTTTTGTACTTTAGTAGAGGCGGGGTTTCACCATGTTGGCCAGGATGGTCTCGATCTCCTGACCTCGTGATCCACCCTCCTTGGCCTCTCAAAGTGCTGGGATTACAGGCTGCGCCTGGCCACAGACTGTTTTTCAAAGCAGCTGCACCATTTTATATTCCCACCAGCAATATAAGAAGGTTCTTCCAAATCCTCACCAATACTTCTTGTCCGTTTGTTTTGTTTTAAAAATCATAGTCATCCTAGTTGGCATGGTGAATTTTATGGTATGTGAATTATATCTCAGTTTGAATAATAAGATGTGGATCCATGTCTTCGTGAGCCTAGAGGAAGAATGAGCTCGTGTTAGCCTCAGAACACGGGATCTCCACCTTCCAACTTAGGCCATTTTCTTTTTTTCTTTTTTTTTTTTTTTTTGAGACAGAGTCTTACTCTGTCGTCCAGGCTGGAGTGCAGTGGTGCAATCTCGGCTCACTGCAAGCTCTGCCTCCCGGGTTCACACCATTATCCTGCCTCAGCCTCCCGAGTAGCTGGGACTACAGGCACCCGCCACCACGCCTGGCTAATTTTTTTGTATTTTCAGTAGAGATGGGGTTTCACCGTGTTAGCCAGGATGGTCTCGATCTCCTGACCTTGTGATCCACCCGCCTCAGCCTCCCAAAGTGCTGGGAATACAGGCGTGAGCCACCGCGCCCGGCCAGGCCATTTTCTTAACCAGGGGCCTCCTGAGGCCACCAAAATATTCCTGAACTGCCTCAGCTGATAAATACGAAGCTCTTGTTGCAGTGGGTACTATCCTGGGAGTCTTTTTATGGTGGAACCAGCTTGGAAAAAACTAGTTTATGCTCAGCTCTCGGTGGCATAATGAGAGTGTGGGTATTATTTGGTCTTTGTTATTTCTCTTCGTGTGAGATGCATTAATAAACCTTTTTTTTTTTTTTCAATTAAAATTTCAGTTCCAGAATCCATGTGCAGGACGTGCAGGTTTGTTACATAGGTAAACGTGTGCCATGGTGGTTTGCTGCACCCATCAACCCATCACCTAGGTATTAAGCCCCACACGCATCAGCTATTTATCCTGATCCTCTCCCTCCCCCAATTCCCCCTACAGGCCCCAGTGTGTGGTGTTCCCCTCCCTGTGTCCATGTGATCTCATTGTTCAGCTGCCACTTACAAGTGAGAACATGCAGTGTTTGGTTTTCAGTTCCTGTGTTAGTTTGCTGAGGATAATGTTTTCCAGCTCCATCCATGTCCCTGCAAAGGACATGATCTCATTCCTTTTTATGGCTGCATAGTATTCCATGGTGTATATGTACTGTATTTGCTTTATCCTTTCTATCATTGATGGGCATTTGGGTTGATTCCTTGTCTTTGCTATTGTGAATAGTGCTGCAATGAACATATGTGTGCATGTATCTTTATAATACAATGATTTATATTCCTTTGGGTATATAACCAGTAATGGGATTGCTGGGTCAAATGGTATTTCTGGCCAGGCGCAGTGGCTCACACATGTAATCCCAGCACTTTGGGAGGCCGAGGTGGGCAGATCACCTGAGGTCAGGAGCTCAAGACCACCCTGGCCAACATGGTGAAACTCCCGTCTCTAGCAAAAATCCAAAAATTAGCCAGGCGTTGTGGCATGCACCTGCAGTCCCAGCTACTCGGGAGGCTGAGGCAGGAGAATCACTTGAACCCTGGAGGCAGAGGCTGCAGTGAGCCGAGATCATGCCCCTGCAATCCAGCCTGGGTGACAGAGTGAGACTCTGTTTAAAAAAAAAAAAAAAAAAAAAAGGTGGCCCTGGTGCGGTGGCTCACGCCTGTAATCCCAGCACTTTGGGAGGCCGAGGCAGGTGGATCACCTGAGGTCAGAAGTTTGAGACCAGCATGACCAACAAGGTAAAACCCCATCTCTACTAAAAGAAAAAAAAAAAAAAAAGCCAGGCATGGTGGCAGGCGCCTGTAGTCCCAGTTACTTAGGAGGCTGAGACAGGATAATTGCTTGAACCTGGGAGGTGGAGGTTGCAGTGAGCCGAGATCGCACCACTGCACTCCAGCATGGGCTATTGAGCAATACTACATCTCAAAAAAAAAAAAAAGGAAAAAGGATTTCTGGTTCTGGGTCTTTGAGGAATCACCACACTGTCTTCCACAATGAACTAATTTACATTCCCAACAGTGTAAAAGCATTCCTATTTCTCCACAGCCTCGCCAGCACCTGTTGTTTCTTGACTTTTGTTGGTTTTTTTTTTTTTTTTTTGAGATGGAGTCTTGCTCTGTCGCCCAGGCTGGAGTGCAGTGGCACAATCTTGGCTCACTGCAACCTCCGCCTCCCGGGTTCACGCCATTCTCCTGCCTCAGCCTCCCGAATAGCTGGGACTACAGGCGCCCGCCACCACGCCCGGCTAATTTTTTGTATTTTTAATAGAGACGGGGTTTCACCGTGTTAGCCAGGATGGTCTCGATCTCCTGACCTTGTGATCTGCCTGCCTCGGCCTCCCAAAGTGCTGGGATTACCGGCGTGAGCCACCGTGCCCGGCGTTTCTTGACTTTTTAATAATCGCCATTTTGACTGGTGTGAGATGGTGTCTAAATGTGGTTTTGATTTGCATTTCTCTAATGATTGGTGATGTTGAGCTTTTTTTTGTATGTTTACTGGCTGCATAAACGTCTTCTTTTGAGAAGTGACTGTTCATGTCCTTTACCCACTTTTTAATGGTTTTTTTTTTCTTGTAAATTTGTTTAACTTCCTTGTAGATTCTGGATATTAGACTTTTGTGAATTGATAGATTGCAAACATTTTCTCCCATTCTGTAGGTTGTCTGTTCACTCTGATGATACTTTCTTTTGCTGAGCAGAAGCTCTTTAGTTTAGTTAGATCCCATTTGTCAGTTTTTGCTTTTGTTACAATTGCTTTTGACGTTTTTGTCATGAAATCTTTGCCCATGCCTGTGTCCTGAATGGTATTACCTAGATTTTCTTCTAGGGTTTTTATAGTTTTCGGGTTTTGCATCCAAGTCTTTCATCCATCTTGAGTTAATTTTTGTACAAGGTGTAAGGAACGGGTCCAGTTTCTATTTTCTGCATATGGCTAGCCAATTCTCCCAGCACCATTTATTAACCCACAGCCAATTTCATACTAAATGGGCATTTCCCTTGAAAACCAGCACAAGACAAGGATGCCCTCTTTCACCACTCCTATTCAACATAGTATTGGAAGTTCTGGCCAGGATAATCAGGCAAGAGAAAGAAATAAAGGATACTCAAATAGGAAGAGAGGAAATCAAACTATCTCTGTTTGCAGATGACATGATCCTATATCTAGAAAACCCCATCATCTCAGCCCAAAAGTTTCTTAAGCTGATAAGCAACTTCAGCAAAGTCTCAGGATACAAAATCAATGTGCAAAAATCACAAGCATTCCTATACACCAACAATAGACAGGCAGAGAGCCAAATCATGAAGGAACTCCCATTCACAATTGCTACAAAGAGAATAAAATACCTAGGAATACAGCTAACAAGGAAAGTGAAGGACATCTTCAAGGAGAACTACAATTCACTGCTCAAGAAAATCAGAGCGGACACAAACAAATGGAAAAACATTCCATGCTCATGGATAGGATGAATCAATATCGTGAAAATGGCCATACTGCCCAAAGTAATTTATAGATTCATTGCTATTCCCATTGAACTATCATTGACATTCCTCACACAATTAGAAAAAACTATAAAATTCATATGGAACCAAAAAAGGGCCCATATAGCCAAGACAATACTAAGCAAAAAGAACAAAGCTGGAGGCCTCAGGCTCAGACTTCAGACTATATTACAAGGTGATAGTAACCAAAACAGCATGGTACTGGTACAAAAACAGACACATAGACCAATGGAACAGAATAGAGATCTCAGAAATAAGACCACACATCTACAACCATCTGATCTTCAACAAACCTGACAAAAACAAGCAATGGGGAAAGGATTCCCTATTTAATACACCTTGTTTTGATTTTGATTTCAACACAGCGTGTGGTATTTGCATGCCATGTGATACAGTTTGAATATGTGTTCCCACCAAATCTCATACTGGATTATGATCCCCAATGTTGGAGGTGGGGGCCTGGTGGGAGGTGTTTGGATCATAGGGGTGGATCCCTCATTGCTTGGTGCTTTCCTTGCAATAGTAAGTGAATTCTCACAAGATCTGGCTATTGCAAAGTGTGGCATGTCCCCCAGTCCCAACTCTCTCTCTCTCTTGCTCCTGCTCCCACCACATGAGACAGCTACCCCCTCTTTGCCTTCTGCCATGACTGTAAGCTTCCTGAGGCCTCCCCAAAAGCAGAAGCCAGCCTTCTGCTTCCTATACGGCCTTCAGAACCATGAACCAATTAAACCTCTTTTCTTATCAATGATCCAGTCTCAGATATTTATAGCAGCACAAAATCGGCCTAATATAGCATGAAATATTGCTCAGCAATCAAAAGGAACACATCATTGATACATACAGCAGCTTGGATGGGCCTCAGGGGCATTGCACTGAGTGACAAAAGGATATCTCAAACGGTTGCATACTGGATGATCCCATTTACATCAGATTCTAGAAATGGAAGATTATAGAGATGGAGAACAAATTAATGGATACCAGGAGTTAGGGATGGCAAGGGAAGGAGAAGGGTGTAGGTGTGAATATAAAAGGGTAGCCCAAGGGAGGCCCTTGTGAGACGGAAGAGTTCTGTACAGTGACTGCGGTGATGGTGACGCGAATCTACAACTGTGACAAATTGGCATAGAACTAGACACCTACTTTATGCCAATGTCAAATTCCTGGTTTTTATGTTGTACTCTAATTACGTAAGATGTAACCATTAGAGGAAACTGGAAAAAGAGCACATGGGATTCTTCTGTTCTATCATTGTAGACTTCCTGTGACTCTAGAACCATTTCAAAAGAGAAAGTTCAAAAATTCAGTCAGAAGCACACGCACACATATGCACGCATGCACACACACACATATGCACGCATGCACACACATATGCACGCACACACACATATGCACGCACACACGCACATGCACGCACACACACATATGCACGCACACAGTATGTGACCATCTTCCATGTCCCTGCCCACTAGGCATAATAGCCCTCACTCTGCCCTCAACCCCGCAAATCTCATCCTTATCAACCTCGGCTCTTTCCAGCATGTTTCTCCTGCCTTGGTGCTTCACTCTGAGACACAGGGAATGTTAGACACGCCCAGCCTCCAGCCTAGCGTATGATATTCTTAAAGTGCAGGCCGTAGTCTGGTACACCGTATTCAGCTGAGATGTTTGTGAAAGTGGAGGGGATAACACGCCTCACACAAAACTTACCGCAGTGGTTCTCAAAGCAGCATTCTGGAGCCATAGCATCAGCATCACCTGGGAACTTACTAGGAATGAAAATGACTGGATTCACCCCAGACCTACTGAAGCAGAAGCCCTGGGGGCTCAGAAATCTATTCTTTAAGCCTCCAGGTGATTCTTATGCTCATGGAAGTTTGAGAACCGCTGATCAATGCATTCAGTGACTCAGAAACAGAGTCCCGGACTCTACAGGTTTGTTGGTTGGTTGGTTGGTTGGTTGGTTGGTTAGTTTGTTTGTTTTTGTCACCCATATTCAACCAGCTGGACTCCACAGTATAGCAAGCCACTCCGATTATTCTTCTGCATGTTATATGTGATAAACCATCCACCTAGAGTAGGATTGGGGGCAGCATCTTAACATCTAACTACTTAGGACACCCACCCTGTTTACAGGCAGAAATAAAGGATTTTTAAAACAAAGCAAATCTGTGAAAGAACCAACTGAATTAAATCGAGAAGTCTAGGCAGAGAGGAGAGAGAGAAGGGGTCCGTGTACCTCATACGCTGTGCACCAGAATGGACCCTGCAGAACCTACCTGCTACCGGGGAAGGTGGTTCTGTTGGTAACCGGCTGGGGGTCACAGAGGTTCCTGGGAAATCAGAAAATGAGATAAATCTGTGCTCTGTCGCTGTGGGTCCTGAACAAATAACGAAACATCTCCGTGACTGAGTTTCCTCACCGGAAAAATGAGCCTAAAGTAGCTTACATCACTGGACTGTTGTGGATGTTAATAAGCATTTGAGCTGGGTGCAGTGCCTCATGCCTGTAATCCCAGCACTTTGGGAGGCTGAGGAGGGCAGATCACTTGAGGTCAGGAGTTCAAGCCCAGCCTGGCCAGTATGGTGAAACCCCGTCTCCACTAAAAATACAAAAATTAGCCAGGCGTGGTGGTGTGCACCTGTAATCCCAGCTGCTCGGGAGGCTGAGGCAGGAGAATCACTTGAACCTAGGAGGCAGAGGTTGCAGTGATCTGAGATCGCACCACTGCACTCCAGCCTGGGTGACGCAGTAAGACTCCATCTGAAAAAAAAAGGCTTAGCCAGGCGTGGTGGCTCACACCTGTAATCCCAGCACTTTGAGAGGCCGAGGCAGGCAGATCACCTGAGGTCAAGAGTTCAAGACCAGCCTGGCCAACATGGTGAAACCCTGTCTCTACGAAAAATACAAAAATTAGCTGGGCATGATGGCAGGTGCCTGTAATCCCATCTACTCAGGAGGCTGAGGCAGGAGAATCGCTTAAACCCAGGAGGTGGAGGTTGCAGTGAACTGAGATCACTCCACTGCACTCCAGCCTGGGTGACAAAGTGAGACTCCCCCCAAAAAAAAAAAAAAAAAAAAAAGCAGCAGCATTTGTAAAGCACACCTGGCACATTCTGGGCTATTAACAAGGAAATGCATGCAGCTCCCGTCCACCTTTTTCAACCTCAGTTCTATTTCTTCTGGATTCCTGTGTCCTACCCCTCACTGTGACCCTGGGGGCAAAACAGATTTTTCTACCAAAAACTAAATGATGTATTTTGTTTGATTTAATATGACATTGTTAAATGTACTGATCAGTGGCGTTGGGTATGTTCACATTGTGGTACAATATGTTGACCTCTAGAACTTATTTTTCTTGCAAAACTGAAATTCTGTGCCCATTAAACACTAATTCCTTCTCTCTCCTCTTTCTGGCCCTTAACAACCACCATTGTACTTTGTGTTTCTACAGTGTTGACATTAGATACCTCCTTTGACTAGAATCATACAGTAGTTGTCCTTTTGTGACTGACTTAGCATAATGTCCTCAAGGTATATCCATGTTGTAGTATGTGTCAGAATTTCCTTCTTTTTTAAGGCTGCATAATATTCCATTGCATGTATATAACCACATTATGAGGTATGCTGCTCTTTTTTGAAAGAAACCCCCTTTAAGAATGGTAGTCAAGTCCGACGCGGTGGCTCACGCCTGTAATCCCAGCACTTTGGGAGGCCGAGGCGGGCAGATCATGAGGTCAGTTCAAGACCAGCCTGACCAACATAGTGAAACCCCGTCTCTACTAAAAATACAAAAATTGGCCGGGCATGGTGGCAGGCACCTGTAATTCCAGCTACTCGAGAGGCTGAGGCAGCAGAATCGCTTGAACCCGGAAGGCGGAGGTTGCAGTGAGCTGAGATCGCGCCACTGCACTCCAGCCTGGGTGACAGAGTGAGACTTCGTCAAAAAAAAAAAAAAGAAACCTCCATTCTCCCAGCTGCCTGTAGCCCAGGGCTTCCTGCCCTCCCACTTCCTTCCCACCTCTGGCCCCGCCCCTGCAGCCCAGGGCTTCCTGCCCTCCCACTTCCTTCCCACCTACGGCCCCGCCCCTGCAGCCCAGGGCTTCCTGCCCTCCCACTTCCTTCCCACCTACGGCCCCGCCCCTGCAGCCCAGGGCTTCCTGCCCTCCCACTTCCTTCCCACCTACGGCCCCGCCCCTGCAGCCCAGGGCTTCCTGCCCTCCCACTTCCTTCCCACCTACGGCCCCGCCCCTGCAGCCCAGGGCTTCCTGCCCTCCCACTTCCTTCCCACCTACGGCCCCGCCCCTGCAGCCCAGGGCTTCCTGCCCTCCCACTTCCTTCCCACCTCTGGCGCCGCCCCTGCAGCCCAGGGCTTCCTGCCCTCCCACTTCTTTCCCACCTATGGCCGCGCCCCTACAGCCCAGGGCTTCCTGCCCTCCCACTTCCTTCCCACCTACGGCCCCGCCCCTGCAGCCCAGGGCTTCCTGCCCTCCCACTTCCTTCCCACCTACGGCCCCGCCCCTGCAGCCCAGGGCTTCCTGCCCTCCCACTTCCTTCCCACTTATGGCCCCTCCCTTGGAATGGCCATCAGGACCTATAAAGGCTGAGGAAGAAAGGTTTGGTCTGCACTACCCCTACCTGTGACCACAAGCTCCAGGGGGTCGCTGGGGGCTGACCACAGGTATGGGTCCCTGCTGGAGAAGCTGTAGCATCGGTAGGTTCCGCTGTGGGCGGCGGTCACCGTGATGATGGGAAAACTAGCCCTGTACCATCTCTCGGGATTCTTGTAGGGCGCAGGGTCCCCTTCCTTGTACAGAGCAAATTGGTCAAAGCCATACCGAGTCTGACACTGTAGGGTTACGTCCCCTCCTGACGACACCGCCGGGCCGGGCTGGGCTGAGAGCGAGGGTTTGGCAAAAACTCCTGGGAGAAAAAGAAAGTCTGATGTTGAAGGCAGGAGCCAGCATCTCAGCTGAGACTGGGGAGGTCCCCACACCTGCCTAAGAGCTGGGGAGCTTTTTGGCTGTATCCCTCCCAGAGAGCGCACTCCCCCACCCAAGCTCACAGAGAGGTCGAGTCACCCAGTGGTTGAGGAAGGAGGCTGTGCTCACGTCCTAGTGCTTGGGTGCAAATCCTAGTTCTGCCTTCAGGGGCCTGGTGGCCCTGGAGACAAATCTCCCTCTGTATCTGAGCCTCACTGCCTTGTTCTGTTAAAATGGGGATGACTGAATGAGACAGTACACAGTAATTTGCAGAGTGCCTGTTGCCTAGCAAGCGCTGGAGTAAGTAAATAGCTTAAGCTTATACTGTGCTGTAAGCTTGTATTGCCACATACAATTGTTACGTTGTAAATGTGGCTGACAGTGCTAGCTTCCGGGTGCCTTCCAAACTTATGATGTATATCAGTTCAGTGAATCCTCAGAGACCTATGGAGTCCTCACTCTTAATGTCCCTATTTTATAAATGAAACTAAGGCACATGGCATTAAATAATTTGTCCAACTCTAGGTAACAATACTGCAGTGTACAGCTGAAATTTGCTAAGAGGGTAGATTATAAGTATTCTCACACACAAAAAAGTTAACTGTGTCAGGTGATGTATGTTAATTAGCTTGCTAGTAGTAACTGTCTCACAGTGGATTCGTATATCAAAACATCAACTTGTACACCTTGGATATATTCCATTTTTGTTTTTCAATTATACCTCAACAAAGCTGGACATATTTTAATTTAAAAATAAATAAAAAACTTGTCCAAGATCATAAGTGGCAGAGTTGAAATCTGCACTCACAGAGTTTGATTCCAGGGTCTCCGCTCCTAAACACGAACCTACACTACTCTGATGTGAGGTTGTTGTCATAGACCGGTGTGGTGATGCATGCCTGCACACAGGAGTCAGAAAAACAAAGGTTGAGGCTGGGTGCGGCGGCTCACACCGGTCATCCCAGCACTTTGGGAGGCCAAGGTGGGAGGATCGCTTGAGCCCAGGAAGGCGAGGCTGCAGTGAGCTATGATCACTGTACACTAGCCTGGGTGACAGAGTGAGACCTTGTCTCAAAAAAAGACAGAGAGAGAAAGCAAAAGAAAGGAAGTAAGGAAGATAAAAATATAAGCTGCCTAATAATTATGGCATTCACTCAACAAGAAGAAAAAGAAAGAAAGAGGAAGGAAGGGAGGGAGGGAGGAAGGAAGGAAGGAAATATATAAGCTGCCTGATAACTGTAACATTCACTCAGCAATATTTTCTCTTAATTTTCACTTAAGCAACTATTATGTGTCTGTCTGTATTCTTTTTTTGTTGTTTCATTTGTTTTGTTTTGTTTTGTTTTGTTTTGAGACGGAGTCTCGCTCTGTCACCCAGGCTGGAGTGCAATGGCATATATATATATATATATATATATATATATATATATATATATATATATATATATATATATTTTTTTTTTTTTTTTTTTTTTTTTTTTTTTTGGGAAACAGAATCTCACTCTGTTGCCCAGGCTGGAGTGCAGTGGCATGATCCCAGCTCACTGCAACCTCCACCTCCTGGGTTCAAGCGATTCTCCTGCCTCAGCCTCCCGAGTAGCTGGGACTACAGGCATGCACCACCATGCCCAGTTAATTTTGTATGTTTAGTAGAGACAGGGTTTCACCATGTTAGCCAGGCTGATCTCGAACTCCTGACCTCAGGTGATCCGTCCACCTCGGCCTCCCAAAGTGCTGGCATTACAGGCGTGAGCCACCGTGCCCGACCAGGAATTAAAAATAGACAACCACCACCAAGATAAAAAAAGGTATACTTCACATACCAGATAGTGAGGAGGGCCACTTTGACTAGGGTGGTGGGGGATATACTTAGCGAGAAGAGAGTATTTGAGTCTGACCCTGAAAGAAGTAATGAGGCAGCCAGGCTGGTCCATTCTAGTAGCAGAGAGGAGGCCAGTGATGCTGTGGAGGGGAGTGAGGCAGGGAAGAGGGGAGGGAGGCAGGATTTATAACGCGGAATAGACCACAGTGCAGCTGGCCAGGAATTAGGGTGGCGTGAGTGAGGCACTCTCCTGGGATGTAAAATTTAATTATTCCCAAACAATTAACATATTTGAAAAAATTATTGAAAATTTGAAGAGTAGGTCGTTAAAACTCACATTATTCTGTTTGAATACTTTATTCCCCTGAAAGATTTATTAGAATTTTACATTCTAGGCTTTTGTGGATGCAAGCGCATCAGTGCTATTTCCAAAACCTACTTCTAGAAAATAACCATTTAAAAGTGCACTAACTGGGTGCACCTATAGTCCCAGCTACTAGGGAGGACCACTTGAGCCCAGGGATTTGAGGCTAAAGTGAGCTATGATCATGCCTGTGAATACAGCGAGTGTACTAAAGCCTGGGCAACATAGTAAGACCTCTTCTCTTTTTTTTTTTTTCCCAAGACGGAGTCTTGCTCTGTCGCCCAGGCTGGACTGCAGTGGTGCAATCTCGGCTCACCGCCTCCCAGGTTTAAGCGATTCTCCTGCCTCAGCCTCCGGAGTAGCTGGGATTACAGGAGTGCGCCACCGCGCCCAGCTAATTATTATTATTTTTTTTAGTAGAGACGGGGTTTCACCATGTTGGCCAGGCTGGTCTCAAACTCCTGACCTTAAGTGATCCACCCACCTCAGCCTCCCAAAGTACTGGGATTACAGGCGTGAGCCGCCGCGCCCGGCCCAACCTCTTCTCTTAAAAAAAATAAATAAATAAGAAAAGAAATTAGAATATTTGCACCAATCAAGAGTCTAAGGAGACATAAATACTAAATGCACTGTGGGGCCCTGGACGGGGTCTGGGAACAGAAATAGGATATTAGTGGAAAGACTGGTGAAATTCAAATAGCCTGGAGTTTACTTGATATAATATAGTTGTGTCTATGGTTAGTTTTTTGTTTGTTTTTTGATACAGGGTCTCACTCTGTCACCCAGGCTGGAGTGCAGTGGCGTGATCACAGCTCCCTGCAGCCTCGGCCTCCCTGGCTCAAGCGATCCTCCTGCCTCAGCCTCCTGAGTAGCTGGGACTATAGGTGTATGCCACCATGCCCCACTAATTTTTAATTTTGTTTAAAGATGAGGTCTCACTATGTTGCCCAGGCTGGTCTTGAACTCCTGAGCTCAAGCAATCCTCCCGCCTCAGCCTCCCAAAGTGCTGGGATTACAGGTGTAAACCACTGGGACCAGTGCTACGTTTATTTTTTGGTTGTAACAAATGTAAGATGTTAACATGAGGGGATCCTGGGTGAAATATTTCCATTAATATTATCTTTGGAACTTTTCTGTCAGTCTAAAAATTACTCCAAAACAAAGTTTTAAAAAGAATCCCGAGCCAAGCACGGTGGCCCGTGACCGTAGTCCCTGCTACTCATGAGGCTGAGGCAGGAGGATTGCTCAAGGCAAGGAGCTCCAGGCTGCAGTGAGCTATGACTGCTCCTATGAACAGCCACTGCACTCCGGCCTGGGCAGTGTAGCAAGACCCCATCGCTAATTTTTTTAAGTGCATTAAAACACAGATAAAGGGTTGCCTGTTTTTCGTTTTGGCACAGACTCTGGTATGACTTGACACAGGCACTGGCTGATTCTGCCTTTATTTGAAATTCTGGTTTTTTTCATTGTGGATGTTTTTGCAATTTATTTTGATTTTTTTAAAAATTGCATGAAAATGTTATTCACAGCCAGATGCAGTGGCTCACGCCTGAAATCCCAACACTTTGGGAAGCCAAGGTGGAAGGATAGCTTGAGCCCACAGGAGTTCGAGACCAGCCTGAGCAACATAGCGAGACCCTATCTCTCTCTCTTTTGTATTTTAATGCCTTTTGTGAAAACTGTCAAGAGACCCCATCTCTATAAAAACATAAAAAATGAGCTGGGCGTGGTGGTGCACACCTGTAATCCTAGCTACTTGGAGGGCTGAGGCGGGAGAATCGCTTGAGCCCTGGAGGTGGAGGCTGCAGTGAGCCAAGATCGCGCCACTGCTCTCCACCCTGGGTGACGCAGCAAGACCCTGTGTCCAAAAAACAAAATATTATTCACATTGATCCATAAATGTCGTGGCACCACCACCCGCTAGGCCAGTGCCTCGTTTGCCTCACCCTAATCCCTGCCCTCAATGTCCCCCGTATTTGTGTCCTGAACGGAGGACCACGCAGTCCCAGGCTCCGATCCCCCTTCCTTTACCCGTGGCAACGAGCTCCAGCTGGTCGCTGGGCAGGGACCAGAGGCTTCCGTTCTGGTAGGAGCAGCGGTAGCGTCCAGCCAGACTTCTCTTCATGGCCGGGATGAAGAGGACTGCCTGATCCTGGTACCTGCTGGAACTCAGCTTCTCCAGGCGGTACAGGTCCACGCCCGGAGGTCCCTGGCACCGGAGGGTCACTGGCTTCTCCAGGGGCACCAGGGAGCTGGGCAGAGCCTGGAGGGAGGGCTTGGGGAGCGGTCCTGGAAGAGGAGCAGGGCTGGGTCAGCCTCCCCGCAGACCCCGCCTGGACCCCGCTGCTCCCGCGCTGGCGGATCCCGCAGGAGGGAAGGGGTCTGGGGAAGGACTCACCACTCTGCGCTGGCACACGCCCCAGACACAGCCCTGAGGAAAGAAGAAAGGGACCAGATGCCAGGACTCGCTTTTATGGACATTCCTGCCTGCTGGGCGCGGTGATAAGACATTTGCATGCATATGCTTTACTCTGTCCTAATAATTTCTTCAAAAGACACACAGGAATGTAATTTAAGTGAGAGAAACCGGTCAGAAAAAGCCACATAGTTTATGAGGTCATTTACATGAAATATCCAGAATAGGTAAATCTATAGGAGATGGAGAAGAAAGCAGATCCATGGCTGGGGGTGGTGGGAGAGGAGGGCAAGGCATGGTGGCGTACTGCTCTCTGTGGACTTGTTCGTGTTAGACACGGTGGGCTCGTTCGTGTTAGACACGGTGGACTCGTTCGTGTTAGACACGGTGGGCTCGTTCGTGTTAGACACGGTGGGCTCGTTCGTGTTAGACACGGTGGACTCGTTCGTGTTGTGTTAGACACGGTGGACTCGTTCGTGTTAGACGCGGTGGACTCGTTCGTGTTAGACACGGTGGACTCGTTCGTGTTGTGTTAGACACGGTGGACTCGTTCGTGTTGTGTTAGACACGGTGGACTCGTTCGTGTTAGACACGGTGGGTTCGTTCGTGTTAGACACGGTGGGTTCGTTCGTGTTAGACGCGGTGGGTTCGTTCGTGTTAGACGCGGTGGACTCCTTCGTGTTGTGTTAGACACGGTGGACTCGTTCGTGTTAGACACGGTGGACTCGTTCGTGTTAGACACGGTGGACTCGTTCGTGTTAGACACGGTGGACTCGTTCGTGTTGTGTTAGACACGGTGGACTCGTTCGTGTTGTGTTAGACACGGTGGGCTCGTTCGTGTTGTGTTAGACACGGTGGACTCGTTCGTGTTGTGTTAGACACGGTGGGCTCGTTCGTGTTAGACGCGGTGGGCTCGTTCGTGTTAGACGCGGTGGGCTCGTTCGTGTTGTGTTAGACACGGTGGGCTCGTTCGTGTTGTGTTAGACACGGTGGGCTCGTTTGTGTTGTGTTAGACACGGTGGGCTCGTTCGTGTTAGACATTGCCCATTGACTTCCTCAGTGGATGTGAGGAATGGGACCTGAGACATTGCTGTCCCTTCGTTTCCTCCCTTCAGTCTCCCAATATTAAATAATATCCAAGTACATTACAATAGTATGCAATTGTATAGACAAGTATTGTAAATACTATTGCATATTGTATATTATTGTATTTTATTGTCTATGTAATATATGCGATAAAACCCCACACTAATGGGATGCATTGGGCTCCAAGGATGGAGCAGGATGGAGCCTCAGCGTGTAAGTCAGGACGTCTCAGCATGTGCTGGCCATGGGTTTCCCGGTATTTACAACATTTGCTTGAATCAGTATTCCATGATTACATGATAGGATATAATATATATAATAATCGTTTCAAATAGCCTGAAGGAGGATGGGGAAAGTTCCCAACACAGAAAGGATGCATGTTTGAGAAGATGGGTGTGCTACTTACCCTGATCTGATTACTATATGTATATACACATATAGTGCATATATGTAAACCTACATCTATACATACATGTGTATGTACATATACACGTGTGTACATACACACGTGTATATGTATGTATATGTATATATGTATGCATGTGTGTGTGTGTGTGTGTGTGTGTGTATACATATGTATACAAATACATGTACATAAGCGATCCCCTCCTGGAATTGCTTGAGCCCAGGAGGTCAAGTCTGCTGTGAGGTAAGATTGCACCACTGGCCGGGCACGGTGGCTCATGCCTATAATCCCAGCACTTTGGGAGGCCAGGGTGGGCGGATCACAAGGTCAGGAGTTCAAGACCAGCCTGGTCAACATGGTGAAACACCATCTCTACTAAAAATACCAGAAATTAGCTGGGCATGGTGGCACGTGCCTGTAATCCTAGCTACTGGGGAGGCTGAGTCAGGAGAATCACTTGAACCCGGGAGGCGGAGGTTGCAGTGAGCCAAGATCACGCCACTACACTCCAGCCTGGGCAACAGAGCAAGACTCCATCTCGAGGAAAAAAAAAAATGATATTGCCCCATTGCACTCCAGACTGACAACAGAGCAAGACCCTGTCTCAGAAAACGAAGAGGAGGAGGAAAAAAAAAGTACTAATTATCTGAAATTCCAATTTAACCAGGCATCCAGTGTTTTATCTGGTAACCCTCATTCTTACACACACACACACACACACACACACACAAAGGCGGGATAGTTGTCATTCCCACTGTAAACATAAGGAAACTGGGCAGAGGCCAAGCAACCTTGTGTAGCTCACATAGCAAGAAGTGGGTGAACCCAGCTCATGTCTTGACTCTGAGCTCAGAGAGTGACAACTTGTCACCAGCGCCCCCATAGCCACCACCCTTTGTCCACCCCAGGCTCCCTCTGCACCCCAACGCAAGCTCCGGCCGCTTCTCTGTCCCCCTCCTCCTGCCGCATCACAGCCCACCTCAGCCTCTTTGTAGGTTTCCATGCGACGCTGTACCATGGCTGGGAGTCTTCCAGGCGCCGTGCTGAGCGCCTTCTGTGCATGGACTCCAAGTCGCCATAATCGTACGGGTTACCCACCATTATCAGTCCCCTCTTATACATCAGGCTAGTGAGACAGTATCTTATCCACAGTCCTACAGCTGGCAGGAGTAGATTCAAACCCTAGCAGCACCAATTAGTGGTAAAGAGTGTGGACTTGGGAACTTACAGGAGTAGAGAGCACAGTGGTGGTTACCGGGGCGGTGGGGTAAGGTTTGGGGAGATGTTGGTCAGAGGAGGACAGTTTCAGTTGGACAAGAGGAGTATGTCTTGGAGATCTACTGCACATCATGGTGACTGTAGTTAATAACAACATATTGTACACTTGCATATCACCGATAGTAGATTTTAAATGTTCTCACCGGCCGGGCGCGCTGGCTCACACCTGTAATCCCATTTTGGGAGGCCAAGGTGGGCGGATCACCTGAAGTCAGGAGTTCGAGAGCAGCCTGACCAACATGGTGAAACCCTGTCTCTACTAAAAATACAAAAATTAGCGGGGCGTAGTGGCAGGAGCCTGTAATCCCAGCTACTTGGGAGGCTGAGGCAGGAGAATCGCTTGAACCTGGGAGGTGGAGGTTGCAGTGAGCCAACGTCATGCCACTGCGCTCCAGTCTGGGCAACAGAGTGAGACTCCATGTCAAAAAATAAAAATAAATAAAAATAAATGAGCGTGGAATACTACTCAGCCATTAAAAGGAGTGAAATAATGTCTTTTGGCCAGGCACAGTGGCTCACATCTGTAATGCCAGCACTCTGGGAGGCCGAGGTGGGTGGATCACGAGGTCAAGAGATCAAGACCATCCTGCCCAACATGGTGAAACCCCATCTCTACTAAAAATACAAAAATTAGCCGGGCATGGTGGCGGGTGCCTGTAGTCCCAGCTACTCGGGAGGCTGAGGCAGGAGAATCACTTAAACCCGGGAGGTGGAGTTTGCAGTAAGCCGAGATCACACCACTGCACTCCAGCCTTGGTGAGAGAGCGAGATTCCGTCTTTAAAAAAAAAAAAAAAAAGTCTTTTGCAGCAACTTGGATGGAGCTGGAAGGCATTATTCTAAGTAAAGTAATACAGGAGTGGAAAACAAAAATCTGTATATTCTCACTTATAAGTGAGAGCTAAGCTGTGGGTATGCAAAGGCATGCAGAGTGATGTAATGGACTTCAGAGACTCAGAAGGGAAGGGCAGAAGTGGGGCAGGGATGAAAAACTACACATTAGGTACAAGGTACACTAGTCAGGTGACAGGTGCACTAAAATCTCAGAATTCACCAGAATATAATTCATCCATGTAACCAAGAACCACTTGTATCCCAAAAGCTACTGAAGCAACAAGCCAGATGCAGTAACCTGTACAGGCCACACCTGTAACCCCAACACTTTGGGAGGCCGAGGTGGGTGGATCGCTTGAGCCCAGGAGTTCAAGACCAGCCTGGGCAACATAGCGGACCCCCGTAACTAAAAAAATTACAAAAACAAGCCAGGCATGATGGTGTACAACTGTAGTTCCAGATACTCAGGAGGCTGATGGGGAGGCACTGGTTGAGCCTGGGAGGTTGAGGCTGCAGTGAGCCATGATCATGCCACTGCCCTCCTGCCTGGGTGACAGAAGTGAGGCCCTATCTCAAATAAAATTAAATAAATAAAAGTTAAAACAGGCTGGGTGCGGTGGCTCACGCCTGTAATCCCAGCACTTTGGGAGGCCGAGGCGGGTGGAACCTGAAGTAAGGAGCTTGAGACCAGCCTGGCCAACATGGTGAAACCCCGCCCCTACTAAAAATACAATAATTAGCCAGACCTGGTGGCAGATGCCTGTAATCCCAACTATTCGGGAGGCTGAGGCAGGAGAATCACTTGGACCCGGGAGGCAGAGTTTGCAGTGAGCTGAGATCATGCCATTGCATTCCAGCCTGAGCGACCGACTGAGCGAGACTCCATCTCAAAAAACAAACAAAAAGAAAAAAAGAATACATCCATGGATGGATAATGAATGAGAGGTTGTTTATATTCACAGTTAACCCTCTCATCTCCAGTAATGCAACCATCTTCTTCCTGCTTAGCCTTTTGGAGATGCTGTCCCTTTAGTGGTCAAATTCTGAAGAAATCAGGAAATAATGCATTCGACATGCCCAGCACAAGTGAAGATCAGGCAGCAGAAATGCATTCGACCTGCCACCCATCCATCAGGAGACTATTTACTCCACTACTGTAGGGGATACTGACAAATTAAATCCATACCTAGTCCAGATATCAATTCCACAATTTTTTTTTTTTTTTTTTTGAGACGGAGTTTCGCTCTTGTTGCCCAGGCCAGAGTGCAATGGTGTGATCTTGGCTCACCGCAACCTCCACCTCCCAGGTTCAAGCGATTCTCCTGCCTTAGCCTCCAGAGTAGCTGGGATTACAGGCATGTGCCACCACACCCGGCTAATTTTGTATTTTTAGTAGAGATGGGGTTTCTCCATGTTGGTCAGGCTGGTCTCAAACTCCCGACCTCAGATGGCCCACCCGCCTCGGCCTCCCAAAGTGTGTAAGCCATGGCACTCAGCCTTTTTTTTTTTTTTTTTTTTTTTTTTTGAGATGGAGGCTCTCTCTGTTGCCCAGGCTGGAGTGCAATGCCTGACCTCAGCTCACTGCAACTTCTGCCTCCCAGTTTCAAGCAATTCTCCCACCTCAGCCTCCCACGTAGCTGGGATTACAAGCACCCGCCATCACGCCCGGCTAATTTTTGTAGAGATGGGGTTTCACCATGTTGACCAGGCTGGTCTTGAACTCCTGACCTCAGGTGATCCACCCACCTCGGCCTCCCAAGGTTGAGATTACAGGCGTGAGCCACTGTGCCTGGCCCACATTTTTTAAAAAAGGGGCAACTGCAGTGTAGTAGAACAAAGTTGTGACCAATGCTAGGATACTCTGTTCATTTCCTGACCCAGCCATGAATACACTGGAATAACTCATGCAAAATGCCAGCTCGCTGGCCCCCCGTTTCCCCACCCAACAAATGAAGGGGCTCTTACAGGTTCCTTTTTGTCCTGAAATTCATCACCAATGCAAATTTCTTAAAAATCCTTTGTCTGGCAGTCCATGCCTGTCCTTCAGCATTTCCCAGATCTGACCCTCAGGACTCACCAAGACAGAAGAGGGCGGTCGGGGATGGAGACATGGTTCCTCAGCCCTGTCCTGAGCTCTGTGGCCAGGGAGGGAAGTGGTGGGAGCCTGGGGCACAGGCTCAGGATGTGATGAGGATGAAGAATGCTCTCCTCCCTTCCTCCACCAGCCCCGGCCTTTCCTAATTGAGACTCATCGAGCCGTAGCCGGCTCCTCAGTACAGTGACTTGCACACAAGCTCCAAGGAGCCGCGCTTATCTCCTCTGGCCAGCCTGGCGTTGCACCGTTTGTCCGCCTGCTGGGGCCTGGTCTGTGTTCCCGTGCTCCCATAAACTCCCTGATGTCACTAGGAAAATACGCATCAAAACCACAGTGAGATATGACTTCACACCTTCTGGAATGGCTGTATTTTTTTTTTTTCTTTTGAGACAAAGTCTCGTTCTTTTTGCCCAGGTTGGAGTGCAGTGGCGCCATCTCGGCCCACTACAACCTCCACCTCCCAGGTTCAAGCGATTCTCCTGCCTCAGCCTCCCAAGTGGCTGGGATTATAGGTATGTACCACACCAGGCTAATTTTTGTATTTTTAGTAGAGATGGGGTTTCACTGTGTTGGCCAGGCTGGTCTTGAACTCCTGACCTCAGTTGATCCACCTGCCTCGGTCTCCCAAAGTGCTGGGATTACAGGCATGAGCCACTGCACCCGACCGGCTATAATTTTTTTTAATGGAAAACAGCAGATATTGGTGAGTATGCAGAGAAATTGAACTGCGCGTGCATTGCTGGCAGGGACGTAACATGGCGCCCCTGCTGTGGAAAACAGTTCCAGCAGCTCCTCCAGAAGTTAAACGTGGGATTGCCATAAAATCCAGCAATTCCACTTCGGGGTACACACCTAAAAGAACTGAAAACAGGGTCTCTAACATATTTGTACACAGTGTTCATAGCAGCTTTATTCACAATAGCCAAAAGGTGAAACCACCCACATGTCCATCAACAACAATGGATAAACAACATGTGGTATATACACACAAGGTAATATCAACCAGCCTTAACTAAAAGAATAAAAATCAGCCAGGCACAGTGGCTCACGCCTGTAATCCCAGCACTTTGGGAGGCCGAGGCGGGCGGATCACCTGAGGTCAGGAGTCCGAGACCAGCCTGGTTAACATGGTGAAACCCCATCTCTACTAAAAATACAAAAATTAGCTGGGCGTTAAATTAGCCGGGCATGGTGGCAGGTGCCTGTAATCCCAGCTACTTGGGAGACGGAGGCATGAGAATCGCTTGAACCTGGGAGGCAGAGATTGCGGTAAGCCGAGATCGCACCACTGCACTCCAGCCTGGGCGGCAGAGTGAGACTGTCTCAAAAATAAAAATAAGGCCGGGCGTGGTGGCCCATGCCTGTAATCCTAGTACTTTAGGAGGCTGAGGCAGGCAGATTGCCTGAGCTCAGCAGTTCAAGACCAGCCTGGGCAACACAGTAAAACCCCCAAAAAATACAAAAAAAAAATAGCCGGGCATGGCGGCAGGCACCTGTAGTCCCAGCTACTCCGGAGGCTGAGACAGGAGAATGGCTTGAACCCGGGACGCGGAAGTTGCGGTGAGCCGAGATCGCGCCATTGCACTCCAGCCTGGGTGACAGAGCGAGATTCTGTCTCCAAAAAATAAAAAATATTATAAAAGAATAAATTCAGATACATGCTACAACGTGATGGACCTTGAAGACATTATGCTAAAGGAAATATTCCGGACTTGACAGATAAATACTGCATTGTGCCGCTTATCTGAGGTATCGAGAGGAGTCAAATTCATAGAGACAGGGATTAGAATGGTGGTTGCCAAGGCCTGGGAAAAGTGGGGAGTTACTATTTAATAGGGAGCGCTTAGGTTGAAGATGATGACAAAGTCTGGGGGATCCATAGTGGTGATGGTTACACAACACTGTAAATGTATTTATATTTAATGCCATTGACTGTTTTTTGTTTTTTGGTTTTTTGAGACGGAGTCTCACTCTGTCGCCGAGGCTGGAGTGCAGTGGCGCGATCTTGGCTCACCGCAACCTCCGCCTCCCAGGTTCAAGCGATTCTCCTGCCTCAGCCTCCTGAGTAGCTGGGACTACAGGTGCGTGCCACCATGCCTAGTTGATTTTTTGTATTTTTAGTAGAGACGGGGTTTCACCGTGTTAGCCAGGATGGTCTCGATCTCCTGACCTTGTGATTTGGCCTCCCAAAGTGCTGGGAATACAGGCATGAGCCACCGCGCCCGGCCAGTGCCGTTGACTTGTATGTGCACTTACAGGTGGTTAAAATGAGAACTATCAGGGTGTTGATATCTAAAAACCTCCCTGCCATCATCTTCCCTACATCTCTCATTCAGTGACCATGGTTGAATGCCTGCCACCTTTCAAATATTATGTCAGGCACTCAGTATTGGCAGTTTTATCCATTATAAATGCTTTAAGCTGCATAGAATTTTAAACGTGTTAATAAAAGTAGTTATAAATCTTTAATACATAAGCTGGCTTTAAAATTATTGGTAAAATAAGATTAGAAATGTCTTAAGAATTGTTGGCGTTTTTGTTTGCACTTATTGAACGAGTGGTTTCATGCTTATCCCTGCAGAATACTATGAGATTTGTCATAAGGGTTATAAAACTATAAACCCGGCTGGGCGTGGTGGCTCACGCCTGTAATCCCAACACTCTGGGAGGCCGAGGCAGGCAGATCACCTGAGGTCGGGAGTTTGAGACCAGCCTGACCAACATGGAGAAACGCCATCTCTACTAAAAATACAAAATTAGCTGGGTGTGGTGGCGCATGCCTGTAATCCCAGATACTCAGGAGGCTGAGGCAGGAGAATCGCTTGAACCCGGGAGGCAGAAGTTGCAGTGAGCCGAGATTGCGCCACTGCACTCCAGCCTGGGCAACAAGAGTGAAACTCCATCTAAAATAAATAAAAATAAAACATTTGTTTTTTGTAGAGTTGGGGTTTCACTATGTTGCCCAGGCTGGTCTTGAACTCCTCCTGGGCTCAAGCAATCCACCGACCTCAGCCTCCCAAAGTGCTGGGATTACAAGTGTGAGCCACTGTGCCTGGCCCTATTGGGTCCTTTTAAAAGATACATAAAAAATCAAATGCAACAGTGAAGTCAATCACCCGATGGCAGAAATTGGGGTGCTCCTGGCATGTGGTCGGTCGAAGCCAAGGACACTGCTCAGCATTCTGCAGTGCACAGGACGGCCCCGCCCAGGCGGAGAATGATCCGGTGACACATATAGGTGGGAAGGATGCACGAATGATGGCGTTTAGGAAGAATATTATCACTTCTTTCCCGTAAGAGCAACTTAGAGCAAGAAAATGGTATTATTCTTAGGGCCTTCTCTCTTATGGAGGCTCCAAGCCAGGGTTGCCATGGCAGAAGATGCTGGGCTTGCTTTTTCCTTGAGAGAACTGTACTCAAGATGATGTAACTGTCACCCCGGGTGCCACTTGGGTGCTTTGGAGAAGCGCTCAGACGCGACACGCCGTGACGACTCCGCGGCAGGCAGCCGGACCTGTCCTCTGGCGTGCGGTTCACGGGCTGTGTTTATCCCCCTGGTTCCTTCACAGCCACCTTGGGAAATACGTTGCCTCTGAATCACGCCAGGCAGGCTCTCACTGTGTGTGCTGCGGGGCTGGAAATCAGGGTGACACTCCGCTACCGAACAGCCTGACTAGGAAGCCAGAAAGACGCTGCCGGCTTTAGTTTGTCCTTTGACTTTCCTTGATATGAATGAAGATAGAGCACTTCCACACTGCACAACAGGAAAAGCCCAGAACGCTTCCTGGAGATAGCGAGGGGGTGATGCAGCGGACAGCTATGGCTGATGACCCCCTCACCTCTGACTCCCCCTCCCTCCCTGCTTTCTGAACGCACATCCATCACCAACCATAGGTTCCTGTTTGGGGTTTGCTGGCTGGAAAAAAAAAAAAAAAAAAAAGGAAAGCTGGCTTTCTAGTAAAAACCACTTCCTTTGCTCATTTATCAAACTCAAACGCTAGGAGGGCCACCTAACATCCTCCGTCCCACGCAATGGGGTGTTTCTGGAGCACTCCGGTTTATCAGGGACCCTGTCAGTTGCCATCGCACATGTATATGGGGCCAGCCCCTGTGCCACCGAAGAGGGGGGATATTGAAAACATGTTACAGCCAGGAGCGGTGCCCCCTTGGTTCAAGCAGTTCTTCTGCCTCAGCCTCCCTAATAGCTGGGATTACAGGCGTGCACCATCACGCCTGGCCACTGTTATGTAGTTTTTACCACAATTTAAAAAAGGAAAGAGTGCCTGGGTGAGTCCTACGCACCTATTCGGAGAACCAAAGGCTTTGAGGTTATCCTCGGCCCACCCATCTGATGGGAGTGTTTCTCAAACTTGCTTTTCCGTGATCTCCCAGTAAGAAATACCTACTACACACACACAGTCTCCGGTCGGCATGCTTAGGGTAGTCTTCCAATTCCCCCTCCTGGTATTTACACCCTGGAGTGGTCCGCTCCTCTTGGGCTGAACCTGTAACTTGCTCCCAAGCAAGAGCACACAGCAAGCTCACGCACGTGGTTGTTGGTGTGATTCTGTTTCTCCAGATTGTCTCCATTCCTCCCTGGCTTCTCCACAGGGCCGCTCACCATGGCAGCCGGCTCCATCACCACCAGCCAGCGAGAGGGCAAGACAAGAGGGCTGACGAGGGACGCTACCATCACAGAGGTCAGTTTTGTAACCTAACCACAAGACTAACCTACTGTCACTTCTGCCCTATCCTACTGCTAGAAGCCAGTCGCTACATCTCCCCCACACTCAAAGGGAGGTGGTCGCACCGTGGGGTCCACTGGAAGTTGCCTACCAGACTCAGGTCATCCCAAACACACCCTCTAGCCATTTGGTGTGGCATCGGAAAGAAAACTAAGGCCAGGTACGGTGGCTCATGCCTGTAATCCCAACAATTTGGGAGGCCATGGCGGAAGGGTCACTTGAGCCCAGGAGTTTGAGACCAGCCTGGGCAACATAGCAAATGTTATGTTGCCACCTCTACAAATAATTAGCCAAGTGTGGTGGCATGCACCTGTAGTCCCAGATACTCAGGAGGCTGAGGCAGGAGAATCACAGGTCGAGGTTGTAGTGAGCTGTGACGGCACTGCACTCCAGCCTTGGCAACACAGTAAGACCTCGTCTCTAAAAAAGCAAAAAGGGCTGGGTGCACTGGCTCACACCTATAATCCCAGCACTTTGGGAGGCCAAGACGGGTGGATCACCTGAGGTCAGGAGTTCAAGATAAGCCTGGCCAACATGGTGATACCGTCTTTAATTAGCCAGGTGTGGTGGTGGGCGCCTGTAATCCCAGCTACTCGGGAGGCTGAGGCATGAGAATCGCTTGAACATGGGAGACACAGGTTGCAGTGAGCTGAGATCATGCCATTGCACTCCAGCCTGGGCAACAGAGCGAGACTAGGTGGCTGTTCTGTGTACTGTGGGATATTGAGTAGCATCCCTGGCCTCCCCAGTATCTCAAATATGAAAACATGTTTTCTATCTCGATTACTGAGCTTTTCGGTGCCTCCTTCGGTTCTGCACCTAAGCTAAGAGCCCCTTCATCTCACCCTGATCTCTATCCAGTTTCTAACACAGCAGTCTTGTAAGATGCCCGGACTTAAACGGTTATTTCCTGTGAAACAGGTGAAAGGGGCTTTCATCTCTAAAAAGTCGGAACTTTTTTTTTTTTTTGAGACGGAATCTTGCTCTGTCACCCAGGCTGGAGGGCAGTGGCATGATCTCGGCTCACTGCAATCTCCGCCTCCCAGCTTCACACCATTCTCCTGCCTCAGCCTCCCGAGTAGCTGGGACTACAGGCGCCCACCACCATGCCCAGCTAATTTTTTGTATTTTTTTAGTAGAAACAGGGTTTCATTGTGTTAGCCAGGATGGTCTCGATCTCCTGACCTCGTGATCCACCGCGCCCGGCCAAGTCTGAACTTTTGCATGGCCTGTTGCCCTGGTGATAAACTGATGCCTTGTTTCCTAAAAGGAATAAAGCCATGAGTTGCCTTTGTTCAGCTCATGGGCATTCACCCATGCACAGAGGAAAAATAAAATCTACGACTCGGGTACATTTTCTTCTTTTTTTTTTCTTTTAAATGAGCAAGTTTGAGAGTCTGCAGTTTGGACTACCATGAGAATTGATAGGAAGGTGGGAGTCCCAGGCAATCCCAGGTCCTGTAGCAGCAGCTGGTGGGGTTCCCACTCCATGCCGTGCAGAGCCTGAACTCAGGATGACACCTGCACCTGCTCTCTGGCTGGGCTCTGGCACAGGAAGCCCTCAGCAAACACCCCCGGCACAGCCATGCCATAGCCAGACAACAGCTCGCTGTACCACACCATCATGGGAGACAGCAGTTATTCTGAGCATCTCACTGCTGAAGAAACCAAGGCTCAGAGAGGACCATGCATGCACAAGGTCCCACAGGGACCCAAGAATCCACCAAGTGTCAGACAACTTGCCCATGCTCTTCACGGAGCACCTTGGAACCCTCCCCGACAGGCACCGCTGGCTCTCCTGACGTGGCCTGCAAGTGCACGGAGCCCCTTCCTCCTCGGCCATTCCCAGTTTAGATTCCCAGGGGAAGCATCAGATGGCCCCTCTCCCCTGCTGGCAGCAGAGCAGACGGAACCAGCCAGAGCCCAGGGCAGTGCTCACCTGCAGGCCAGTCCACTGCGGCCAGCACCGCCCCCTAGAACCTACTGCGGGCATGGCGGCCGCCAGTCCTGGGTCTCCCGGCTCAGGTAGTGCCAGGAAGCTGCGGGCATGGCGGACAGCTGTCCTCGGTCTGGAGGCGCCATCCTGGCTTTCAAATCTGCTCCAGAGGTTATCTGGGGAGGGGCTGCTCCCTCACAGAGGGAGCCTCTAAGCCCACCAGGCGGGCACTTTCAGCCCAAAGCCTCCGGGCCACCTCCTCATCCTCAGCCTCGGGGGCCGGGGCCTTCTGTTTGAGTCCATCGAAGTACTTTCCGGAAACATCCGCCAGTTCCTCCGCCACGGCCAGGTATGTGCTGGGCTGGGCGGCCAGCTCGGGGCTCTTGACCAGCAGCCAGAAGATGGGCCCTGCAATCAGCCCACAGGGCATTTAGTCCACACTCGCTCAGAGAGAAGGAAGGAAGCCCCGCTCCCCGGTCAGGGAGCTCCGGGTCCCTGGAGTCCCACAGAGCCCTCCTCTAGCCCTTTCCCCTTGGCTGCCTCCATCTGCAGTTCCCTTCCCTGGCACTGCCCAGGCAAATCCCACCAGACCAGGGATCAGACCAAAAGCTGCCTCCCCCAAGGAGCCTTCCTGGCTTTGTCCAGGAAAATGGAAGCTCTCTTCCTCTTGGTCAGCCCCAGTCCTCACCCTACCCCATTTCTCCTTTAATAACATCTTATTAAATGCACCTGGCACCAGCCTCAGGTTAAGGATCTTTTTTTGGCCAGGCGAGGTGGCTCAGGCCTGTAATCCCAGCACTTTGGGAGGCCGAGGCGGGCGGATTACCTGGGGTCGGGAGTTCCAGACCAGCCTGGCCAACATGGTGAAACCCCATTTCTACTAAAAATACAAAAATTAACTGGGTGTGGTGGCGGGTGCCTGTAATCCCAGCTGCTCGGGAGGCTGGGGCAGGAGAATCCCTTGAACCTGGGAGGCGGAGGTTG
Organism: Homo sapiens; assembly: GCF_000001405.40. NCBI lineage: Eukaryota > Metazoa > Chordata > Mammalia > Primates > Hominidae > Homo > Homo sapiens. The sequence continues at coordinate 691,088 of NW_003571055.2, forward strand.
CAGTGAGCTAAGATCACACCATTGCACTCCAGCCTGGGTGACAATAGCAAGACTTCGTCTCAAAAAAAAAAAAAAAAAAGGGCTGGGCGTGGTGACTCACGCCTGTAATCCCAGCACTTTGGGAGGCTGAGGCAGGTGGATCACCTGAGGTCAGGAGTTCAAGACCAGCCTGGCCAACGTGTGAAACCCTGTCTCAACTAAAAATAAAAACTTAGCTGGGTGTGGTGGTGGGCGCCTGCAATCTCAGCTACTTTGGGAGGCTGAGACAGGAGAATCACTTGAACCGAGGAGGCAGAGGTTGGAGTGAGCCAAGATTGTGCCACTGCACTCCAGCCTGGGTGACGAGCAAAACTCCGTCTCAAAAAAAAAAAGACATTTATTTATTTATTTATTGAGACCTGGTGTCTTGCTCTGTCACCCAGGCTGGAGTGCAGTGGTGTGATCTCAGCTCACTGCAACCTCTGCCTCCCGGGTTCAAGCGATTCTCCTGCCTCAGCCTCCTGAGTAGCTGGGACTACAGGTGCACACCACCACACCTGGCTAATTTTTGTATTTTTAGTAGAGACGGGGTTTCACCATGGTGGCCAGGCTGGTCTCGAACTCCTGACCTGAGGTAATCCGCCCACCACAGCCTCCCAAAGTGCTGGGATTACAGGCGTGGCTATTAGCCTCGCCAAGTTAAGATTCTTGATGCCAACCAATCACCCACTCCATGTTTTTCAGGATTATAAACACTAGTCATAAAGCATGAACTGCCTGGGGGTGGTGGCTCACACCTGTAATCCCAGCACTTTGGGAGGCAGTTGGATCACCTGAGGTCAGGAGTTTGAGACTAGCCTGACCAATATGGTGAAACCCCACCTCTAGCTGGGTGTGGTGGTGTGCACCTGTAATCCCAGCTACTTGGAGACAGGAGAATCGCTTGAACCTGGGAGGTGGAAGTTGCAGTGAGTGGAGATCATGCCATTGTACTCCAGCCTGGGCGACAGAGCAAGACTTCATCTCAAAAATAAGTAAGTAAAGCTCCAACTGTTTGTTCCACCTATTCTCTGGGCGGGGTCCTGTGCTGGCCCTTTCAAGGAAGGTCTCGTATAACCCCCCCAGTGACTGTGAGGTGAGTCCTATTAAGGCCTGCACTCTGCAGATGAAGAAACAGGCTCAGAGGGGTAACAGCTCTTCCCCAGGAGGTGCAGCTGGTTTGGGGTGAAGCTGGAGTTACCCTGAGTACAGCCTGACTCCAGGCGTCAGCTCCACGGCCTCTTCCTCTGAGACACGGTTTTCTCATCCGCCAGCAGGGCTCTGCCTGCTTCCCGGGGCTGTTAGAGGCTGGCAGGCCAGGTCAACGGAGGAAAGGGACCTGTGCTCTGTGCCTCAGAAGACGTAGGCGAGGAGCAGGCATGAGGCCTCAGGGACGGTCTCTGAGGGAGGGTCCTGGGCCCTGGGCTGAGAAAGCAGGGGTGGAGGGCTCCACGTGGAGACCCCAGGCTGGGAGGGGACTCACCGAGTGTGGTGCTGGAGAAGGTGGAGCCATGGATGCCCGTGTGTCTGCCCAGCTCTGTCCTGGCCACGCCGGGGTGCAGGGCGTTGACAGTCACACCAGAGCCTGGGGAAGAAAGAAAGAGAAGACTGAGGGAGGGGTCCAGCCTCACCTGGGAGGCTGTGGCAGCCCACACCCAGCTGTGGGGCTTCCGGGCACCAGGCTGCTTCCTGCACTCAAACCCCATCGTCCCTCTTGCTCTGGAATCTTAGTGAAGTGGTCTTATCTTGCGGAGCGGCTCTGCCACATGGCTGCTGGGAGCCGAGCTTTCCTGGAGGGCTTCATAAACCCAGAACGCTGAGCTTACCCCGGGAGCCTGCATCGGTGCGTGGCGGTGGGACCTAAGATACTGTAACTCTGACCAGCTCCCAGTGGGGCTGGCACCGCTGGTCCACAGACCGTCTTTCAGAAGCAAAGGCCTAGCACAGATTTCTCAATCTCAGCACTGTGGATGCTGTGGGTTGGGAGGAGTGAGGGGCCATCCCGTGCGCTGTAGGACATTGAGAGCATCTGGGCCTTTACCCTCCAGATGCCCAGAGCAATCTCTCCCCAAGCCAGCTGTGATCACTGTGTTTCCAGGCATTGACAACTGCGGGTCAAAACTGCCCCTGGTTGAGACTCACTGGCTGGAGCCAAAAGGCTGAGCTGCCTGCCCAACAGCAGCAGGGAAGGACATCTGATCCAGGCAGACTAGACCACCTGGGATGAACAGACAATCCTCAGAAGAACGATCGATTAGTGATGTCTGCTTCAGGCACCAGAAGCGGGCAGCGTGGTCCACATGCTCTACTTTTGCTGACTCTGTTCTGGATCCACCGTTTGGCCTCCCATCAGCCTAGGATCATGGAAAGGCCGCTCTAGGCTCAGAGTAAAGCAAGAGGGAGGCCGAGCCTAGCGCCCCCGTACCTTGCAGCCGCCGGCTCAGCTCCTTGGTGAAGAGGACGATGGCGAGCTTGCTCTGGCAGTAGGCGGCTTTGGTGTTATACTTCCTCGTCTGCCAGTTCAAGTCGTCAAAGTCTATGTGCCCAGCAACATGGGCCAGGGACGAGAGGTTGATGATCCGCGAAGGGGCTGAGGCTTTCAGCTTGTCCAGCAGCAAGTTTGTCAAGAGAAAGTGACCTGGATTAAGGATGATGAAAAGGTCACTTTTGACTCACACCTAAAATCCCAGCACTTTGGGAGGACGACGGGGGAGGATCGCTTGAACCCATGGTGCAGCCCCTGCCCAGGCCTCACCCAGGTGGTTAACGCCAAACTGCATCTCGAAGCCGTCCTCGGTGGTCCAGTGGGGGCACCGCATCACACCCGCGTTGTTGATTAGAATGTCCACTCGCTCCTCCTCTGGAAGAGAGGGGTGGAGGAGGAGACATCCCGGTGAGGACAGACCCCAGCCTGATGCACCAGCAGAAACACTCCTGTGCTCCCACAACCTGTGAATGTGGCCTGTGCCGGAAACAGGGTCTGTGCCGAAGTGGCCATGTCAGGATGCGGTCATTAGGGTGAGCCCTAATCCAATGACTGGTGTCCTTATAGGAAGGGAAAACAGAGACAGAGACACATGGGGAGAAGGCCATGTGTGGACAGAGGCAAAGACCGGAGAGGCACAGCTCCAAGGTGAGGGTGGGCCGCCCCCGCTGGAAGTGGAAGAGGCTGGGAGGATTATGGCCCGTCTCACAGGTCACAGCCACAGGGACACCGCGATTCAGACTGCCGGCTTCCGGAACCGTGAGGGAATGCACGTCTGAGGGTGTAAGCCACTGGGTTTGCAGTACATTGTTACAGCAGCTCCAGGACACTCACACGCCCTCCGCACCTCCATCTAAGCCTTGGGACTCCTTCCTGCCGGAGCCCCGAGGCCAAAAACGGGAGGTTACCGGTGGGAGCCCCGGCACCGCAGGCGTGGTTTCATTCCCAAACCTGCCACCTCACTCATACAAGCAACCAAAGGACACACAGATGGAGACTGCAGCCTCAGTTTCCTCAGCTGTAAAATGCGCTGAACCACAGGGCCTTCCTCCCTGTACCACTCAGCTCGGGTTCCGTAACAAAGTGCCACAGACAGGTGGTTTAAAACCTCACAGACCTGGCCGGGCACAGTGGCTCACGCCTGTAATCCCAGCACTTTGGGAGGCCGAGGTGGGCAGATCACCTGAGGTCAGGAGTTTGAGACCAGCCTGGCCAACATGGAGAAACCGCGTCTTTACTAAAAATACAAAATTAGCCAGGCGTGGTGGCATGCACCTGTAATCCCAGCTACTCAGGAGGCTGAGGCGGGAAAATCGCTTGAAACCAGGAGGCAGAGGGTGCAGTGAGCCGAGATCGCATCATTACACTCCATCCTGGGCAATAAAAGCAAAACTCCATCTCAAAAAAAAAAAAAAAAATCACAGTCCCAGAGGCTGGAAGTCCCAGATCAAGGTGTGGGCAGGGCTGGTTCCCTCTCAGGGCCCTCAGGGAGGATCCGCTCTGGTCTCTCTCCTTGGCTCACAGGTGACCATCTCCTCTCTCCCTCTTCCCTTCCTCTTCCCTTTGGAGCTGTCTCTTTTTTTTTTTTCATTTTTCCTTTTTTAATTTTAGATTTTTCAGACATGGTCTCACTATGTTGCCCAGGCTGGTCTCAAACTCTTGAACTCAAGCAATCCTCCTGCTTTGGCCTCCCAGAGTGCTGCAATTTCACTGCCCCCAGCCTATTTTTTTTTTTTTGGGGGGGGGAGATGGAGTTTCACTCTTGTCACCCAGGCTGGAGTGCAATGGTGCGATCTTGGCTCACTGCAACCTCTGCCTCCCAGGTTCAAACAATTCTCCTGCCTCAGCCTCCCAAGTAGCTGGACTACAGGCATCCACCACCACACCGGGTTAATTTTTTGTATCTTTAGTAGAGACGGGGCTTCACCATGTTGGCCAGGCTAGTCTCACACTCCTGACCTCGTGATCCACCTACCTCAGCCTCCCAAAGTGCTGGGACTGCAGGCGTGAGCCACCACACTCAGTCTACTTGGCCTATTTTTTATATTTCTTTGAGACAGGGTCTCCCTCTGACACCTGGGCTGGAGTACAGTGGCGCAATCACTGCTCACTGCAGCCTCAACCTCCCAGGCTCAAGCAGTCTTCTTGCTCAGCCTCCCAAGTAGCTGGGGCCACAGGCATGCGCCACCATGCCCAGCTAGCACGTCTGTTTCTGTGCGCAAATCTCCCCTTTTCATAAGGACACCAGTCACTGGATTAGGGCCCACCCTAATGACCTCATTTTCACTTCAGGACCTCTGTAAACACCCACCTCTAAATGAAGTCACATGCTGAGGGATGGGGGTTCAGGATCCCAACCTATCCTTGGGGGTGGAGGACACAATGGAATTCATAATGCTCCCGAAGTGGTTTTCGGCGGGGATCGTGAATTAGGTGTCCAGCGCGTAACACACAGACACCATCTGGTTCTCTGTGTGAGAAGGAGGGGGTTGCAGCACACCCGTCATGAATACCAGCTCTGGAGCAGGACAGACAGGTTCAAAGCCTGGCTCCACCCCGACCAGCTGCATGATCCTGGCCAAGTCACATCACTTCTCTGTGACTCAGTTTACTCCTTGTAAAAAAAAAAAAAAAAAAAGGATAATAACATCACCTGCCTGGTACAACTGTATACTTACTCATTCAGTAAGTATTTTCTAAGCACCTATTACTGGGCACTGGAAATACAGGGTGGACAGCACAGCCGAGGCCCCGTCCGTGTGGACCGGACATTCCAGTGCAGCTGAGAGCCACTTCCACTCGTGAGAGAATCTACCCGTGACAGAGCTGCGTGGAAGCTGACAGGAGGCCCCTCTCAGGAGGTGACGCAGAAACTGGGACCGGGAAAATGAGGCAGGGCCCACGTGCGGAGACCCAGGGAAGGGGGATGCAGGCAGCAGGCGCAGCACGGGTAAGGCCCAAAGGCGGGACAGGGAGACTCCACTCACAGCTGGGCGCCCAGGAGTGCCGCCAGCTTCTGGTGTTTTGTTTTGGTTTTTTTTCTTTTTTTTTTTGAGATGAAGTCTCACTCTGCCACCCAGGCTGGAGTGCAGTGGTGTGATCTTGGCCCATGGCCCACTGCAACCTCTACCGCCTGGGTTCAGGCGATTCTGCTGCCTCAGCCTCCCGAGTACTGGGATTACAGGTGCCCGCCACCGCACCCTGCTAATTTTTGCATTTTTAGTAGAGACGGGGTTTCACCATCTTGGTCAGGCTGGTCTTGAATTCTTCACCTCGTGATCCACCCGCCTCTGCCTCCCAAAGTGCAGGGATTACAGGTGTGAGCCACCGCGCCCAGCCTGTTTTTTTTTTTTTCTTTTTATGAGAGGGAAGCTCACTCAGTGGCCCAGGCTGGAGTGCAGTGGCGCGATCTCAGCTCACAGCAACCTCCGCCGCCAGGGCTCAAACGATCCTCCCACCTCAGCCTTCCACATAGCTGAACCACAGGCGCCCGACACCACAAGCAGCTACTTTTAAAATTTTTTGTAGAAATGGGGTTTGGCTATGTTGCTTAGGCTGGTCTCGAATTTCTGAGCTTAGGCAATTCGCCCACCTCGGCCTCCCAAAGTGCTGGGATTGCAGGCGTGGGCCACAGTGCCTGGCCTGTTGTTTTGTTTATCTGGGAACTGCCTCAACTTTTTTTTTTTTTTTTTTTTTTTGGACACAGGGTCTCACCCCGAGTGCAGTGGTACAATCAAAGCTCACTGCAGGCCGGGCGTGGTGGCTCACATCTGTAATCCCAGCACTTTGGGAGGCCGAGGCGGGCAGATCACCTGAGGTCAACCAGCCTGACCAACATGGTGAAACCCTGTCTCTACCTAAAACAAAAAAGTAGCCGGGCATGGTGGCAGGTGCCTGTAATCCCAGCTACTCAGGAGGCTGAGGCAGGAGAATTATTTGAAACCAGGAGATGGAGGTTGCAGCCTGACCAACAGGAAGAAACCCCGTCTCTACTAAAAATACAAAATTAGCCGGGCGTGGTGGCGCATGCCTGTAATCCCAGCTACTCGGGAGGCTGAGGCAGGAGAATCACTTGAACCCAGGAGGTGGAGGATGCCGTGAGCCAAGATCCCGTCATTGCACCAGCCTGGGCAACAAGAGCAAAACTCCGTCTTAAAAAAAAAAAAAAAAAATCCCTCACTGCAGCCTCAACCTCCCAGGCTCAAGCAATCCTCCCACCTCCACCTCCCAAGTAGTTGGGACTACAAGTGCACACCATCACGCCTGCCTCATTGTTTTTTATTTTTTTTTTGAGATGGAGTCTCACTCTGTCACCCAGGCTGGAGTGCAGTGGCGCCATCTCGGCTCACTGCAAGCTCCACCTCCCGGGTTCACGCCATTCTCCTGCCTCAGCCTCCCAAGTAGCTGGGTTACAGGTGCCCGCCACCACGCCCGGCTAATTTTTTTGTGTTTCTTAGTAGACACGGGGTTTCACCGTGTTGGCCAGGATGGTCTCGATCTCCTGACCTTGTGATCCGCCCGCCTCAGCCTCCCAAAGTGCTGGGATTACAGGCGTGAGCCTGCACGCCTGCCTGATTGTTTTGTATTTTTTGTAGAGATGAGGTCTTGCTATGTTGCCCAGGCTGATCTCAAACTCCCTGATAAACAAGGCTGTGGGTACCTGCTTCCTGGGGCTCTTTGCTTTGTGTTCTTTCTAGTCGGGAGCTGGGAAGAGCCACAGCTTCCAGCTTTGTCAGAGTGTCATCTCACAAACTGATCTTCCCAAAACTTCTGTCTCCCAAAGTGCCGGGATGACAGGCGTGAACCGCTGCACCTGGCCTGCCCCAGTGTGGTAGAATACACACCACATAAAATGGACGATCTTCACTATTTTTAAATCCACTGCTGTCTTTATTCCTGGCTGTTGATCTTAGGAAAACACCAAGAAGCTGGTACTTGATTTGCTAAAAAAGTCACAGACACAGCTTTACTTAATCCTCTAGAGAGGCTGGGCGTGGTGGCTCATGCCTGTAATCCCAGCACTTTGGGAGGCCGAGGTGGCTGGATCATGAGGTCAGGAGATCGAGACCATCCTGGCTAACACGGTGAAACCCCGTCTCTAGTAAAAAATATAAAAAATTAGCCGGGCGTGGTGGCAGGCGCCTGTAGTCCCCCGCCACTCGGGAGGCTGAGGCAGGAGAATGGCATGAACCCGGGAGGCGGAGCTTGGAGTGAGCCGAGATGTGCCACTGTCCTCCAGCCTGGGCGACAAAGCAAGATACCGTCTCAGAAAAAAAAAAAAACCCCTCTAGAGAATCCCAGAAAATAGAAGGAATTATTCCATTTCCCGGAAGAGGAACGTGTGGCTAAGAGAGGAGGCATCACCTGCCCAGGTGTGTCCAGCCGGGGTCCTCACTGTCTCAGGGACCTCAGTGCTCCGGACACCTGTGTCCACAAGCCAGAGACAGGATCAGAGGCGCCCTGGGTGGGATTGCCTGGGACAGTGTGCATGAAGGTGACAGTGCTGTACCTGGTACACAGCAGGTGCTTAATAAATGTTCATCCACCTCTGAGACTCTGAGGCATTGCCCTCTCACTGTTCTTTGTGATCTCACCGTAGTGCCTCTCACCTACCCGACAACAGTGCCGGCTCTTTCTTGATCCCCAAGGGCACAGCAGGGGCTCAGTATGAATGAATGAATGAACCAACGAATGTGCACCTGCACCTGCCTCCCTAGGGCTGTGAGTGGCACAAGGACAGCTCTGGTTCATCTCACACCTCCAGCACCTGGTCAGGTCTGAGATCACGTCTGCTAAATAAATGAGGTCCCACAACTCCCCCATTCCTTGTTCATTTCCTGAGTACCCGTTTACTGAGCGGGGCACATTGACTCTGAAGAAGAAAGCTTTGGCCCTTTCAGTGCCAGACTAGAAAAGAAACAAAGCAGCTGGGCATGGTGGCTCATGCCTGTAATCCCAGCACTTTGGGAGGCTGAGGCAGGCGGATCACAAGGTCAGGAATTCGAGACCAGCCTGGCCAACATAGTGAAACCCCGTCTCTACTAAAAATACAAAAATTAGCCGGGCATGGTGGCACCCGCCTATAGTCTTGGGAGGCTGAGGCAGGAGAATCGCTTGAACCCAGGAGGCGGAGGCTGCAGTGAGCCAAGATCGCATCATTGCACTCCAGCCTGGGTGACAGAGCAAGACTCCATCTCAAAAAAAAGGTCTTGCTCTGTCATCCAGGTTAGAGTGCAGTGGCACAAATACGGCTCACTGCAGCCTTGAACTCTCGGGCTCAAGTGATCCTCTTGCCTCAGCCTCCTGAGTAGCTGGGACTGTAGGCACATGCCAGGATGCCCGGCTAATTTTTTTTTTTTTTTAATCTTTGGTACACACAAGGTCTCACTATGCTTCCTAGGCTGGTCTCTAACTCCTGAGCTCAAGCAATCCTAAGAGAAGAGATTTTAAATGTGGTCACCACAAAAACAGGTAAGTATTTGAGGTAATGCATATGTTAATTAGCTTGATTTAGCCATTCTACAATGTATACAATGTACATCATGCTGTACATAATATATACAAGTATACATGTCAACTAAACAATAAATAATTTTAGTGTATTCTTGAGTCTATTTAAAGATGAACAAGAATAGAAAAGCTAGAGGATGGTCCCAGTTTTACATAAAAATATATAAATACACACACAAACCTATTATAAACAAGACTAGAAAGATCCATAAAAGTGATTCTCCTGGGGCTGGTGCAGATCAAAGTTGTTTAGTTCTGTCTTCTTTTTTATTGAGACAGAGTCTCACTCTGTCACCCAGGCTGGAGTGCACTGGCACAATCTCAGCTCACTGCAACCTCCGCCTCCTGGGTTCAAGCAATTCTCCTGCCTCAGCACCCTGAGTAGCTGAGATTACAGGTGTGCACCACCACGCCTGGCTAATTTTTGTATTTTTAGTAGAGACAGGGTTTCACCATGTTGGCCAGGCTGGTCTCGAACTCCTGACCTCAAGGGATCCACCTGCCTCAGCCTCCCAAAGTGCTGGGATTAACAGGCGTGAGCCACTGTGCCCAGCCAGTTCTGTCTTCTTTACATTGCAGTATTTTATAAATGTCCCATAACAAACACATATTTCTTTAACCATGGTGGGGAAGGCACTTGATCAATAAATGCTTAATAAGGTCAGGTGCGGTGGCTCACGCCTGTAATCCCAGCACTGTGGGAAGCTGACCTGGGTGGATCACTTGAGCCCAGGAGTTGGAGACCAGCCTGAGCAACATGGTGAAACCCCAGCTCTAAAAACAAAACAAAACAATAAAACAATAATTAGCTGTGTGTGGTGGCGTATGCCTGTACTCCCAGCTACTTGGGAGGCTGAAGTGGGAGGATCCCTTGAGCCCAGCAGGTTGAGACTGCAGTGAGCCATGACTGCACCACTGCACTCTAGCCTGGGTGACAGAGATGGATCCTGTCTCAAACAAACTAATTATTCAGGTAGGGCACGGTGGCTCACACCTGTAATCCCAGCACTTTGGGAGGCCAAGGGAAGCAGATCACCTGAGGTCAGGAGTTCGAGACCAGCCTGACCAACATGGTGAAACCCTGTCTCTACCTAAAACACAAAAAATTAGCCAGGCACGGTGGCGGGTGCCTGTAATCCCAGCTACTCAGGAGGCTGAAGCAGGAGAATCATTTGAAATCGGGAGACGGAGGTTGCAGTGAGGCAAGATCACACCACTGCACTCCAGCCTGGGCAACAGAGCGAGACCCCATCTGTCTCAAAACAAACAAACAAAACAAAGTCAGCCGGGCGCAGTGGCCCACGCCTGTAATCCCAGCACTCTGGGAGGCTGAGGCAGGAGAATCACCTGAGGTCAGGAGTTCCAGACCAGCCTGGCCAACGTGGTGAAACCCCGTCTCTACTAAAAATACAAAAATTAGCAGGGTATGGTAGCAGGCATCTTAATCCCAGCTACTCAGGAGGCTGAGGTCCGCGCTTGAACCCAGGAGGCAGAGGTTACAGTGAGCCGAGATCGCGCCATTGCACTCAGCCTGGCCGACAGAGTGAGACTCCCTCTCAAAATAACAGTAGTAATAAATAAATAAAGTCGTTGCTTGCAGGCTGTACAAAAAAAGGCAGCAACTGGACTTGGCCCCTAACTCATAGTTTGCCAAAACTCTGCTCTAAAGTTTGCTTGCTTCATTCACTTCTCAGAGCCTGGCCCTGGGAGCCGCCTATCCCAGTCCTCATCCCACATGGCCAGCGTTCTCCTACCTTCAATGATCTTTGCTGCAAACTCTCGGATAGACTTGAGGGAAGCCAAGTCCAGGTGCCGGGCGTTGACATGGTGATTGAGGGTCTCCCCGCGGATGTCCTTTGCTGCCGCCTCACACTTCTCCATGTCTCGGCAGGCCAGGATGATGTTGCCTCCTGAAAACCCAGGATGGAAAAAGATTTAAATTAATAATCCACTCCTGGGTACTGACCCCAGAGACATGAAAACATACGTCTACACAAAAACACATCCACCAATGTTCACTGCGGCATTCTTCACAAAAGCCAAAAGGTAGAAACAACCAAATGCCCATCTGTGGATGAAGGGACAACAAAATGTGGTCCATCCATAGAGATGGAATATTAGACGGCCGTGAAAAGGAGTGAAGCACTGGCTCATGCTACAGCAAGGATGACCGTCAGAAACACTGTGCTCGGGGAAAGAAACCAGACACGAAAGACCACACAGCGTACAATCCCATTTACATGAATTCTATGTATATGATTTCACACCTATGAAACGCCCAGAATAGGCAAATCCATAGAGAAAGAAAATAGATTCTTGGTTTTCTAGGGCAGGGGGTGGGGAGAGGGAATTACAGCTTGATAGTTACAGTGAGCAGGTTTCTTTCTAGGGTAACAGATGTTCTAAGATTGATTTTAAAGATGGTTGCATCATTCTGTGACTATACTAAACATCACTGAATTGGTCGGGCACGGTGGCTCACACCTGTAATTCCAGCACTTTGGGAGGCCAAGGCAAGAGGATTCCCCATCCTCTCCTTTTTTTTTTTTTTTTAGATGGAGTCTCACTCTGTCACCCAGGCTGGAGTGCGGTGGCGCAATCTCGGCTCACTGCAACCTCCACCTCCTGGGTTCAAGCAATTCTCCTGCCTCAGCCTCCCGAGTAGCTGGGATTACAGGCACCTACCACAACTAGCTAATTTTTTATTTTTTTATTTTTAGTAGAGACAGCGGTTTCACCATGTTAGCCAAGCTAGTCTTGAACTTCTGACCTCAGGTGATCCACCCCGCGGCCTCCCAAAGTACTGGGATTACAAATAAGCCACAATGCCCAGCCTCCAATTTTTTTTGTTGTGGTAAAATACAAATCACTTAAAATTTATCATCTTAACCCCCTTTTCTTTTTGTTTATTATTATTTTTTTTTTTTTGAGTCAGTCTCACTCTGCTGCCGCGGCTGGAGTGCTGGCGCCATCACAGCTCATTCAGCCTTGAACTCCTAGGCTCAAGTGACCTGGGACTATAGGTACCACCTGTGCCAGCATGCCTGGCTAACTCTGGTAGAGATGGGGGTGTTGCTATGGTGTCCAGGCTGGTCTGGAACCCCTGGCCTCAAGTGATCCTCCTGCCTCAGCCTCCAAAAGTGCTGGAATTATAGATGTGAGCCACCGAGACCCGCCCTCTTAGCCATTTTTAAGTGTCCAGTTCATTGGTATTAAAAACATTTATGGCTGGGCCGGGCATGGTGGCTCACACCTGTAATCCCAGCACTTTGGGAGACCAAGGCAGGTGGATCACCTGAGGTCAGGAGTTCAAGACCAGCCTGGCCAACACATTACAAACTTAGCTGGGTGTGGTGTTGCATGCCTGTAATCCCAGCTACTCGGGTGGCTGAGGCAGGAGAATTGCTTGAACCCGGGAGGCGAAGGTTGCAGTGAGCCAAGATCATGCCACTGCACTCCAGCCTGGGCGACAAGAGCAAAACTCCATCTCAAAAAAAAAAAAACAATAATAATAATTCCTAATGTTGTGCAACCATTACAACCATCCATCTCTCAAATTGTTTCATCTTGCCAAACTAAACTTCCGTTTCCATTAAACAGTAACTCCCCATTCTCCCCTCCCCTCCTGACCCCTGGCAAGCACCATTCCAACTTCTCTATGAATTTAACTGTAGGTAGCTCCTGTAAGTGGAATCATACCGTATTTGCTCTTCTGTCGACTGGCTTATTTCACTTCATGGAATGTCCTCAAGGTTCATCTGTTTCAATGCCCTTTTTTTTGTTTTGCTTTGTTTTGTTTTGTTTTTGAGTCTCACTCTGTCACCCAGGCTGGAGTGCCGTGGCGCCATCTCTGCTCACTGCAACCCCTGCCTCTCAGGTTCAAGCGATTCTCCTGCTTCAGCCTCCCAAGCAGCTGGGACTACAGGTGCCCACCACAACTCCTGGCTAATTTTTGTATTTTTAGTAGAGAGGGGGTTTCACCATGTTGGTTAGGCTGGTCTCGAACTCCTGACCTCGTGATCCGCCAGCTTTGGCCTCCCAAAGTACTGATTACAGGCGTGCACCACCGCGCCCGGCCAGAATGCCCTTCCTTTTTAAGGCTGAATCATATGCCCCTGTCTATAGAAGCCACATTCTGTTTCCCTGTTCATCTGTGGATGGGTGCCTGGGTTCCTTCCACCTCCGGACTGTGAATAATGCTGCAGTGAGCATGGATGTACAGATATCTCTCTGAGAGCCAAAGCAGGGGAGATTTTACCTCTCCTGGCCAGTTCCAAGGCGGTCTGCTTCCCGATGCCTGTGTTGGCACCCGTCACGATGACCGTCTTCCCAGGGATGGTGGCCTTGCTGGGGCAAGCCCCACCGGTGACATAGTCCCTGAGGGTGAGAAGCGGCACGGTCAGTCCTGTGGGCCCACTCTCACCCCACGTGCCCCTGACTGAATGATCTCAGGCAACCTTGTCTGAGCTCACTCACATACCCCAACTGAAACACAGACATCATCACATCACACCAAGGGACCTCTGTCATGTTCTCCATAAGTGGCTCCACCCAGTGTCTGGCGTGTGGAACGCCTTCAGCAAGTGACAGTCATTATTTTATAAATGCTCACTGCATGAGATTCCCGGCCAGGTGAGGGGGCTTGCACCTGTAATCCCAGCACTTTGGGAGGCCAAAGTTTTGGGGGTGGGGGGGGGCGGGGGCGGATCACTTGAGGTCAGGAGTTCGAGTCCAGCCTGGCAAACATGGCGAGACCCCGTCTCTACTTAAAATACAAAAATTAGCCAGATGTGTAGGGAAAAGAGAGATTAGACTGTTACTGTGTCTATATAGAAAGGAAAGACATAAGAGACTCCATTTTGAAAAAGACCTGTACTTTGAACAATTGCTTTGCTGAGATGTTGTTAATTTGTAGCTTTGACCCAGCCACTTTGACCCAATCTGGAGCTCACAAAAACCTGTGTTGTATGAAATCAAGGTTTAAGGGATCTAGGGCTGTGCAGGAAGTGCCTTGTTAACACAATGTTTCCAAGCAGTATACTTGGTAAAAGTCATCGCCAGTCTCTAGTCTCAATAAACCAGGGGCACGATGCACTGCAGAAAGCTGCAGGGACCTCTGCCCTTGAACACAGAGTATTGTCCAAGGTTTCTCCCCGTGGGATAGTCTGAAATATGGCCTCGTGGGATGAGAAAGACCTGACCGTCCCCCAGCCCAACACCCGTAAAGGGTCTGTGCTGAGGTGGATTGGTAAAAGAGGAAAGCCTCTTGCAGTTGAGAGAGAGGAAGGCCACTGTCTCCTGCCTGACCCTGGGAACTGAATGTCTCGGTATAAAACCTGATTGTACATTTGTTCAATTCTGAGACAGGAGAAAAGCCGCCCTATGGCGGGAGGCGAGACATGTTTACAGCAATGCTGCCTTGTTATTCTTTACTCCGCTGAGATGTTTGGGTGGAGAGAAACATCAATCTGGCCTACGTGCACGTCCAGGCATAGTACCTTCCCTTGAACTTAATTATGTCATAGATTCTTTTGCTCACATGGTTTTTGCTGACCTCATTATCACCCTGCTCTCCTACTACATTCCTTTTTGCTGAAATAATGAAGATAATAATCAGTAAAAACTGAGGGAACTCAGAGGCCGGTGCCGGTGCAGGTCCTTGGTATGCTGAGCGCCGGTCCCCTGGGCCCACTGTTGTTTCTCTATACTTTGTGTCTTATTTCTTTTCTCAGTCTCTCGTCCCACCCAACTAGAAATACCCACAGGTGTGGAGGGGCAGGCCACCCCTTCACAGGCGTGGTGGTGCACACCTGTAATCTCAGCTACTCAGGGGGCTGAGGCACGAGAATTGCTTGAACCTGGAAGGCGGAGGTTGCAGTGAGTCGAAATGGTGCCAGCCTGGGCAACAGAGCGAGACTCTGTCTCAAAAAAATTTAAATTTAAATTTAAAATGCCCGCTGCACGAGATTCCCAAGGCTGCTGTACGCATTACCACAGACTTAGTGGCTTAAAACCACATAAGTGCATCCTCCTCCAGTTCGGCAGGTCAAGAGTCCAAAACATGTCTCACTGGAATAAATCAAGGTATTGGTAGAGTCAGGTTCCTTCTGGAGGCTCTAGGGAAGAATCCACTTCCAGCTCCTACAGACCGCCACATTCCTCCACTCTTGGCCCCGCCTCCATCTTCAACCTGCATCCTCACTGGAACCTCTCCTTTATTTATTTATTTATTTACTTATTTATTTTTGAGACAGAGTCTCGCTCTGTCGCCCAGGCTGGAGTGCAGTGGCTCAATCTCAGCTCACTGTAACCTTCGCCTCACAGGTTCAAGCGATTCTCCTGCCTTAGCCTCCTGAGTGGCTGGGATTACAGGCACATGCCACCACACCTGGCTAATTTCTTTTGTATTTTTAGTAGAGACAGAGTTTTACCACGTTGGTCAGGCTGGTCTCGAACTCCTGACCTTGTGATCCGCCTGCCTTGGCCTCCCAAAGTGCTGCGATTACAGGCGTGAGCCACCACACCCAACAACCTCTCCTTCTATCTTCCATCTCCCCTCTGACTGAGCCTCCTGCTCCCTCTTATAAGGACCCTATAAGACTACAAGGCAGGACCGGCACAGTGCCTCACACCTGTAATCCCAGCACTTTGGGAGGCCAAGACAGGAGGATCACTTGAGGTCAGGAGTTCGAGACCAGCCATGGCCAACATGCTGACACCCCATCTCTACTAAAAATACAAAAATTAGCAGGGCTTGGTGGTGCACGCCTGTAGAGTCAGCTACTCGGGAGGCTGAAGTGGGAGGACCACCTGAGCCCAGGGAGGGTGAGGCTGCAGTGAGCTGTGACAGCATGACTGCACTCCAGCCTGGGTGACAGAGAGACCCTGTCTCCAAAAAAAAAAAAAGACTACATGATAATCATAAGATCCTTCACTTGGCCGGGCACGGTGGCTCACGCCTGTAACCCCAGCACTTTGGGAGGCCAAGGTGGCCAGATCCCCTTTGGTCGGGAGCTCAAGACCAGCCTGACCAACATGGAGAAACCTCGTCTCTACTAAAAATACAAAATTAGACAGGCGTGGTGGCACATGCCTGTAATCCCAGCTACTCAGGAGGCTGAGGCCGGACAATCGCTTGAACCCGGGAGGTGGAGGTTGTGGTGAGCCGAGGTCGTGCCATTGCACTCCAGCCTGGGCAACAACAGCGAAACTCTGTCTCAAAAAAAAAAAAGATGCTTCACTTAACACATCAGCGAGAACCTCTGACACGTGAGGTAATGTCGTCACACCTTCCGAGGATTAGGACGTGGACCCCTCTACGGAGTCACGACTCTGCCCACCACACCCATGTCCCACAGAGGCTAACGCTGGCAACAAGATAGTGTCCAGCAACAGGAGGCTGAGCAGGTAAACAGCACTGCACCCACAGGAGAGAAGGGCACCATGCAATACAGTGGCCACCAGCCACAGAGGCTAATTTTTAAGAAAGTTTAAATTAAGTAGGCTGGGCGAGGTGGCTCACGTCTGTAATCCCAGCACTTTGGAGGCCGAGGCAGGCGGATCACCTGAGGGCAGGTGTTTGAGACCAGCCTGGCCAACATGGCAAAACCCCGTCTCTGCGAAAAATACAAAAATTAGCCGGGCGTGGTGGCGCACGTGTGATCTCAGCTCCTGGGGACGCCAAGGTGGGAGGATCACCTGAGCCCAGGAGGTCAAGGCTGCAGTGAGCCAAGATCGCGCCACTGCACTCCAGCCTGGGCGACAGAGCCAGATTCTGCCTTTAAAAATAAACGAACAAATAAATAATACAAAACAACAAAATAAAGAGTTTAAAAGTCTGGAAGGAAAGCAACATTTACAAGGGCCCAGGCTCGCCCTTCCCTCCGAGTGACCTTGGGCCGGTGACCTGGCCGGCCAGAGCGCAGGTTTGCCCCACTCCGGGCGGGCACTGCGGGTCGGGAGCTACGGGGCCTGGACCCGGGTGCGAGGGGCGGGGGTCTCCGCCGCCTTCCCGGCCCCTGCGCTGGGGGCCCGCCTTGACCGCGCACGCGGGGCTAGAATGTACTCACTTGAGCAGCACGGCGGCGCCTGCTACCGTGCCCAGCGCCGACAGCGGCAGCAGGTAGCGGCTCATGCCGGGCCGGGGACAGGCGTCAGGCGTCAGGGGTCGGCGCGGAGCTTGCTGCACACCAGCCGCCTGGGTAGCTCCGAGGAAGAGCGCGCGACGCAGCCACAGGCGAGCGGAGGCGCAGGCGCGGCTGGGCCCGCGTCCGGAACTGGGCTGCGAGGGGCGGGGCGCGGGCGGAGGGGGCGGGGATCCTAGGGACGGGACCTATGAGCATCGGTCCTGAGCGCTGTCACAGCTGGGATTGGTGGTTTCAGGAGCCTGTGGGCGTGGCTAGTCCGGGGGCGGGGCCTATGGTTTGTTCGAATGACGTCACACTTGCCGCAGCGTATAAGGCGCTACGCAGTTCTGGAGTGAAATAGGTTCGAATCCCACCACTGTCAATTCCAGACTGTGACCCTCTGTGTGTCTTTCAACTATATCAGCCTATTCCCTCATCTGGAAATGTGTGTTTACCTTCTTCATAGACTTTTGGAGATAATTTGAGAATTTCCATGCACAGAAACAAGGATCTAGTAGCCTGTGGGTACCCAAGCTCCTGGGGTCCTGCAGGAGAAGGCGGCTGGGGGCCTGGACTCCTGGGTCTGAGGGAGGAGGGGCTGGGGGCCTGGACTCCTGGGTCCAAGGGAGGAGGGGCTGGGAGCATGGACTTCTGGGTCCGAGGGAGGAGGGCCGGGTGCCTGGACTGCTGAGTCTGAGGGAGGAGGGGCTGGGGGCCTGATTCATTCCCAAATTATCAGAATCTCATCCCCATGTCTGGCCCTGCACAGAGATATCTTCCCTGAACTCTGCCTGAACTACCTTTCTTAGATTGAGTATTGCACACACTCCTGCACTTACCTGTCCATGTTTGTCACCCCCACCAAACCGGGATGCACCTCTGGGCACCTGCTTCCCCTTGCACTGCTCACAGCGAGTGTATCTGATCACCACCTCCTACCCCTGACTGTGCCTGAGGTGCCAGGAGCAGACACCGCTGGAAACAGGGAAGAATTCAACCCAATCTAACTAGGAGTAAGTTTTCTTCCTCATCAGATGAACTGTCATCTTCTTATATGAGCCCTGCCATAATGGAGATTATACAGGCAGGAAGAGCTATTTTAAGACCTTAGTCAATGGCCGGGCACGGTGGCTCACGCCTGTAATCCCAGCACTTTGGGAGGCCGAGACAGATGGATCACGAGGTCAGGAGATTGATACCAGCCTGGCCAACATGGTGAAACCCTGTCTCTACTAAAAATACAAAAATTAGCTGGATGTGGTGGCACTCACCTGTAGTCCCAGCTACTCAGGAGGCCGAAGCAGGAGCATCACTTGAACTCGGGAGGTGGAGGTTGCAGTGAGCCGAGATTGCCCTACTGCATTCCAGCCTGGCGACAGAGTGAAATTCTGTCAAAAAAAAAAAAACCTTAGGCCTGTAGACCTTAAGCTCTCACCATCTCAAACGTATTAAACC
The DNA here is from genome assembly GCF_000001405.40 of Homo sapiens. Lineage (NCBI taxonomy): Eukaryota > Metazoa > Chordata > Mammalia > Primates > Hominidae > Homo > Homo sapiens. The sequence continues at coordinate 709,682 of NW_003571055.2, forward strand.
AGTTACACAATGCCAAATGCTGTATAAGAGGCACTTGGAGGAGTCAAATTCATAGAGACAGAAAACAGAGTGGTGGCTGCAGGGGGCTGGAGATGAGATTGGGAAGTCACAGGATTTGTTTTTGTTTGTTTGTTTGTTTTGTTTTGTTTTTTGAGAGACAGTCTCACTGTGTCACCCAGGCTGGAGAGCAGTGGGCGATCTCAGCTCACTGCAACCTCTGCCTCCTAGGTTCAAGCGATTCTCCTGCCTCAGCCTCCCGAGTAGCTGGGGCTACAGGCACGTGTCACCACACCCGGCTAATTTTTGTATTTTTAGTAGAGACGGGGTTTCACCATGTTGGCCAGGTTGGTCTCAAACTCCTGACCTCAGGTGATCCACCTGCCTCGGCCACCCAAAGTGCTGGGATTACAGGCATGAGCCACCGCACCCGGCCGGGAAGCTGTTTTTTAATAGATACAGAGTTTGTTTTGCAAAATAAAAAAAAGACCTGAAGGTGGACGGTGGTGATGGTTGCACAACAATGTGAATATACTTAACATCACTGAATTGTACACTTAAAATGGTTAAGATGGTACATTTTACTTTATGCATAGTTTACCAAACTAAAAATAAAGAAAAATTTTAGACTGGGCATGGTGGCTCATGCCTGTAATCCCAGCACTTTGGGAGGCCAAAGTGGAGAATAGTATGAGCCCAGGAGTTTGAGAGCGGCCTGGACAACACGGCAAAACCTTATCTCTACAAAAAATACAAAAATTAGCAGGTTTGGTGGCACGCATCTGCACCCTCAGCTACTTGGGAGGCTGAGGTGGGAGGTCTGCTTGAGCCCAGGAGGTCAAGGCTATGATGAGCTGTGATTGTGCCACTGCACCCCAGGCTGGGTGACAGAGCAAGACCCCATCTCAAAAATAATAATAATAAATGTTTACATTTAATAACATGGGCAATTGGTTCAGATGTTCATTTTCTCAACCTTGAAAAAAAAACAACACTGTTTTTCCCTGTCTTTTTCTCCTTTTCTGTAAACTGAAATCCTAATATCATTGACTTCCAGGACAGAGATCAGCAAACTTTTTCTACAAACAGCCAGATAGTAAATAATTTCAGCTTTGTGATCCACACAGTGGCTGTTGCACCTCCTCTGCCAGAGGAGCTGGGAAGCAGCCACAGATGATGTGAAAACAAGTGAGCACAGCTGTGTTCCCATAAAACTTTATTTATAAAAATAAGCAGTGCGCCACAGTTCGCCAGCTCCTGTTTGAGAGTCTCTCTCCGATGCCCAGGCTGGAGCGCAGTGATGCAATCTCAGCTCACTGCAACCTCTGCCTCCTGGGTTCAAGCGATTCTCCTGCCTCAGCCTCATGAGTAGCTGGGATTACAGGCGCTCGCCGCCACACCTGGCTGATTTTTGTATTTTTAGTAGAGACGGGGTTTCACCATGTTGGCCAGGCTGGTTTTGAACTCCAGGCTTCAGGTGATCCACCTGCCTCAGCCTCCCAAAGTGCTGGGATTACAAAGCGTGAGCCACTGCGCCCAGCTACCTGTCATTGAATTTGGAAGGATGGCATGAAGTCATTCATAACAAGGACTTAATCCATAGTAAGTGCCAGAACATTGCTGGCTGTTAATATGGTTATTATAAAGAGAACAATGCATGCATATTCCTCCTCTGAGGATCTCCTACCTGATTCCCAGACACACCCAAGGGAGTTAGAACATCTGTTTGGACTCCAGGTGGGCTGTCCACGCCTTTACCATTTTCCTGGTTGTTAACATGTTCCTGATCAGCACTGGGTGCTGTCCCAGGTGCTGAGAGGATTCTCCCACAATGCCCTTTGCTTTCCCCATCAGAGGGTTTATGGCACCCAATTCTCATTCACATTCTGTCTCTCCTTTCTCGTTCTTCTCTATCTCTCCTCTCTCTGTCTCCTTTTCTCTTCCTCTCTCCCTCTCTGTCTTCTCTCCCTCTCTCTCCCTCTCTCTTCCTCTCTCTCTTCCTCTGTCCTCTTTTCTCTCTCTCTCTCCCTCTCTCTCACATCTCTCTTTCCCTTCCTTTCTCTTTCCTCTCTCTTCCTCTCTCCCTCTCCCTCCTTCTGTCTTCCTCTATCCCTCTCTTCCTCTTTTTTCTTCCTCTCTTCTTGTCTCTTTCTCTCCTCTCTCTCTCCCTCTTTCTCTTTCTCTCTCTCTTCCTCTCCCTTCCTCTTCCTCTCTCTCCTTCTTTCTTCCTCTCTCTCTTCTTGTGTGTGTCTCTCTCTCTCTGTTCTCTCTCTCCCTCTCCCCCCAACTCTCTTTCCCTACACACATCTTAAGAGGCCTCAGCAGTGTAAGGTAAGTTTAGCGACCCTGTGGCTGTGTAGAGATAAGCAAAGGGGGGCAAGGAGCTCCAGTGGTCCCAGACTCCAGCCATTTGAGTCTTTGCAGCCCAAGCACTGCCCCAGCTTCTTGACAGCCCCAGCCATCACCAAAGGGCACACAGATAAGCTGCCTCCACCAAGGCCTGTGCAGATGGTAGGTTTTTGAGTAAAATAGATATGATCCTTGTCTGAAGCCACTGAGTTTTAGAATAATTTGTTATATGGCCATAGTAACTGGAATGATTGCTGTAGGTTTATTTTATTTTATTCATCCTTGCTGCATGCAACACATGCATGGCTCAGTAACTAGAAGGAAAGAAGAGAAGAAGGGAGGGAGAGGCAGAGGGTGGACAGGAGAGGATGGTAGGAAGGAAAGACAGGAAAGGAGGGTGTTGGTGGCCTTGCCTGCAAGCTGAGCAGACACCACGCAAACAGGTGACCTCCCAGTTAAGATGGAGGGGACTCAGGGCTCAGGAGGGGCAGAAGGTCCCCGTGTCGGAGAGCTGGGCAAGCTTTCTGCAGGAAATGATGGGGATCACGGCCATGTGAGCCGGCAAGATTTCCCTCAGCCAGGGAGGAGACTCCGGGCTGTGGGAACAGCTTAAGCAGAAGGCATGGGACAGGAATGCATATGAGAGATATTGTGGGAGGAGGGAGGGCTGCCTGGGCTGGCATGCAGGGTATGGGAGGGGGTGGAAGGGCTGAGGCGGGAGCCATCAGTAAAAGGACCCAGAGCGCGGCTCCAATGCCATGGTAGGAAGCTTGGCGTTGACTCAGAGGGCGCTGGGTACCGCTGAAGAGTGTTGAGCCAAGGAGGGTCATGTCACGGGCAGATACATGTTTTAGAATTTCTTCTTTTCTGGCTGAGATGTAGAGTATGGACTGGAGAGAAGCACAGGGGACATAGGAAAGGTAGTTCTAGAAAGAGGGGCTGTCCCACCAGGGAAAGTCAACCAACTGTTCCCCAGTATCCATTCCTCCCTTCCAGCTCATGGCACTAAAGCCACTGATTGATTAGCTGGGTGCTATCAATCTCTCTCTCATCTCTCTCTCCCTCTTTCTCTCCCCCTCATCTGTGTCTTTTCTCTCTCTCATCTCTCTGTCTCCCTCTTTCTGTCCCCCTCCTCCGTGTCTCCTCTCTCTCTCTTCTCTGTCTCATATCTCTCTCATTGCTCTCTCCCTCTTTCTCTCCCCCTCCTGTGTCTCCTTCTCTCTCTCTCTTTCTCCCCCATCTCTCTTTCTCTCCCCCTTCCTCTCTTTCTCCTCTCACTCTTCCTGTTTCTCTCTTTCTCTTTCTTCCTCTCTTTCTCCCTGTCTCTCTCTTCCTCTTTTCCTTTGTCTCTCTCTCTCCCCCCAACTCTCTCTCCCTACACACATCTTGAGAGACCTCAGCAGTGTAAGATAAGTTTAGCTACTCCACGGCCTGGCACGGTAGCTCACGCCTTTAATCCCAGCACTTTGAGAGGCCAAGGCAGGCAGATCACTGGAGATTAGGGGTTTGAAACCAGCCTGGCCAACATGGTGAAACCCTGTCTCTACTACAAGTACCAAAAAATTAGCTGGGCATGGTGGCACGCGCCTGTAGTCCCAGCTACTCGGAAGGCTGAGGCAGGAGAATCGCTTGAGCCTGGGAGGCGGAAGTTGCAGTGAGCCGAGACCACACCTCTGCACTCCAGCCTGGGTGACAGAGTGAGATTCTGTCTCAAAAAAAGAAAGAGGAGGCCGGGCACTGTGGCTCAGGCCTGTAATCCCAGCACTTTGGGAGGCCGAGGCATGCAGATCACGAGGTCAGGAGATCGAGACCATCCTGGCTAACACAGTGAAACCCCGTCTCTATTAAAAATACAAAAAAATTAGCCAGGCACGGTGGCGGGTGCCTGTAGTCCCAGCTACTCGGGAGGCTGAGGCAGGAGAATGGCGTGAACCCGGGAGGCGGAGCTTGCAGTGAGCCGAGATCGCGCCACTGCACTCCAGCCTGGGCGACAGAGCAAGACTCTGTCAAGAAAGAAAGAAAAGAAAAGAAAAAAAGAAAAGAATAAAGGGAGGGAGGGAAGGGAAAGGAAGGGAAGGAAGGAAGGAAGGAAGGAAGGAAGGAAGGAAGGAAGGAAGGAAGGGGAGGGGAGGGGAGGGGAAGGGAGGGAAGAAAGGCAGGCCCTGATGTTCAGGGAGCTGAGAGTGAAGTCACCGGCTCCAACCCAGGATCCAAACTCAAGTCTGTCTGGGGTCCTATCCCCGTCACCACCCCCCGCCCCGACCCATCCCCCAGAGACCTGGGAAGGAGCCAGGCTCCTCCGGTTTCAGGAAAGGGCTGCACAAACCACCCCGCCACGATCCCTCCCAGAGAACAAACAGCTCCCGGCCACCGGCAGTCTCCCTCCTCCTCCTGCCAGGCTGGTTCCCAGACCCACCCTCCCTGTGTCATAAGCGCCTCTCCCCGCACTCTCACCAGGGCTGGCTGTTCTCAGAGGAACGCCCAGGAAAAACCTACCCGAACCCCTTTCAGCTGGGAAGGGGACCCGCCTGGGCTTCCTCACCGCCGATGAGACCTCCCTCGTCGTACACTTAGAGCTGCCTGTGTTTTCCTTCCTTCCTTAAGCGGGCTGGGAACTCTAGACACTCAGGGATGGGCCAGCCCATTAGAGTAAGCATTCGGCCACCTCTAGGCTGCTACGGTCACTGCTGCTGTCACCATCAACGTGACTGTCTCACACCTCACTTCCTCCGGCCAGCCACACCCCTGCAGATTTAACCCGCCAGCCTCCCTAAGGTTTCCTCTGCCTGAAATCCTCTCTGCATTCCTGGCTCATTCTCGAAATTGAGGTCAAAGCTCAGATGCCGCCTCCTTCCCTGACCACCCTACCTGAAGCAGCCGCACCTGCCTGCTCCTAGTCACGCCGTTCCTTCACCTGTTTCGTTTCCTCCACAGGGTTTACCACAATCTGAAAGTCTTATTCATGCAGGTGTCTACTTGTTTATCTCCCCACCACACCTACTAGGATGACAATATCACAAGGGCTGGGGTTTCATCTGTCTCCTCCTCCTCTGTATCTCCAGCACATGAAACATGCTTGGCACACTGTAGGTGCTTAAGTATTTGCTACTACATCACTTTGGGATTTTGCATAGGACACTCCCAATGCTTAGAATGTCAATCTTTGCTTCATTGTCCTTGGCAAACTCCTATTCATCCTTTGAAACCCCATCCATTTATCCCTTAACCAGGAAAGGCTTCTGTGCCTCATACAACCACCCATAAAGCTGGATTAGGGCTTTCTCTGGGGACACCCTTGCCCTGTGCCACACTTCCATTAGCGCACATATCCCCCATGAATTGTGCACACCAGCAGGGTCTAGAGTACGGCACACATTTTGTCTCAGGAGCTACGTATTGAATAAATAAATTAATTACTTTTTTTGAGACAAGGTCTTGCTCTGTCACCCAGGCTGGAGTGCAGTGGTGCAATCGTGGCTCACTGTACCTTGACCTCCCAGGTTCAAGCAATCCTCCCACCTCAGCCTCCCAAGCAGCTAGGACCACAGATGCAGGCCACTATGCCTGGCTAATTTTTAATTTTTTTTTTGGTAGGGATGGAATCTCCCTATGTTGCCCAGGCTGGTTTCAAACTCCTAGGCTCAAGGGATCCTCCTGCCTCTGCTTCCCAAAGTACTGGGACTATAGGTGTGAGACGCCACACTCAGCCTCATTATTTAATATGTAAGTAGCTATATCTCTCTGAGACCCAGCCCCATCTAATTTATAACCTCCCTCCTTCTCAAGAACATGCCTCAGCTCCCATTGCCAGGGAATCTGACCTTTCTCCTTGTCATAGGATTTTTTTTTTTTTTTGAGTCAGAATCTCAGTCAGTCACCCAGCCTGGAGTGCATGGCGCAATGGCTCGCTGCAACCTCTGCCTCCCGGGTTCAAGTGATTCTCCTGCCTCAGTCTCCCTAGTAGCTGGGACTACAAGCGCACGCCACCACACCCAGCTACTTTTGTAGAGATGGGGTTTCACCATGTTGGCTAAGCTGGTCTCGAACTCCTGATCTCAAGTGATGGCCTCCCAAAATGCTGGGTAACAGGTGTGAGGCACCACATCCGGCTGTCATAGGAATTTGTCAGCAAATCCTACAGACTAGAGGATGTGTGTTGGGTGGTGTGGGGGTGGGGATAACGGAGGAGATGGGGGGTGAGCTCTTCAAGCCCCAGGGGAGAATTCTGTTCCGTTCCTGGGACATCCCAGGTGAGAGGGAAGAAAGGCCAGCCCCCCAAGACAGCTATCCCAGACTGGGACAGAGGCAAACCCTGACCACAGAGCCCTGTCACTCACCCAAGAACAGGTGCCAATGACAGAATAGCCAGGCCGAGGGGGGAGAGAGGTGCTTCGGTGATGGATTTCCCTGGTGACTTGCCAAGACAGGGCTTTACTGCCTCCGCCCTGGACTGGCTGAGTCAGACTGTGCAGGGGTGGACACTTTGACTGGTATTTGGGAGGCATTTGCTGTGGGTTACAGAGAGGGAGGGGCCTCCTTTGCGGCCAGAGAAGGAGGAAAGAGGCCCTGGGCCCTGGGACTTGGGACTTGGGTGGAGGCTCGGGTTTCGGTCTCACCTGCTGCTCCAGACCATGGCCTGGAGGGCCGCCTGCGCCACCCCCAAAGCAATGAGATAGCCCCTCCTCCCTCAGACCCAGGAGTCCAGGCCCCCAGCCCCTCCTCCCTCAGACCCAAGAGTCCAGACCCCAGCCCCTCCTCCCTCAGACCCAAAGGCCTCGGACCCATACCAAATGCTTCTATGAGATAGTTTTCTCCCCTTGTTCATGAAGAAATGAGCCCAGGCCCAGTCAGATCTGCATCTGTGTCACAGCCCAGGGCCACTGTAACCTTAGGCTACTGACTTCCCTCTCTGAGCCTCTGTTTTCTCCTGTCAATGGGGCAAGGGGTCTGCTCCTTCCCTCAAACCCCAACTCAGGTACAGTCAAGCACAGAAAATACTTGTGGCATGAATGTGATGAGAACACAGAATTGCAGAAGCCAAAGAAAGAGAAGCGTAAGGGCCCTCCTTCCACCCCTACCTCCCCCACCCGCTGCTACACGCACCAGGACCACCTGCTGGGTAGCCAGGAGCTCACAGTCTAGCCCCGCTGGCCACCCCTGCAGCCCCCATCCTTCACTCAGGCAGTTGCAGGGCCCAGAACACCCCTATCTTCTAGGATTGACACTGGCTGTCAAACTCATCCTTCAAGGTGATTCCTGGCCTGCCCTCCTCCTCCAGGCAGCCTGTCCTCCTCCTCCAGGCAGCCTGTCCTGACCCTCAGCAGCCTCTCCTGGCCTTGGCAGAGCCCCTCGTGTCCTCCCTTGCAGCACGCATGGGAAGAAAGGCCATCGTCCTCGCCATTGCTAACACCAGCCTTGCGTTTCCTCTTTGCCAGGTACTGTATTGACAACTCTCTATAACCTGACTTTATCCTCCCAATAAGCTGGGTGTGGTGGGTGGCTCATGCCTGTCATCCCAGCACTTCGGGAGGATAAGGCAGGAGTATCACATGAGCCCAGGAGTTGGAGACCAGCCTGGGCAACATAAGGAGACTCTACTATATATATGTGTATATATATTTATATATAGTCTGAGATGGGAGGATCACCCCAGTAGGTCGAGACTGCAGTGAGCTGTGATTATGACACTGCATTCTAGCCTGGGCCACAGAACTAGACCTTGTCTCAATTAAGAAAAAAAATGGGGATAATAGGACCCATTCCATAGGATGTGGTGAGGATTATGCATACACACACACACACACACACACACACATTTATGATGTACTGAGAAGATATAAGCACACAATAAGTATCTCCAAAATTATCAAGTGGCAAAGCCAGGATTCAGACCCACACCTGCCCGAGGCTCTCTGCCATCAGACCACACTATATCTCTTTCTCTCTGTTCCTTCATCCCCATCAATCGAAGGCAAAAATGTGCCTTCTCTGATTTCCAGGCTCACTCAGCATAGACCGTGGAGGCAACATATCTTGAATGAAGCAACAAAGCAGTAATGCACATGAATGCACCAAATGCCAAAAGCTCGTTTACTCAACAAGTATCTCTCCAACACTTTCTATGTGCTAGACCCAATTCTGTGTGCTGCAGATTAAGTGGAGGACTGATCACACAAAAATCTTTGCCCTTGTGAAGCTTGCATTTTTTTTTTTTTTTTTTTGAGATGGAGTCTTGCTCTGTCACCCAGGCTGGAGTGCAGTGGAGCAATCTTGGCTCACTGCAATCTCCACCTCCCGGGTTCACGCCATTCTCCTGCCTCAGCCTCCGGAGTAGGTGGGACTACAGGCACCCACCACCAAGCCTGGTTAATTGTTTTGTATTTTTAGTAGAGACGGGGTTTCACCATGTTAGCCAGGATGGTCTCAATCTCCTGACCTCGTGATCCACACGCCTCGGCCTCCCAAAGTGCTGGGATTACAGGCGTGAGCCACCACACCCGGCCGCTTTTTTTTTTTTTAAGATGGAGTCTCGCTCTGTCACCCAGGCTGGAGTGCAGTGGCACGATCATCTCGGTTCACTGCAACCTCCACCTCCCAGGTTCAAGTGACTCTCTTGCCTTGGTCTCCCAAGAAGCTGGGATTACAGGTGTGCACCACCAACTCTGGCTAATTTTTTTTTTTTTAGTAGAAATGGGGTTTTATCATGTTGGTGACATGGTGTGATCTCGGCTGACTGCAACCTCCACCTCCGGGGTTCAAGCAATTTTCTTGTCTCAGCCTCCCAAGAAGCTGGGATTACAGGTGTACACCACCACCCCCGGCTAATTTTCATATTTTCAGTAGAGACGTGCTTTCACCATGTTGGCCAGGTTGGTCTCGAACTCCCAACCTCAAGTGATCAATCCGCCTCAGCCTCCCAAAGTGCTGGGATTACAGGCATGTGCCACCGTGCCCAGCCTGTGAAGCTTGCATTCTAACGGAGGAGACACAGACAAAATGAACCAGGAACACAGTGGGTAAGAAGGTGAAAAGTTCTCCACACAAAAATGAAGTAGGGAGAGAGGAAAGAGACTACAAAGAAGTTGGGTTGCCGGGGGCGGTGGCTCACACCCATAATCCCAGCACTTTGGGAGGCCGAGGCGGGCAGATCACGAGGTCAAGAGATCGAGACCATCCTGGCCAACATGGTGAAATGCTGTCTCTACTAAAAGTACAAAATTAGCCGGGCGTGGTGGCGCGCGCCTGTAGTCCCAGCTACTCAGGAGGCTGAGGCAGGAGAATCACTTGAACCTGGGGGGGCGGAGGTTGCGGTGAGCCAAGATTGCGCCACTGCACTCCAGCCTGGGCAACAAGAGTGAAACTCTGTCTCAAAAAAAACAAAAGAAGTCGAGTAAGGGATGCCGCCATTTGAAACAGGGTGGTCAGCCAGTCCTCTGAGAAGGTGACATTCAGGCAAAGATCAAAGGAGGCAAGAAAGTGAGGCATGAGGGTATCTGGTAGAAGAGCATTCCAGGCAGAGGAAACAGCAAGTGCAAAGGCCCTGAGGCAGGACCGGGTCTGGATGTTCCAAGAGCAGCAAGGAGGCCAGTGTGCTGACACACAGAAGGAAGAGATGAGATCAGAATCACGTCCCTTAAGGCCTTGCAAGATGTCAGCTTTTTTTTTTTCTTCTTTTTTGAGACAGAGTCTCGCTCTGTCGCCCAGGCTGGAGTGCAATGGCGCAATCTCGGCTCACTGCAAGCTCCGCCTTCCAGGTTCACGCCATTCTCCTGCCTCAGCCTCCCGAGTAGCTGGGACTACAGGTGCCCACCACCACGCCCGGCTAATTGTTTGTATTTTTAGTAGAGACGGGGTTTCACCGTGTTAGCCAGGATGGTCTCGATCTCCTGACCTCGTGTTCCACCCGCCTCGGCCTCCCAAAGTGCTGGGATTACAGGTGTGAGCCACTGCGCCCGGCCTGTTTTCTGTTTTTTGAGATGGAGCCTCGCTCTCTTGCCTAGGCTGGAGTGCAGTGGTGCAATTATCGGCTCGCCGCAACCTCTGCCTCCCGGGTTCAAGTGATTTTCCTGCCTCAGCCTCCTGAGTAGCTGGGATTACAGGCACCCGCCACCACACCTGGATAATTTTTGTGTTTTTAGTACAGATGGGGTTTCACCATGTTGGCTGGGCTGGTCTCGAACTCCTGTCCTCAGGTGATCTGCCTGCCTCGGCCTCCCAAAGTGCTGGGATTAGAGATGTGAGCCACTGTACCCATGCAAGTTTCTTAACCCTTCTCTTCCTCATTTTCTCATCTGTGAGACGAAGACAGCCTCCCACCCAGACACACTCCCCTCACGGGGCTCTGGGGAGAAATGATGTGGAAAGCTTTGCTAGTAACCTCTACAGCATGGAGGGAGTTCTGGAAAAGTGATTTCAGAAAGGTGTTTATGCCTGGAAAGCCTGTTCATTTTTGTGATGTCCTTGGAGCTGGGCCAGGCATTATCGAGCTAAATCTTAGCTTTTGTCAGAATAGGGGGGTCATTGAGGGAAATTTCCAAAGGAAGGTGGAACGGGATGGGTGGGGAGGTAAGGGCATGAGCAGAGGCAGTGATCGTGGGCAGGAGGTGTCCATAGAAGACGGGCTGCCACTGGCCCTGGAGACAGAAGGTCAGCCCCGGGTTCAAATCCCTCCTTAACCAAGTGCTGAAATGGACAAGTTGCTCAACCTCTCTGGCCTTCAGCTTCCTCATCTGTCAAGCAGGAATCAAACCTCGAACTTCCTCCCGCTGTTAGAATTTCAAGGGAGTTTTAAAGACAGAGCTTTCAACTCTGACCTGTGAACAAGTGTGACATCAAATGTACTGTTCGTTGCTATTATTCTGTTGCTACAAGGCAGACAGTTAGTTTCCCAGCTCCCCTGCAGTCCCCCCAGCCCCTCCTAGATCTGTCTGCCAGCCCCGCCCCGGGGTCACTCCAGCCAGGCTGTGCCAGGTGAATGCTCAGGTATGCGGAGGCGGAGGCGGAGGCAGGACGGCCCTGGGAGGGAGCAGGAGGAGGGGCCGGCAGCCTGGAAGGGAAAGGACAGCGGAGAGCAGGGCAGAGCCTGAGCAGGCAGGTAAGGAGATCCGGGTCAGGAGAGAAGGGGGCCGGGGCTTGACCAATGGGTCTGAGGGACGGGGGGACTGGGGTCTGGACTCCAGGGTCTCAGGGAGGACGGGCTGGGGGTCTGAACTCCCGGGTCTGAGGGAGGAGGGCCTGGGGTCCTGGACTCCTAGGTCTGAGGGAGGAGGGGCTGAGGGCCTGGACTCCTGGGTCTGAGGGAGGAGGAGATGGGGCCTGGACTCCTGGGTCTGAGGGAGGAGTGGACTGGGGTCTGGACTCCTGGGTCTGAGGGAGGAGGGGACTGGGGTCTGGACTCCTGGGTCTAGGGAAGAGGGACTGGGGCCTGGACTTCTGGGTCTGAGGGAGGAGGGGCTGGGGGCCTGGACTCCTGGGCCTGAGGGAGGAGGGGCTGGGGCCTGGATGCCTGCATTGAGGGAGGAGGCTGGGGTAGGAATTAGAGGCTCCTACTGGCCAGGCCTTCACATGTTTGCTGGCTCCCAGGGCACCTCCAGGTGGGCAGGAGCTACCACTCAGCACCATGAGCACCGCCACAGGGTAAGCGCCCCCGGACCCCAGGTCCCAGCCCCAGCACGCCTCCCGCCTCCCCTCGCCTCCTCACCCACACCCGCTTGCGGCAGCCCAGACTGTTTGCGGCGGCCCAGACTCTGGCCCAAGCCCCGACACTCAGGAGGAAGCCAGAGCCTCTCTCCTCCCTGCCCAGCCTGGGGTTAGGGGCCCCCACTGCAGAGCAGACAGGCCTGAGCTCCAGTTCGGCCCTCACACTCAGTGCTGATGTAACCCTGGTCAGAGGACATCACCTCCTGGAGCCTCAGCCCCTCCTCTGTGACACAGGGACAATGTTGAAAAATTGGAGGGATAGTGCATTACAGGACTTAGCTGACCACCTCACTGACAGCAGGTGCTCAACTCATAGGAGTCGCTATTGCGATTGTTATGTTGTTAGTAAATATTAACCCTTTGCTAGAAAATCAGGGCTGTTTATAATGAAGACTCAAGTCCCCCAGAGTAAGCAGGGAGAAAAACAATGAGAGATGAGTCAAAATACCTGCATGGTAGGTAGTGAGCTCTCTGGCCCAGAGGTAATCAAATTGTGGTGACATCAGACTGGCAGGAGCAGGATGAGGAACAGGAGTTTGGGAAAAAGGGTTTTTCAGTTCCCCTGACGCCACCTGATCGCTGAGCTTCTGTTATGTGCATGCAAGTGGGGATTCAAGAATTCTTAGGAAAGGTAATCTTAGGAAGAAATTGAGGACGGGAGGAGACAGAGAAGGATGTGGTTGGGAAGCACCTGGCCCATGGGAGTGGGAGGGGAAGCAGATAATTCCCTGTCTACTTCAGATACCACTAATGCTATTATAACCATTCCCATTTATTGAGCAACTTCTGTGTGCTAAGCCCTGGCAGCATCTTAAGAATGATAATAACAGTTATTGAGGCTTCAAAATACTTCACCTGCATCATCTGACTGAATTTGCCCAACAGCCCTACCAGATGGTTACTACGTTACAGAAAGAAAAACTGAGGCAGGAGAGATTAAATCCTCTTCTGAAGGTCTTATGGCAAGGAGGCAGTAGACAGAGGGTTTGAATCCCGGACTATGCCATGGTAGAGATCACACTCCCCTACCACCCAGCACCACCGCCTGACCTGACCTGTCTTTTTTTTTTTTTTTTTTTTTTTGAGATGGAGTCTCACTCTGCTGCCAGGCTGGAGTGCAGTGGCACGATCTGGACTCACTGCAACCTCCGCCTCCCAGGTTCAAGTGATTCTCCTGCCTCAGCCTCCCACGTAGCTGGCACTACAGGCGCCCACCACCACACCCAGCTAATTTTTGTATTTTTAGTAGAGACAGGGTTTCACCATGTTGGCCAAGATGGTCTCAATCTCTTGACTTTGTGATCCGCCCACCTCTGCCTCCCAAAGTGCTGGGATTACAGGCGTGAGCCACCGCGCCCAGCCTACCTGTCTTCTTAAAGTCCAGCTCTGGCTCTGAGCTCTCCTGCTCAATAATAATAATAATAATAATAATAATAATAATAATAATAACCCTTCCATCGCTCCCCATTACCTTCGTCATGAAGCCCTTGCTGCCCTGCTTGGCATTTCCACAGGATCTGCCCCCAGTCCCACAGTCTCTCTCATTCCTCTTTTCTTCACCAGCCCAGAAGCTGCCCCAAAGCCAAGCGCCAAGTCTATCTATGGTGAGCGGGGGGCAAGGGAGCCCCAGGCCCATAGAACTGGGTCTAAAGAAACAGGACCTGGCATCCAGGGTCTTGGAGGAGGAGGGGCTGGGGGTCTGGACTCCTGAGTCAGAGGGAAGAGGTGCTGGGGGTCTGGACTCCTGGGTCAGAGGGAAGAGGGGCTGGGGGGCTGGACTCCTAGGTTTGAGGGAGGAGGGGCTGGGGGCCTGGACTCCTGAGTCAGAGGGAAGAGGTGCTGGGGGCCTGGACTCCTGGGTCAGAGGGAAGAGGGGCTGGGGGGCTGGACTCCTGGGTCAGAGGGAAGAGGGGCTGGGGGGCTGGACTCCTGGGTCAGAGGGAAGAGGGGCTGGGGGGCTGGACTCCTGGGTCAGAGGGAAGAGGGGCTGGGGGGCTGGACTCCTGGGTCAGAGGGAAGAGGGGCTGGGGGGCTGGACTCCTGGGTCAGAGGGAAGAGGGGCTGGGGGTCTGGACTCCTGAGTCAGAGGGAAGAGGGGCTGGGGGGCTGGACTCCTGGGTCAGAGGGAAGAGGGGCTGGGGGCCTGGACTCCTGGGTCAGAGGGAAGAGGGGCTGGGGGCCTGGACTCCTGGGTCAGAGGGAAGAGGGGCTGGGGGTCTGGACTCCTGGGTCAGAGGGAGGAGGGGCTGGGGGGCTGGACTCCTGGGTCAGAGGGAAGAGGGGCTGGGGGCCTGGACTCCTGGGTTTGAGGGAGGAGGGGCTGGGGGCCTGGACTCCTGGGTCAGAGGGAAGAGGGGCTGGGGGGCTGGACTCCTAGGTTTGAGGGAGGAGGGGCTGGGGGCCTGGACTCCTGGGTCTGATGGAGGAGGGGCTGGGCCTGGACTCCCAGGCTCATTCTCTTTCTCCCCTGGCAGAGCAGAGGAAGCGTTACTCCACAGTTGTTATGGCTGATGTATCCCAGTACCCAGTCAATGTGAGTCTGGGGTCTGTGTTCCCCCAGGACATCTTCTGGGGCAAAGGTGGCCTCAGGAGATAGGGCTTTTGAAAGCAGCTAGGCCCCCAAGCAGGAAGCATGTGGAAAGTCAGTTTGCCCATCCATAAAATGGACCTCCGTTGCCTCACCTCAGTCATGGATATGAAGCCAGGGGCCTCGGGTCCACTTAATCTGCCAGCCTTTCCTCCAGGCCAGCTGTTGTGCTGGACAGTGGGACCACGGAGGCAAATCAAGACACAGCCCTGCATGAGGAAGGGGTAGACAAGGTCCAGAGGAATCCACAGAGGCGCCTGGTGCTCTAATGGAGGTGGCAGGGGGCATGGCAGGAGACCCGAGGAGGCATTTAGAAGGAGAGAGCTATAATCCAGACTCCTTCCCTGCCCGCAAGGAGCCTCCAGTCTGTGAGAAGCCAGACTCAGGTGCTAGTCACTCTGATGAAAGGGAAACAAAGGGCACTGGGAGGAGGAGCTGATTTGTGGAACAGGTGATCAAGGAAGGCTTCCTGGAGGAGGTGTGGTTAGTCTCAGGCTGAAAGTCTGATTATTCTGGGGGATTCTGAGCCCACCTGGCATCATCTTGGGCCTCACTGCTTTCTCCATGGTCCGTACCAGCACCTGGTGACGTTCTGCCTGGGTGAGGACGATGGCGTGCATACCGTGGAGGATGCCTCCAGGAAGTTGGCCGTCATGGATAGCCAGGGCCGAGTCTGGGCACAGGAGATGCTGCTGCGAGTGTCTCCCGACCATGTCACGCTGCTCGACCCGGCCTCCAAGGTGCCGGGGGGCACGTGGGTGGGAGGAGTGTCTGGGGCAGGGACTTCAGGGGGTCTGGGTGTGAATCTTGGCTCCTGCACGTCCTTCCTCTGGGAACTCTGGCGAGGGACCCCAGCCCCCTTCTTGAGCCTTAATAGCCTCATCTATTAAACAGGGCTGTTATCCCTAACCCCCTAACCGCCTGAGGTTGCCCTGACCTGCTGGCCCACACTCCCGTCGCCATTTAGTAGTACCATCATTTCGGGGCCTCAGTTTACCCCGCCATCCCACCCGGCAGGAGGAGCTGGAGTCGTACCCACTGGGCGCCATCGTGCGCTGTGACGCGGTGATGCCACCCGGCAGGAGCCGCTCGTTGCTGCTGCTCGTGTGCCAGGAACCCGAGCGCGCGCAGCCCGACGTGCACTTCTTCCAGGGCCTGCGCCTCGGGGTGAGCAGATGGGCTGGCTCTGGGGGTGGAGCTGGAACTGGGCGGAGCCTGGAGCCGGGGCGGAAATGGGTGGGGCCTCTAGGTGGGGCGGGGCCTGGGGCTAAGGCGGGATCAGAGCAAGGAAGGGCAGGGGACCTGGGAAGGAAGTTCTGGAAGGCAGTGGGGTTTGAGATTGGACCCAGGGTCAAGATAGAACATGAAGGTGGGATGAGGACATGAACAGAACATGGCCAAGAAGGATCTGGGGGAGCAGCCAGGACGAGGTGGGGGCGAGGAACCACCCGGACTGGGTCTCCATGGGCGGGGTCGTGGCTTAGGGCAGGGACAGGTGTAGGGCGAGGGGTGAGTTCGGGGCGTGGACGTGCGTGGGTTCACAGGTGTGAACGGTAGCCGCACGTGGGCTGGGACTGAGCTGAAAAATCGGCCAGGGGCGAGGCCCGGGTAGGAAGTGGGTGCGGCGTGGGGAGGCGTGGCCTGACGGTGTGATTGGCAGGCGGAGCTGATCCGAGAGGACATCCAGGGGGCTCTGCACAATTACCGCTCGGGCCGCGGGGAGCGCAGGGCGGCGGCGCTCAGGTGAGAGGGAAGAAGTTGGCAGGGTCTCTGGGAAGCCGGTTTCCCCTCCTTGTGCCTCAGTCTACAACACCAGCCTGGAACAGAACAAGAGTTTTGCATGGAGTCAAGCACACCCTAGTCGAGTCTTGTCTGTACCTCCCAGACGAGCTGACCCCTTCTCCAGAACTCTGCTTCTTTTCTCTGTTCCCTGTCCAGGCCCTCAGTTTCACTCTAGAGAGGTGCTATCCCTCCGTATATCGGATTTCTCCCTACCTCGTTGAACTTGTTCACTCCCTTTGAGCCTTTTGAGCCTGTGTGTCTCGTTCTGCGCCCTGGATTTCCCCCTCCCTGGACCCCTCAGTGGACCCAGTCTTGGTGTCCCCGTCGCCCTCCGCAGGGCCACGCAGGAGGAGTTGCAGCGCGACCGCTCGCCCGCCGCTGAGACCCCGCCCCTGCAGCGCCGCCCGTCAGTCCGCGCAGTGATCAGCACCGTAGAGCGGGGCGCGGGCCGCGGACGACCCCAGGCGAAGCCCATTCCCGAGGCAGAGGAGGCGCAGAGGCCTGAGCCGGTGGGGACCTCGAGCAACGCTGACTCGGCCTCCCCGGACCTGGGTCCCCGGGGTCCTGACCTGGCGGTTCTGCAGGCGGAGCGGGAAGTGGTGAGCCGCTAAGGAAGGGGTCTGGGGGCAGGGCCAGGCGACTGGAGGCGGGGCTAGGGCGTGGAAGGGCGGGGCCGGCTGCGGGACGGGCGTTCTCTGGTCAGACTTCTGCGTTATGGAAGAGGGGCTGGGTCGGGGGCGGGGCTTGGTTGTGGGGCGTGGCCAGGTGTTTGGGGCGTGGCCTGATCTGGGGAAGTGTATAGGTGCTCAGGTTCAGGGCTTCGACGGGGATGGTTTTGGAACTCGGGAGCCCTGAGCGTCCCCCTCCTCTGTCCCCTAGGACATCCTGAACCACGTGTTCGACGACGTAGAGAGCTTTGTATCGAGGCTGCAGAAGTCGGCGGAGGCGGCCAGGGTGCTGGAGCACCGGGAACGCGGCCGCAGGAGCCGGCGCCGGGCGGCTGGGGGTAAGGGGCACCCTGGCGTGGGATCTGAACCCCCTCCCGATCTCTTCCAAATGTCCCCGCTCTCCCCAGGCTCTCCCCTCCCGCCACTTGCCAGGGCTGACCTCACCGCCATCTTAACCGGGTGTCCACCTCTCTCTGCCTGCCTGGTGCTGGCCCCGCGTCCCCATCGCCGCGCCCGTCTGCTCCCCTCAGAGGGCTTGCTGACGCTGCGGGCCAAGCCGCCCTCGGAGGCCGAGTACACCGACGTGCTGCAGAAGATCAAGTACGCCTTCAGCCTGCTGGTGAGGACGCGCCCGCCCCTGGGCCGGGGCGCGGGCACGACGAACCTGTCCCGTCCCCGCACCCACGCCAACCACCTCCCTCCCCACGCCCCAGGCCCGGCTGCGCGGCAACATCGCCGACCCCTCCTCTCCGGAGCTGTTGCACTTCCTTTTCGGGCCTCTGCAGATGGTGAGACCCGCCCCAGGCCCTCGGGCCCCCCTGCAGCGGGAGGAATCGGGTTCGACTTGTAGAAGGTGTGGCGGCACAGCCTGCCCCTCCTGCTCCCCTGACAGATTGTGAACACGTCGGGGGGGCCGGAGTTCGCGAGCAGTGTGCGGCGGCCGCATCTGACATCGGATGCCGTGGCGCTGCTGCGGGACAACGTCACTCCACGTGAAAACGAGCTCTGGACCTCGCTGGGGGACTCGTGGACCCGCCCCGGGTGAGGGGCGGGGCTGGGAGGCAGGGGGCATGGTGATTGGAGGAGCATAAGGCGCTGGGAGGTGGGTGGCATGATGATTGGAAAATAGGACTAGGAGAGTAGGGAGGGGTTAGAGGCGTGGCTTAGTTGTGTTGGGGCGGGGCTTAGGACAGATGCCAAGATTCAATTGGAGGAAAGGCCAGGAATTAACGTGAAGGAAAGATTTAAGACCACCAGACCAATCGGATTGAAAGAAAAGGGGGGCTTAAAGGAATAGAGGGGCTAGGGGCTACGGGGCAGGGGCGGGGCTACGCGAAGGGGCGGGGCTTCTGGAAGGTTTGGTCTATAACTTTGGTGATGGGACAGAGTCTGTGCACTGCGGGCTGGCAGTTCCGCAGGGAAAGGGTCAGAACCTGAAACCGACCTTACGGAAAACCTGATTTGGAATCAGGTGAGATTTAGAGGCTGGATAAGGCAATTTTTTTCCAGAGAGAGAGATGGATGGGGTCTCAATATTTTGCCCAGGCTGGTCTGGAACTCCTGGCCTCAAGCGATCCTCCCATCTTGGCCTCCCAAAATGCTGGGATTACAGGCGTGAGCCACCGTGCCCGGTCTAGAAATATAAATTGCTGTTGAGTTGGGCTTAGAGCTACCGGCAGGACTTGGTGAAAAGTGGCGGGGCTAGAATCGTTGGAATACAGCGAGCTTTAGGGGAAAACTTAGTGAAGTTAATGCAGGAACGAAGTTGGGGGCTGTATCAGGATCCCTGAGCTCTTGGCCCTGTCCCTGGCCGCAGGCTGGAGCTGTCCCCGGAGGAGGGACCCCCATACAGACCCGAGTTCTTCAGCGGCTGGGAGCCGCCGGTCACTGACCCGCAGAGCCGCGCCTGGGAGGACCCAGTTGAGAAACAGCTACAGCACGAGCGGAGGCGCCGGCAGGTGACCCAAGCGACACAGCAGGGCCGAGGCTGGGAAGTCCGGGGGCGCGGCCGGTCCGCCTGGCCCCGCCTGACCCGACTGTCTTACTTCCTACAGCAAAGCGCCCCCCAGGTCGCTGTCAATGGGTGAGTGTCCGCCCCAGGGCAGGGCAAGGGGGTCAAGGAGGGGTGCGTCCCGGGGGCTCCCGATGCTGACTCCGCCCCCTTTTTTTCTGTGTTTTTCCTTCTGTCTTCCTGGCTCTTCTCAGGTGGGTGAGATGGTGATGGGGCGGGCCGGGGCTGGGAGAGAGGGAGGAGCAGGGTGGGAGGGGGCGGGACCCAGACTTCTGGGGCTAAGGGAGTTGGGAATGGAGACCCGGATTCCTGGGCCTAAGGGAGGAAGGGGGCTGGGAGTGGGTAAAGTCTGAGAGGTTGGATCCCTGGATCCCCAAAAGGCTGGAAGAAGCCAGTTTGTTTTCCCAGGGCCTGGGAAGCACCATGCCTGGGCTCCCTAGGAGGACAGAGCCCTGGATATTGGAGGGGAGAGGCTGGGGAATTGGACCTTTGGGTTTTGAAGAAGAGCCCAAGTCTGGTGCTTGGGATCCTGGAGACCCAGAGGAGCAGGCTTGGGACTTCAAGGGCTTGGGGGCAAGTTTCTGGGAAAGTTAGGAAGTGGTAGTATCTCTGGGCCCCCGAGAGGGGTAAAGGCTGGACGATTAAACTCTTGGTTTTCCAGAGGCTCTAATGCAATTGTCTAAGTCGCTGCTGGGTGTCGGACTGGGTTAAAAGGTTTGAGGGTTAAAAGGATAAGATTGAAGCTT